>NC_000014.9:33854137-34157167 GCF_000001405.40 Homo sapiens | reverse complement strand
TCTACTTGCCTTTCCATCTCAGTGCTTGCTGTTGGCATATTTCATTCAAACTCTCCTTTGCTAAGATTCACCAATTGTTGTCATTTCCCCTACTTGCTTTGTCATTTGTGTGTGTTCTCTCATTCACACAACTTCTCTTTCTGAACTATTTGAGAGTAATTTTATTGTAAGGAAAAGCATTTTATTTCCTTTTATATATATATTGAGTATGTATTTATTTATACCTATGTGGATTCGTGGATTCTTCCTTTTGTTCATTGGGTTATAATTTATTACTGTCATTGTTTATTTTGATGCTCACCATGTCCCAGGTTCAGTGAGTGAGATATTGTAGACCTTTATCCCCAAATACTTCAGTGTGTATTTCCTAAGAACCAAGTCGTTCTTTTAAATACTCACAGGGCAATGATCGAAATCAGTACATTTAACATTCACATGTTATTGTTATCTAAACAATAGTCCATCCTTTCCACCATCCAAACTGAGATCACACATCGCATTTTGCTGTCATGTCTTTTCAATTTCTCTTAATCTGGGGTTACCTTTCTTTGTCTTGAAGGATGCTGGCATATTTAAAAGAGTACAGCCTGTTATTTTGTAGAAAGTCCTTAAATTTAAGTTAGGTTGGTGTCACCTAATGATTAGGGTCATTTATTTTCAGTAGTAGGAACATTACAGAAGCAATATTGTATCTGTCTCAGTGCATTGTGTCAGAAGGCACATGGCTTAAGCTGGTGTCTTCCAGATTATCCACTTAAAGTTACTGTTTTCCCCCTTTGAAATTAATAAATAACTGTAGAGAGATTTCTTTTCTTTTTTTTGTCAAATAAATATTTTTATTATATACTTAGAAAAAAATGTAGTTCTTTTCTTTGTACTAAAGGGCCATCGGTCCATCAACCAATATTTTATTTTTATTATTATTATTTGTTTATTTATTTTTTATTTTATTATTATTATACTTTAAGTATTAGGGTACATGTGCACAATCTGCAGGTTAGTTACGTGTGTATACATGTGACATGCTGGTGTGCTGCACCCATTAACTTGTCATTTAGCATTAGGTATATCTCCTCATGCTATCCCTCCCCCCTCCCCCCATCCCACAACAGTCCCCAGAGTGTGATGTTCCCCATCCTGTGTCCATGTGTTCTCATTGTTCAATTCCCACCTATGAGTGAGAACATGCAGTGTTTGGTTTTTTGTCCTTGCGATAGTTTACTG
Organism: Homo sapiens; assembly: GCF_000001405.40. NCBI lineage: Eukaryota > Metazoa > Chordata > Mammalia > Primates > Hominidae > Homo > Homo sapiens. The sequence goes on along the minus strand of NC_000014.9, from coordinate 34,155,943 downwards.
AGAATGATGATTTCCAATTTCATCCATGTCCCTACAAAGGACATGAACTCATCCTTTTTTATGGCTGCATAGTATTCCATGGTGTATATGTGCCACATTTTCTTAATCCAGTCTATCAATGTTGGACATTTGGGTTGGTTCCAAGTCTTTGCTATTGTGAATAGTGCCGCAATAAACATACGTGTGCATGTGTCTTTATAGCAGCATGATTTATGGTCTTTTGGGTATATACCCAGTAATGGGATGGCTGGGTCAAATGGTATTTCTAGTTCTAGATCCCTGAGGAATCACCACACTGACTTCCACAATGGTTGAACTATTTTACAGTCCCACCAACAGTGTAAAAGTGTTCCTATTTCTCCACATCCTCTCCAGAACCTGTTGTTTCCTGACTTTTTAATGACTGCCATTCTAACTGGTGTGAGATGGTATCTCATTGTGGTTTTGATTTGCGTTTCTCTGATGGCCAGTGATGGTGAGCATTTTATCATGTGTTTTTTGGCTGCATAAATGTCTTCTTTTGAGAAGTGTCTGTTCATGTCCTTTGCCCACTTTTTGATGGGGTTGTTTGTTTTTTCCTTGTAAATTTGTTTGAGTTCATTGTAGATTCTGGATATTAGCCCTTTGTCAGATGAGTAGGTTGCGAAAATTTTCTGCATTTTGTAGGTTGCCTGTTCACTCTGATGGTAGTTTCTTTTGCTGTGCAGAAGCTCTTTAGTTTAATTAGATCCCATTTGTCAGTTTTGGCTTTTGTTGCCATTGCTTTTGGTGTTTTAGACATGAAGTCCTTGCCCATGCCTATGTCCTGAATGGTAATGCCTAGGTTTTCTTCTAGGGTTTTTATGGTTTTAGGTCTAACATTTAAGTCTTTAATCCATCTTGAATTAATTTTTGTATAAGGTGTAAGGAAGGGATCCAGTTTCAGCTGTCTACATATGGCTAGCCAGTTTTCCCAGCACCATTTATTAAATAGGGAATCCTTTCCCCATTGCTTGTTTTTCTCAGGTTTGTCAAAGATCAGATAGTTGTAGCTATGCGGCGTTATTTCTGAGGGCTCTGTTCTGTTCCATTGATCTATATCTCTGTTTTGGTACCAGTACCATGCTGTTTTGGTTATTGTAGCCTTGTAGTATAGTTTGAAGTCAGGTAGCGTGATGCCTCCAGCTTTGTTCTTTTGGCTTAGGATTGACTTGGTGATGTGGGCTCTTTTTTGGTTCCATATGAACTTTAAAGTAGTTTTTTCCAGTTCTGTGAAGAAAGTCATTGGTAGCTTGATGGGGATGGCATTGAATCTATAAATTACCTTGGGCAGTATGGCCATTTTTATGATATTGATTCTTCCTATCCATGAGCATGGAATGTTCTTCCATTTCTTTGTATCCTCTTTTATTTCGTTGAGCAGTGGTTTGTAGTTCTCCTTGAAGAAGTCCTTCACATCCCTTGTAAGTTGGATTCTTAGGTATTTTATTGTCTTTGAAGCAATTGTGAATGGGAGTTCACTCATGATTTGGCTCTCTGTTTGTCTGTTGTTGGTGTATAAGAATGCTTGTGATTTTTGTACATTGATTTTGTATCCTGAGACTTTGCTGAAGTTGCTTATCAGCTTGAGGAGATTTTGGGCTGAGACGATGGGGTTTTCTAGATATACAATCATGTCATCTACAAACAGGGACAATTTGACTTCCTCTTTTCCTAATTGAATACCCTTTATTTCTTTCTCCTGCCTGATTGTCCTGGCCAGAACTTCCAACACTATGTTGAATAGGAGTGGTGAGAGAGGGCATCCCTGTCTTGTGCCTGTTTTCAAAGGGAATGCTTCCAGTTTTTGCCCATTCAGTATGATATTGGCTGTGGGTTTGTCATAGATAGCTCTTATTATTTTGAGATACGTCCCATGAATACCTAATTTATTGAGAGTTTTTAGCATGAAGGTTGTTGAATTTTGTCAAAGACCTTTTCTGCCTCTATTGAGATAATCATGTGGTTTTTGTCTTTGGTTGTGTTTATATGCTGGATTACATTTATTGATTTGCGTATATTGAACCAGCCTTGCATCCCAGGGTTGAAGCCCACTTGATCATGGTGGAAAGCTTTTTGATGTGCTGCTGGATTCGGTTTGCCAGTATTTTATTGAAGATTTTTGCGTCAATGCTCATCAAGGATATTGGTCTAAAATTCTCTTTTTCGGTTGTGTCTCTGCCCGGCTTTGGTATCAGGATGATGCTGGCCTCATAAAATGAGCTAGGGAGGATTCCCTCTTTCTCTGTTGATTGGAATAGTTTCAGAAGGAATGGTACCAGTTCCTCCTTGTACGTCTGGTAGAATTCGGCTGTGAATCCATCTGGTCCTGGACTCTTTTTGGTTGGTAAGCTATTGATTATTGCCACAATTTCAGAGCCTGTTATTGGTCTATTCAGAGATTCAACTTCTTCCTGGTTTAGTCTTGGGAGAGTGTATGTGTCCAGGAATTTATCCATTTCTTCTAGATTTTCTAGTTTATTTGTGTAGAGGTGTTTGTAGTATTCTCTGATGGTAGTTTGTATTTCTGTGGGATCGGTGGTGATATCCCCTTTACCATTTTTATTGCGTCTATTTGATTCTTTTCTTTTTTTCTTCTTTATTAGTCTTGCTAGCGGTCTATCAATTTTGTTCATCCTTTCAAAAAACAGCTCTTGGATTCATTAATTTTTTGAAGGGTTTTTTGTGTCTCTATTTCCTTCAGTTGTGCTCTGATTTTAGTTATTTCTTGCCTTCTGCTAGCTTTTGAATGTGTTTGCTCTTGCTTTTCTAGTTCTTTTAATTGTGATGTTAGGGTGTCAATTTTGGATCTTTCCTGCTTTCTCTTGTGGGCATTTAGTGCTATAAATTTCCCTCTACACACTGCTTTGAATGTGTCCCAGAGATTCTGGTATGTTGTGTCTTTGTTCTCATTGGTTTCAAAGAACATCTTTATTTCTGCCTTCATTTCCTTATGTACCCAGTAGTCATTCAGGAGCAGGTTGTTCAGTTTCCATGTAGTTGAGCAGTTTTGAGTGAGTTTCTTAATCCTGAGTTCTAGTTTGATTGCACTGTGGTCTGAGAGATAGTTTGTTATAATTTCTCTTCTTTTACATTTGCTGAGGAGAGCTTTACTTCCAAGTATGTGGTCAATTTTGGAATAGGTGTGGTGTGGTGCTGAAAAAAATGTATATTCTGTTGATGTGGGATGGAGAGTTCTGTAGATGTCTGTTAGGTCCGCTTGGTGCAGAGCTGAGTTCAGTTCCTGGGTATCCTTGTTAACTTTCTGTCTCGTTGATCTGTCTAATGTTGACAGTGGGGTGTTAAAGTCTCCCATTATTATTATGTGGGAGTCTAAGTCTCTTTGTAGGTCACTCAGGACTTGCTTTATGAATCTGGGTGCTCCTGTATTGGGTGCATATATATTTAGGATAGTTAGCTCTTCTTGTTGAATTGATCCCTTTACCATTATGTAATGGCCCTGTCTCTTTTGATCTTTGTTGGTTTAAAGTCTGTTTTATCAGAGACTAGGTTTGCAACCCCTGCCTTTTTTTGTTTTCCATTTGCTTGGTAGATCTTTCTCCATCCTTTTATTTTGAGCCTGTATGTATATCTGCACATGAGATGGTTTTCCTGAATACAGCACAATGATGGGTCTTGACTCTTTATCCAATTTGCCAGTCTGTGTCTTTTAATTGGAGCATTTAGTCCATTTACATGTAAAGTTAATATTATTATGTGTGACTCTGATCCTGTCATTATGATGTTAGCTGGTTATTTTGCTCGTTAGTTGATGCAGTTTCTTCCTAGCCTCAATGGTCTTTACAATTTGGCATGATTTTGCAGTGGCTGGTACTGGTTGTTCCTTTCCATGTTTAGTGCTTCCTTCAGGAGCTCTTTTAGGGCAGGCCTGGCGGTGACAAAATCTCTCAGCATTTGCTTGTCTGTAAAGTATTTTATTTCTCCTTCACTTATGAAGCTTAGTTTGGCTGGATATGAAATTCTGGGTTGAAAATTCTTTTCTTTAAGAATGTTGAATATTGGCCCCCACTCTCTTCTGGCTTGTAGAGTTTCTGCCGAGAGATCCGCTGTTAGTCTGATGGGCTTCCCTTTGTGGGTAACCCGACCTTTCTCTCTGGCTGCCCTTAACATTTTTACCTGCATTTCAACTTTGGTGAATCTGACAATTATGTGTCTTGGAGTTGCTCTTCTCAAGGAGTATCTTTGTGGCGTTCTCTGTATTTCTTGAATCTGAATGTTGGCCTGCCTTGCTAGATTGGGGAAGTTCTCCTGGATAATATCCTGCAGAGTGTTTTCCAACTTGGTTCCATTCTCCCCGTCACTTTCAGGTACACCAATCAGATGTAGATTTGGTCTTTTCACATAGTCCCATATTTATTGGAGGCTTTGTTTGTTTCTTTTTATTCTTTTTTCTCTAAACTTGCCTTCTCGCTTCATTTCATTCATTTCATCTTCCGTCACTGATACTCTTTCTTCCAGTTGATCGCATCGGCTCCTGAGGCTTCTGCATTCTTCACGTAGTTCTCGAGCCTTGGCTTTCAGCTCCATCAGCTCCTTTAAGCACTTCTCTGTATTGGGTATTCTAGTTATACATTCGTCTAAATTTTTTTCAAAGTTTTTAACTTCTTTGCCTTTGGTTTGAATTTCCTCCTGTAGCTTGGAGTAGTTTGATCGTCTGAAGCCTTCTTCTCTCAACTCGTCAAAGTCATTCTCCGTCCAGCTTTGTTCCATTGCTGGTGAGGAACTGCATTCCTTTGGCGGAGGAGAGGCACTCTGCTTTTTAGAGTTTCCAGTTTTCCTGCTCTGTTTTTTCCCCATCTTTGTGGTTTTATCTACTTTTGGTCTTTGATGATGGTGATGTACAGATGGGTTTTTGGTGTGGATGTCCTTTCTGTTTGTTAGTTTTTCTTCTAACAGACAGGACCCTCAGCTGCAGGTCTGTTGGAGTTTGCTAGAGGTCCACTGCAGACCCTGTTTGCCTGGGTATCAGCAGCGGTGGCTGCAGAACAGCGGATTTTCATGAACTGCGAATGCTGCTGTCTGATCGTTCCTCTGGAAGTTTTGTCTCAGAGGAGTACCCAGCCGTGTGAGGTGTCAGTCTGTCCCTAGTTGGGGGTGCCTCCCAGTTAGGCTGCTCGGGGGTCAGGGGTCAGAGACCCATTTGAGGAGGCAGTCTGCCCGTTCTCAGATCTTCAGCTGTGTGCTGGGAGAACCACTGCTCTCTTCAAAGCTGTCAGATAGGGACATTTAAGACTGCAGAGGTTACTGCTGTCTTTTTGTTTGTCTGTGCCCTGCCCCCAGAGGTGGAGCCAACAGAGGCAGGCAGGCCTCCTTGAGCTGTGGTGGGCTCCACCCAGTTCGAGCTTCCCAGGTGCTTTGTTTACCTAAGCAAGCCTGGGCAATGGCGGGCGCCCCTCCCCCAGCCTCGCTGCCGCCTTGCAGTTTGATCTCAGACTGCTGTGCTAGCAATCAGCAAGACTCCATGGGTGTAGGACCCTCCGAGCCATGTGCGGGATATAATCTCCTGGTGCGCCATTTTTTAAGCCCATCGGAAAAGCTCAGTATTAGGGTGGGAGTGACCCAATTTTCCAGGTGCCATCTGTCACCCCTTTCTTTGACTAGGAAAGGAAACTCCCTGACCCCTTGCGCTTCCCGAGGGAGGCAATGCCTTGCCGTGCTTCGGCTCATGCATGGTGCGCTGCACCCACTGTCCTGCGCCCACTGTCTGGCACTCCCTAGTGAGATGAACCTGGTACCTCAGATGGAAATGCAGAAATCACCCGTCTTCTGCGTCACTCATGCTGGGAGCTGTAGACTGGAGCTGTTCCAATTCGGCCATCTTGGCTGCCCCCCTGTAGAGAGATATTTTGAGGCCATGTATATATCCTGTTGTCATCCAACTTTTAGCTACTAGTTTTAGCGTTTGTTAATGATTCTTCTTGAATCAATTATTTCTATGATAGGTAGAAAATGGTGATTTTCTAACTCTTATCAGTTTTTCTGCATTTATTAGTAGGTATTCTCCTCTAAGGAAGAACTTTCCATATATTTTTTATTTATTCCTATATAGTTTAATAGGTTCTTTTATTCAGTAGGTTATAATTTATTACTATAATTTGTTTTTATGGTCGAAATGTGCTAGATTTGGCCAGTGGAAGCCCCTCCAAACTAAGTCCAGTATTTGGGGGTTTTTTGGACATTGTCTGCATTATTATTTGTCTGCATTATTATCTGAGCTTTCTTTTGCACACAATAAGATATTCCAGGTTCATTTTGTACTTTCCTTGCCACAATTTAGAAACTAAGCTCTAGAAACCATTGGTATTTAGAAACCAAGCTCTGGGCAGCACGTGTACTTGTTGCTACTAGGGACTGATTGCTTTGTCAGCAGACAGAACTAGCTAATAAATATATGCAGATAAGTTTGTGTATACCTATATTATATATTTCATATCTGCATATATATGTTTATGTGTATGTATGTAAATATATGTGTACACACACACATATATGTATATACTATGAGTTCACACGAATACCCCTGATTCCAATCCAGCTTCACAGGGCTTATTCTAGGCTTCCCCTTTCCATATTTCTAACTCCTTTCATCAGAGTTGTGCTTTAATGCCATCCTTAAAATTAGGACAATCTAAGGCAAAGTCAAGAGTAGGGGTAGCAAACCAGGGGGAAATGTCCTTTGAAATCTATTTATGGTGTGGGCTATTTATTACACTTCTTGCTGACTAATATAAAATCCAGTAAAAAAATTTTAAATAAAGGGAGAGTAGAGACTTAGAAAGCTATTAAAATGAAAAACAAAAAGATTCAACCTGAGAAAGCTGATTAGAAAGGAAAAAACCCCAAAAAAATGTAAGGTGAGAGGAAAAAAAGTGAAAGAGAAGTGAAAATAAACTCAAAATTCCAATAAAGGTAAAAAGTTAAGCTTTTAAAAATACCAAAATAAAGTAGATGAAGTTTAAAGTAGCAGACAGTTTATAAATCAATGAGATGGTGGTTAAAAACATAAAAAACAAAAATAATAATAATTATAAAAAACTAAGACAAAATACCAATACCTTATGATTAGAAAGTTAAAATAATAAAAGGGATTAAAAATTAAAAACAGAAAATAGAAAATTAAAAGATAAAAATTAAAATTAACAAAAATATTAGAGAGACATTTAAAATAAAATATATGTTTTTAAAAAGCTGAAAGACTAGAAAGGTGACTGAGATGGGAGAAGATAAGGGCTGTGTGGAGGGGGATGAGGAAGGAGGATCTGTGACCAAGTTCATGAGGTTCAGCTATTCTCAGTGGGGAATGAATCTCCTGTTGAAATTCAAGTGCTCTTCACGAAGCTGGAGCCAGCGCATACTCTGTCTCCCTTCATCAGAGCCTGCACCACTGTAAGCCCAGTGCAAGGAGCCCACAGTTAGCTGGGAGTGAGGTGGGGATGGGCGGACAGTCTCACAGTTGGCACGAGCCAGGCAGAACCGCCTCTGGGTGTTCGGAACTCCAGTTCAGTTTTCCCTCCAGTATTGCAGTCGGGATCGTTTGCCCTGAGTTGACTTGGCATAGAGTGAACACAATAGTACTTTCTAAGAGTCCAGTGTAAGAGTCCAGTGTGGGGGAGAGGGCAGAGCAGTGCTTCAGAATTTGAGAGCTACAGGTATAGTCCCACAATTCAAGGTAGTGTAAGCTTAAATAAGCCATTTACTTTCTCAGGACCTTGTATTTATTTATTTTTATTTAAGCTGCAAAAATGGAGCCTCACAATGTGTTCCTATTAATATTAGACCACAGACAAGTAAATTATCATATTTTCCATTGTAAATTCCCAGATCAAAATCTTCTATCATAGTTGCATGAAGAGAGGTAAGAATGAGAGGGAACTGAACTCTTGCCAAAGAGGAAGATGGGAGAAGAGGACCACACAACTCAGTAAATGCTTGACTCAACCATTCTAAACCCTGAGGTTGGGAAAGAAAGGCTGAACTATGGAAAGCCTTTGTTTGTTTGTTTGTTTTTCAAAATAACATCAAGAAGCAAGGATTATGGAATACCTTAGTTTTATCAGATTATTTTTTTAAACAGTGTCAGTAAAACTAAAATTCACCTGGGAAAGCCCAAGACTCCAGCCATCAAGGAAGAACTTAACAAGACCTGGTAATTATCCAGATCATGAAGTTAAAACAGGATATGAAGCCAATGCTGTCTGGCATGTAACTTGAAGTCTTAGTCACTTGTGTGAAGATGTTCCTATCTGGCTCTCGTCCGAGGATGTCATAGTAACCATGGGTGTGTGCAGGGCAGGTCTTCCCTTTCCCACACCAGACTGGGCATCCTATCAACACACCAGGGCTCTCTCAGCTGCACACTAGAAACCTGGCTCCTGGGAATGGGGTTCATGGGCTTGCTGGCCACCCAGCACGCTGGGGGAGGTCATGGCAAGCAGGGGGAGCAAGCAGGAAGAGAAGCAAGGGTCCCACTCTGTTGCTCCCCTCCCTTCCCTCCTCCTTATCCGGAGCTTGCCTCTAGCTGGAGTTCCCTACTTGCTTGCTTTTTTCCGGTTGGGTTTACTGTGGTCTGTTTATTGGTTCCCTTGCTTTACATGAGAAAATGGTGGGAGGAGAGGAGTGGGAAGCAGTGCAACCCATCCTTTTCTGTCCTTGTTTGGGTTCAGAATTCCTATTTCATCTCTCTGTCTCCACCACCTTCTGCTAAGGCCCCTGCAGTCATTTCCCGGTATTGCTTGAGGCTTTATAGGATGACAGTTTTTTTCTCTTTTGGTTTCCTCCATATCAAGCTTGCCTCAGTTTCCCTATGTCACTCCCACACTCTACTATTCAATAAATCTAATTCCTTCTTTTAAACTGAAAGGAGTGAAAGGTGAATGCAGGTCATCTAAGAATCTGCCAGACTTTCTACTTAATTCAGACAGAACACTTTTGGTGAGGATCCCAAAGGGCTAAGGTAGAGGCTAGAAATATAGTTTGTGATCCTTGCTTTCTGGAGTTCACAATCTAACTGGGGAAATAATCTTCCCCTCGTGTGAGGAGCTGAAAACAGGGGAGTTAATACCAATCCCAGATGACACAAAGCAGGTTGTAGATAAATGTCTAGTGAAAGGCATAGAGATTGCACATTATACAGTTCAGAAGAGCCAGTTCAGAAGGAGAGAGTTTTCCATGGAGACCATGTGAATTTTGACATAGATGGCATCCAGTTATGCTCCTGTGGTCAGAATGAAACCACCTTCTATTTGCATGGTACCGTAAAGCATCTAAACAACATGCCCCATTTAATGTTTAAATCATGCATCTTCTAGCCAAGGAAACTGAGGCTCACTCAGGTCACATGGAAGCAGTGGGCCCCAGTCTCCTGACCATAGGACCAGAGCTCTTTCCCCTCCAGCTGCCTCTCCCTGAGAGAAGGTGGAATGAGCAATGAGCTAGCAGTAGAGTCCAGGAGCTGGACCACCTCAGAAGGAAAGTGAATCTGAAGGATCCCCAAAGTAGAGATGTGGTTCTCTGTTAGGGAAATAATTGGCCCCAGCCAGAGAGAGCAATTCACCTGCATTACAGGTCCTGCCAGCCCCTCAGATGGGCCAGATTTGTCCTAAAGACATGTATTTTGTCTGCACAAGGATATAAAATGTGTGCATTAGTTGTCCATATTTCTAAAATGAAGTGATCTTGCTCTCACACACAAATATACACAAACTCAGATTGCAAGCTTCTCTTGAAAATTGGACTCTCTGGCAACACTGAACTCCTCATTCTTTTTAAAAAAATTTTATTTAATTTTTTTATTATAATACTTTAAGTTCTGGGATACATGTGCAGAACGTGCAGGTTTGTTACACAGGTATACATGTGACATAGTGGTTTGCTGCACCCATCAACCCGTCATCTACATTAGGTATTTCTCCTAATGCTATCCCTCCCCTAGCCCCTGAGCCCCCGACAGGCCCTGGTGTGTGATGTTCCCCTCCCTGTGTCCATGTGTTCTCATTGTTCAACTCCTGCTGATGAGTGAGAACGTGTGGTGTTTGGTTTTCTGTTCTTGTGTTAGTTTGCTGAGAATGATGGTTTCCAGCTTCATCCGTGTCTCTGCAAAGGACATGAACTCATCCTTTTTTCTGGCTGCATAGTATGCCATGGTATATATGTGCCACATTTTCTTTATCTAGTCTAACATTGATGGGAATTTGGGTTGGTTCCAAGTCTTTGCTATTGTGAACAGTGCTGCAATAAATATACATGTGCATGTATCTTTATAGTAGAATGATTTATAATCCTTTTGGTATATACCAGTAATGGGATTGCTGGGTCAAATGGTATTTCTGGTTCTAGATCCTTGAGGAATTGCCACACTGTCTTCCACAATGGTTGAACTAATTTACACTCCCACCAACAGTGTGAAAGTGTTCCTATTTCTCCACATCCTCTCCAGCATCTGTTGCTTCCTGACTTTTTAATGATCACCATTCTAACTGGTGTGAGATGATATCTCATTGTGGTTTTGATTTGCATTTCTCTAATGACCAGTGATGATGAGCTTTTTTTTTTTTTTATGTGTTTGTTGGTTGCATAAATGTCTTCTTTTGAGAAGTGTCTGTTCATATCCTTCACCTACTTTTTGATGGGGTTGTTTGTTTTTTTCTTGTGAATTTGTTTAAGTTCCTTGTAGATTCTGGATATTAGCCCTTTGTCGGAGGGAGAGATTGCAAAAATTTTCTCCCATTCTGTAGGTTACCTGTTCACTCTGATGATAGTTTCTTTTGCTGTGCAGAAGCTCTTTAGTTTATTTAGATCCCATTTGTCAATTTTGGCCTTTGTTGCCATTGCTTTTGGTGTTTTAGTTATGAAGTCCTCGCCCATGCCTGTGTCCTGAATGGTATTTCCTACGTTTTCTTCTAGGGTTTTTATGGTTTTAGGTCTTACATTTAAGTCTTTAATCTATCTTCGTTAATTTTTATATAAGGTGTAAGGTAGGGGTCTAATTTCACTTTTCTGCATATGGCTAGCCAGTTTTCCCAAAACCATTTATTAAATAGGGAATCCTTTCCCCATTTCTTGTTTTTGTCAGGTTTGTCAAAGATCAGATAGTTGTAGCTATGCGGCGTTATTTCTGAGGCCTCTGTTCTGTTCCATTGGTCTATACATCTGTTTTGGTACCAGTACCATGCTGTTTTGGTTATTGTAGCCTTGTAGTATAGTTTGAAGTCAGGTAGCGTGATGCCTCCAGCTTTGTTGTTTTTGCTTAGGATTGTCTTGGCTATGTAGGCTCTTTTTTGGTTCCATATGAAATTTAAAGTAGTTCTTTCCAATTCTGTGAAGAAAGTCAATGAGAGCTTGATAGGGATAGCATTGAATCTATAAATTACTTTGGGCAGTATAGCCATTTTCACGATATTGATTCTTCCTATCCATGAGCATGGAATGTTTTTCCATTTGTTTGTGTCCTCTCTGATTTCCTTGAGCAGTGGCTTATAGTTCTCCTTGAAGAGGTCCTTCACATCCCTTAAAAGTTATATTCCTAGGTATTTTATTCTCTTTGTAGCAATTGTGAATGGGAGTTCACTCATGATTTGGGTCTCTGTTTGTCTGTTATTGGTGTATAGGAATGCCTGTGATTTTTGCACATTGATCTTGTATCCTGAGACTTTGCTGAAGTTGCTTGTTAGCTTAAGGAGATTTGGAGCTGGGATGATGGGGTTTTCTAAATATACAATCACGTCATCCACAAACAGAGACAATTTGACATCCTCTCTTCCTATTTGAATACCCTTTGTTTCTTTCTCTTGCCTGATTGCCCTGGCCAGAACTTCCAATACTATGTTGAATAGGAGTGGTGAGAGAGGGCGTCCCTGTCTTGTGCTGGTTTTCAAAGGGAATGCTTCCAGCTTATGCCCATTCAGTATGATATTGGCTGTGGGCTTATCATAAATAGCTCGTATTATTTTGAGATGTGTTCCATCAACACCTAGTTTATTGAGAGGTTTTAGCATGAAGTGGTGTTCAATTTTATCGAAGGCCTTTTCTGCCTCTATTGAGATAATCATGTGGTTTTTGTCATTGGTTCTGTTTATGTGATGGATTACATTTATTGATTTGCATATGTTGAACCAGCCTTGCATCCCAGGAATGAAGCCGACTTGATCATGGTCAATAAGCTATTTGATGTGCTGCTGGATTTGGTTTGCCAGTATTTTATTGAGGATTTTCGCATCAATGTTCATCAGGGATATTGACCTGAAATTTTCTTTTTTTTGTTGTGTCTCTGCCAGGTTTCGTATCAGGATGATACTGGCCTCATAAAATGTGTTTTGGAGGAGTGCCTCTTTTTCTGTTGATTGGAATAATTTCAGAAGGAATGGTACTAGCTCCTCTTTTACCTCTGGTAGAATTTGGCAGTGAATCCATCTGGTCCTGGACTTTTTTTTTGGTTGGTAGGCTATTAATTACTGCCTCAATTTCAGAACATGTTATTGGTCCATTCAGGGATTCAACTACTTCCTGGTTTAGTCTTGGGAGGGTGTATGTGTCCAGGAATTTATCCATTTCTTCTAGATTTTCTAGTTCAATTGCATAGAGGTGTTTATAGTATTCTCTGATAGTAGTTTGTATTTCTGTGGGATCAGTGGTGATATCCCCTTTATCATTTTTTATTGTGTCTATTTGATTCTTCTCTCTTTTCTTCTTTATTAGTCTGGCTAGTGGTCTATCTATTTTGTTGATCTTTTCAAAAAACCAGCTCCTGGATTCACTGATTTTTTTGAAGGGATTTTCATGTCTCTATCTCCTTCAGTTCTGCTCTGATCTTAGTTATTTCTTGTCTTCTGCTAGCTTTTGAATTTATTTGCTCTTGCTTCTCTAGTTCTTTTAATTGTGATGTTAGGGTGTCAACTTTATATCTTTCCTGCTTTCTTCTGTGGGCATTTAATGCTATAAATTTCCCTCTAAACGCTGCTTTAGCTGTGTCCCAGAGATTCTGGTACATTGTGTCTTTGTTCTTATTGGTTTCGAGGAACTTATTTATTTCTGTCTTCATTTTGTTATTTACCCAGTAGTCATTCAGGCGCAGGTTGTTTAGTTTCTATGTAGTTGTGCGGTTTTGAGTGAGTTTCTTTTTTTTTTTGTTTTTTTGAGATGGAGTCTTGCCCTGTCACCCAGGCTGGAGTGCAGTGGTGCAATCTCGGCTCACTGCAAGCTCCACCTCCTGGGTTCATGCCATTCTCCTGCCTTAGCCTCTGGAGTAGCTGAGACTACAGGTGCCTGCCAACATGCCTGGCTAATTTTTTTGATTTTTAGTAGAGATGGGGTTTCACTGTGTTAGCCAGGATGGTCTCGATCTCCTGATCTTGTGTTCTGCCCGTCTCGGCCTCCCAAAGTGCTGGGATTACAGGCATGAGCCACCGCACCCAGCCTTGAGTGAATTTCTTAATCCTTGGTTCTAATTGGATTGGACTGTGGTCTGAGAGACTGTTTGTTATGATTTCCATTCTTTTACATTTGCTGACAAGTGTTTTACTTCCAATTATGTGGTCAATTTTACAATGAGTGCAGTGTGGTGCTGAGAAGAGTGTATATTCTGTTGATTTGGGGTGGAGAGTTCTGTAAATGTCTATTAGGTCTTCTTTGTCCAGAGCTGAGTTCAAGTCCTGAATATCCTTGTTAATTTTCTGTCTTGTTGATCTGTCTAATATTGAGAGTGGGGTGTTACAGTCTCCCACTATTATTGTGTGGGAGCCTCAGTCTCTTTGTAGGTCTCTAAGAGCTTGCTTTATGAATCTAGGTGCTCCTGTATTGGGTGCATATATATTTAGGATAGTTAGCTCTTCTTGTTGCATTGATCCCTTTACCATTATGTATTGCCCTTCTTTGTCTTTTTTGATCTTTGTTGGTTTAAAGTCTGTTTTATCAGAGACTGGATTGCAACCCCTGCTTTTTTTTGCTTTCCATTTGCTTGGTAAATATTCCTCCATCCCTTTATTTTGAGCCTATGTGTGTCCTTGCACGTGAGATGGCTCTCCTGGATACAGCACACCGATGGGTCTTGACTCTTTATCCAATTTGCCAGTCTGTGTCTTTTTATTGGCGCATTTAGCCCATTTTACATTGAAGGTTAATATTGTTATGTGTGAATTTCATCCTGTGATTATGATGCTAGCTGGTTATTTTGCACATTAGTTGATGCAGTTTCTTCATAGTGTTGAGGTCTTTATAATTTGGTATGTTTTTGCAGTGGCTGGTACCGTTTTTTTCTCTCCATAATTAGTGCTTCCTTCAGGAGCTCTTGTAAGGCAGGCCTGGTAGTGACAAAATCTCTTAGCATTTGCTTGTCCATAAAGGATTTTATTTCTCCTTCACTTATGAAGCTTAGTTTGGCTGGATATGAAATTCTGGGTTGAAAATTCTTTTTCTTAAGTTGTCAAATATTGGCCCCCACTCTCTTCTGGCTTGTAGGGTTTCTGCTGAGAGATCTGCTGTTAGTCTGATGGGCTTCCCTTTGTGGGTAACTTGACCTTTTTCTCTGGCTGCCCTTAACATTTTTTCCGTCATTTCAACCTTGGTGAATCTGACAATTATGTGTCTTGGGGTTGCTCTTCTCAAGGAGTATCTTTGTGGTGTTGTTTGTATTTCCTGAATTTGAATGTTGGCCTGCCTTGCTAGGTTGGGGAAGTTCTCCTGGATAATATCCTGGAATGTCTTTCCAAGCTTGGTTCCATTCTCCCCATCACTTTCAGGTACACCAATCAAATGTAGGTTTGGTCTTTTCACATAGTCCCATATTTGTTGGAGGCTTTGTTCATTCCTTTTCTTTCTTTTTTCTCTAATCTTGTCTTCACGCTTTATTTCATTCAGCTGATCTTCAATCTCTGATATCCTTTCTTCCGCTTGATCAATTCGACTGTTGATACTTGTGTATGCTTCATGAAGTTCTCATGCTATGTTTTTCAGCTCCTTCAGGTCATTTATGTTCTTCTCTAAACTGGTTATTCTAGTTAGCAGTTCCTGTAGCCTTTTATCAAGGTTCTTAGCTTCCTTGCATTGGATTAGAACATACTCCTTTAGCTCAGAGGAGTTTGCTATTACCTACCTTCTGAAGCCTACTTCTGTCAACTCATCAAACTCATTCTCTGTCCATTTTTGTTTCCTTGCTGGTGAGGAGTTGTGATCCTTTGGAGGAGAAGAGGCATTCTGGTTTTTGGAATTTTCAGCCTTTTTGCGCTGGTTTTTCCTCATCTTTGTGGACTTTTCTACCTTTGGTCTTTGATGTTGGTGACCTTCGGATGGGGTTTTTGTGTGGACGTCCTTTTTGTTGATGTTGATGCTATCCTTTTCTGTTTGTTAGTTTTCCTTCTAACAGGCCCCTCTGCTGTACGTCTGCTAGAGTTGCTAGAGGTCCACTCCAGACCCTGTTTGCCCGGGTATCACCAGCAGAGGCTGCAGAACAGCAAAGATTGCTGCCTGTTCCTTCCTCTGGAAGCTTCATCCCAGAGGGGCACCTGCCAGATGCCAGCTGGAGCTCTCCTGTATGAGGTGTCTGTCGACCCCTGCTGGGAGGTGTCTCCCTATCAGGAGACATGAGGGTCAGGGATTCACTCGAGGAGGCAGTCTGTCCCTTAGCAGAGCTTGAGCGCTGTGCTGGGAGATACATTGCTCTCCTCAGAGCTGGCAGGCAGGAACATTTAAGTCTGCTGAAGCTGCGCCAACAGCCGCCCCTTCCCCCAGGTGCTCTGTCCCAGGGAAATGGGAGTTTTATCTATAAGCCCCTGACTATGGCTGCTGCCTTTCTTTCAGAGATGCCCCGCCCAGAGAGCAAGAATCTAGCAAGGCAGTCTGGCTACAGCGGCTTTGGCAAGCTGCTGTGGGCTCCACCCAGTTTGAACTTCCCGGAGGCTTTGTTTACACTGTGAGGGAAAAACTGCCTATTCAAGCCTCAGTAATGGCAGACGCCCCTCCCCCCACCAAGCTCGAGAGTCCCACGTCCACTTCACACTGCTGTGCTGGCAGCAAGAATTTCAAGCCAGTGGATCTTAGCTTGCTGGGGTCTGTGGGGGTGCAATCTGCTGAGCAAGACCACTTGGCTCCCTGGCTTCAGCCTTCTTTCCAGGGGAGTGAATGGTTCTGTCTTGTTGGCATTCCAGGAGCCACTGGGGTATGAAGAAACTCCTGCAGCTAGCTAGGTGTCTGCCCAAACGGCCACCCAGTTTTGTGCTTGAAACCCAGGGCCCTGGTGGTGTAGGCACTGGAGGGAATCTCCTCATCTGTGGGTTGGGAAGACCATGGGAAAAGCGTAATATATGGGCCAGAGTGCACCGTTCCTCACGGCACAGTCCCTCAGGGCTTCCCTTGGCTAGGGGAGGGCGTTCCCCAACCCCTTGCACTTCCCGGGTGAGGCAGTACCCCACCCTGCTTTGGCTCACCCTCTGTGGGCTGCACCCACTGTCTAACCAGTCCCAATGAGATGAGCCAGGTACCTCAGTTGGAAATGCAGAAATCACCTGCCTTCTGCGTTGATCTTGCTGGGAGCTACAGACCAGAGCTGTTCCTATTCAGCCATCTTGCCAGCCACTGAACTCCTCATTCTTATAGCCACCTTGTGTTAGAACTGTGTTGCAACCACCTCTTTAGAGGATGCAGTTGCTCTGCAGTTCTCTAGGGCTCCACAGAGCTTGGCCTCTAGAGGCTTTGGAGTTTGCATCTTACAAGATGGGGAGCCCATAGGGGAATGTGATATTTGTTGCACTTTAGTGTTTACTAGATTTAGGTCTCCTGTGACACATTTGAGAGGCAGCTATGACATGGTAGAAAGAGGCCGAGGGTCTGGATTCAAGCCCCTCTCTGCCATGTATTGTTTGTGTGACCTTAGCTAAAACAGTCAACCTCTCTCAGCTTGAGTTTCATGACCTTTTGATTGGGTGTAAGGATACCCATTCCCAATGAGGTTGTATAGATTATGTGAGTTAATAAAAGTATAATAAGTGGTGCCTATATGTTTTAATGCTTATTTTTGGAAGTATTCAATCTGAGATGCAAAGATACAGAGGATTGGTTCTACAGGCTATTCCTTCAAATGATTTTGGAATCTTAGAGCTAAAGTGTCACTAGCCTTGTTTTAGGAAGAAGCTGCAATGAGTCTCATGTAATTTTGAAGATGTTCTAATGGACACAAGGTAGGGGATGGCAAAGAGGCACTGAAAGAGAGACTGCTGCTTCCCTGCCCCATAATCTTAGCCTGTTTTCCCTACTTTGTTTGAACAGGATGTTTAATATACATATTTGTTTATACATCTGGGAGAGGATCAGAGTCTAAAAGAATTGTAACTGGAACACTTTTTGAAATCCACTTTCAAGGAGGGAGAGTATTTTAGAAAGTCAAAACTTGGTCAATAGAGAAGGACAAACAAACCATGCACTTCTCGTCTCTGAGAGAGCTTCAAGTGCCTGTTGCAAATTGATTTAAGGATTGTGACAATAATGTTGAGGTTCTTTGAAGATGGCAGCAGCCTGATAAAGTTCTTGAGGAAGTAAATTCGTATGTGAAGTATTTAAGGTCAAAACCCTTTGCACACCACTTTTGGGTTTGTCTTTTGTCCAAGCCCACTGAGTGGTTATTACGGTGATGTATGTGGGCGAGTGGCTAAAGTGGCCACAATGACAAGTGCTTCCTGACTCTGTGTTCAGGTGTACAATTCTGTTTTCTTCCTCCTTACCACTCTCCTTCCCATGCCCCTGTGGTCAGGATGGCCATCCCATCCCACCTCCCTAACCCTGTCAAACAAGGCACTGAAAATGCCATTTTTGCCTTTTCATTGTGATTCCTTTGTGAAAAGAAATGGGAGCAACCACTGGATACAGTGCCATCCAGAGATGTCCATCATCTTCTGGCTCAAATGGAAAAACCACAGCTATATCATTGTTCAGGCTTGGTACATATTTACCCAGCTTCTCAGACACCTGAGAACTCATGTAACTCAACATTTGTAAAATTGTCATTTGTTCAGGTAAGGTTTTCCTCTCTACTCATTTAAACCTTTGCTTTCTGAAAAACATCACTGAGAGAGATGGCTGGACATGTGATAGTAATAGCTTTGTGGGGCAAGCAGGTAAGTTTACATCCCTTTCTCCCTTTCTGGGAAATTGAAGGATGCCAGACAAAAAGTCCCTCTAGTTGTCATTATTATATACTTAAAATAAGCTGGGTTCAGGCTCTCTCACAAAATGCTAGTTCTTGGACTGAAGCCAAACATGTAAATTTCAGTTCAAATAAATGCTAAATAGGAAAAGCAAAGGGGTCAGCCCTGGAGGCTCCCCTGTAGGCCACCGGTGGCCCCTTGCTCTGGCTTGCCTTCTTTTCTTCCACATCAGCAGGCCTATTTTCCTGGAGATCTGCCTTGACTTGGTGAGCAAGGCTCAACACAGTGAGTCTCTTGCTTGTTCAAGGGGGAAGGGAATCTGCCTTGCCATCCATAGAAAAGCTAATGAGCTGAGGTGACACCGGGCCTTGAATTCAGACCTCCTGTAATGCTTTGCTTGCCTGATGCTGCTGTAACATATTTTTATATTACTCCATAATAGGGAGACAGTGAAATACAGATCCTGCCAGGCTGAGTTGCTCCCACTGCTTCTCCAGCCACTCAGCAGGGATTGAGATGCTTTGCATCAGGGGTGATAGAACATTTTGACTCTACTGTGGAGGTTGGCCTCGGGCCAAAGGAGGAGCTGCTGCTTCTTTGTATTTCTCAATGAAAAGCAGGCACTCTGGTGTAGCAGGTTCCAGCCTTGTTAGGATGCCAGGGTCTATTCCTTACTTCTGGGTCTGGATTTGAGCAAGTTGCTCTCCCCACTTGTACAAGGCTTGTGCAGGAAACTGGGGGTGGTGGGGGACAGGAGCAGGAGGGAGAAGGCAGTGATACTTTTTATTTCCAGAATGCTATTGCCATGCTCTAGCCTTTCCTGGTATCTGAGGAAACACAACTTATGTCAGGAATCTAATGCCTCCCAGGGACTCCAGGCAATGACCTACTAGGGTGAATACTACTAGTTCATCATCACTGCCCAGCTCTCCTAAAGAAGAATACTCTTGTAGAAGATACTATTGGATTATTGGTCCAGTTGATTGTGAATCTTAAAGATTTGCAATCTCAACAGTTTAAATTAGAAGTTTAAGAAAATGGGAATCTATGATTAACATGACTCAACGTAGAAGGAGAAAACTTCCTTTAGCAGCAGGATGGGTAAAAGGCAAGGTCTTAGCAGAATGATAACCTGGGTGTCTGTCTCCTGTTGATGTCATTGACAGGCCCCACTGAGCAGTAGTTTTAGACTTCTGTATTTTAGGTCTGGCTGGCCATTCTAATTGTGTGAAGTTATTTGGTTGGCATTCAGAATCATCTTCTATGGAGTTATGAAACCCACTAGAGAGGCAGGAAAAGGGCTCCTGAGCTGAGGGAGCAGAGGGCCCAGCCCTACTTTGCCTGATCCTGCCCACCGGCTCTTCTCGGTGAACTTCCAAGATGCCCTCCATGTAGGTCCTCAGGGATAAGCTCCATGACCTCCTGCTCACTCCCATCACCTTTCACCTTTGGCTTTGGACTAGGTGCAGGAAAGAGAAGCACAAATAATAATTTCTGACAGGATATAAACTTGCTGGTAGGGAAGAAGAATGAAGAATCAGGAGAAATAGAAAGTGCTCACTGTGTGGGTAATTATGTAGGATCTGCCAATCTTGTAGGTGGGTGTTGGAGCTGAGGAGGAAGAGGGTCTTAGGTATTGTTATGGAAATCCTGTGTCTCCTCTAGATAAGGGTGGTTGAACACCAATTGAGAATGTCAGCTGAGAAAAGTTTCTAGAAAGCATCCTCATTCGTTTAGTCCTTCCTTCAGCAAAATTATAGTAGATACTTTTATGAACAAGGCCGGGGTTAACAAGACATAAAATACCAGGTTAAAGACTATCTGGTCATCATAAGTACATGATCTATTGAATGACTTAAGGCTCTCCTCCATGTGTCTTCCCCCTTGAGAGTTACTTTTTGAATTTAGTCCCAAAAAAGCATTGTCTCTTGTGAGGAAATGGTCTATATCCTTTTTTTTTTTTTTTTTTTTTTTCCAGATTTGAGAACTGTGTAACTTATGTTTCTATTTTTTTCCAAGGTTCTAGTTTGCATACCACAGAAATCGATTCTGGCTATTGCAGTCAGAAAAGAGGAATTTGTGGCAGGGTGTGGCGGCTCATGCCTGTAATCCCAGCACTTTGGGGATTACAGGCCCTTGAGGCCAAGGCAGGCAGATAGCCTGAGGTCAGGAGTTCGAGACCAGTCTGGCCAATATGGTGAAACCCCTTCTCTACTAAAAGTACAAAAAAATTAGCCGGGTGTGGTGGCATGCGTCGGTAATCCCAGCTACCCGGGAGGCTAAGGCAGGGGAATTGCTTGAACCAGGGAGAGATTGCAGTGAGCCAAGATCGCACCACTGCACTCCAGCCTGGGCGATAGAGTGAGACTTGATCTAAAAAAAAAAAAAAAGAAAAAGAAAAGAGGAATTTGTTGAAAGGATGATTCAGGACCAAGCTGTACCACTGACTAGCTCAGGGGCAGTGGACAAGTCATTTATCCTTTTCAAATTTCACTTTACACCTTACCATTCCAGCCCTACCTGAAAGTCCCCTGTCCAAGGCCCTTGGAAGAGCAAGGGACAGTGAGGCAGGAGAAGACCAAGAGTTGAATATAGGCCTGGCCCATAATGTGAACATAAGTATTCACTTTCTCTGATGTTCAACAATTCATCTATTCAATCATTTATTCATTGGGTTGTCAGATAGTCTACTATGTGCAAAATAATCTATTTTGGCATTACATGCAAAATAATCTGTTACAGCTTTAAAATATATCTGGAACTTTTTAGATTATTTCAAGCCTTATTCTGAATAAATGTTTGTTACTTCTAGTTCTATAAGTGAGGAAATGTTTATGGCAAAGACTTTTGGCACTTTGTTTTCAAGGTGGTGTTATCTTTTGCATTCTTTGTAAATGACTTTTTTTTTCTGCCAAATAATAACTGGTTAACAAACACATGTTCATATTTATTGATTAAAATGTTGTTACTTAATTCCTTAAAAAAAAACAAACAAACCCAAAAGCCTCCCAAAGTTTGCTTTACCTGCCATTCAAGGAATGTTGCACAATCAGAGCGAGGCTCACAAAATAGATGGAATGCTCAAAAACCAAGCCTGGGAAGCACATAGGAACCAAGAGAGTTCTGGATAGTGAGGTCACAGGAACTGGTTCTCTTGCTGCTGGGCCAGGTTGAGTAAGACGTGCAATTGCCTTCATGATGTTGGGTCACTCTACATTCAAGTCCTGGAAAAGTTTCTGATTAGCCAAAGGCTTCAGTTTGGAAAGCTAGTCCCTTTCGATGTCTTAGAGGGAGTACCAGCCACTCTCAAGATTAATGGGGTAGTCTTCAAAAGGAATATCGGTGGGCAGATGTTGGATAACAACAAAAATGGATGTCCGGAAATGCAGAGTAAAGCTGTTGCTCAAAAATAAAAACAATATCCACCCTTGTAAGGAGTGTATGTGCTCTTTCTGCCTTTTCTTGGTTCTGATTTTTTTCTTCCTTTCCCTTTAATTACCCTTATTGTATTGCATTCCTTGAATGGCAGGTAATGTGAGATTTGGAAAGGATAAATGACTTGCTTGATGTCTCTGAGCTAGTAAGTAGTACAGCCAGGTTTTGAATGTATATCTTTTCACTTTAATTTCAGTTGTCTTGTCTTTCCCTCTGTATTGATGCAATACAAAGTGGAGAGTGACAAATATCAAGAAAGTTACAAGAAAACTGCTCTACTTGATCTAAAGAGGAGTATTTCTTCAGGTTTGAAGACATTTGTTGGTCTAAGTAATTAACAATAAATATGTTTTCTTTGCTAAAGGGAGAGTGCATCCACTCTCTTTTGTAAACCAGCTAACCCACCAGCAGGGAATGTCCTATCATTACCAGGAAGGTGCCATGAATAAGAAGAGTGGTTTCTTCAGTATTTTTTTCCCTGGTGAGTTCTGAGGATCTTAGGTCTATGTTCAGGCTATTCCTCTCTTTTGAAAAGACCTATCCTATCATCCAAATGCATCAGAATTTAATTTTCTTGCCTTTATAAAAAGTGTTTTCTGGGGGAAACTACATTTTTTTTTATAAAAAATTTGGATAATACAAAAATAAAATATAATGAAAACAAAAGTACACTCAGAACTCCACTGTTATATTTTACATGTATGTGTACATATTTTCTTTTTTGAAAATTGAGATTATATGATATCCTTCTTTTACATGACATAATTTTGTGAGCTCATGACACATGAAACTTTTGATACTTGGATTCTTAATAACTATTTACTTTGCACTTATTTGGGCTCACAACTGTGCATCAAAACCCCTTCCTGTCCTCCAGGAACTACCTTCTCCACTTTTAGTCTATGTAGGGAGGAGGAAGGGCAAGAAGCCAGGAATCAAGAAATCAAGAGAGCAACCCTGCGAACCATGACTTCAAAGTGATGATTCTTGTCCTACGTTAAAGATACCAAGGAGTCCAAAACACTTCTTTCTCTATTTTTTGAAGAGTATGAACATGTGACTTAGTTTTTGCATGGAACCATATCTAAAGCAACACAGTTCTGCAGAGTACAGCTAATTTTTTTTTAAAGAATTCATTATTTACAACAGTCTCTTCATTAAACAGGATCCAATTCCTAAGCCACATGGGCAGATCTCACTTGTCTCCTCTTTTCCGTCCTCCAGCCTCTGGAAGCCACAGTGAACCATCTAGGTCACTTATCAACCCACAGCTCCCTGCTTTCTTTTCCCTTCCCTCCTCTGTTATTTCTTTTATTGTTTGGGCCACTTCGCGTCTTTTCTAGAAAGTAAGAATACTTCCTCTTTAGGAGGGGTAGGAAGAGTTAAATTGTGGACATTTAGCATTCTCCTCAAATAGCAGGGGGAGAGAGATGCTGTGGACACTTACCCCATCATCTTTTATAGCCCTTTTCCGTGTCTTGCATCTCTGTTCCCCTGAAGTGACCGGCACTGGCACGACCACCTGGAAGGACCTGGGGGAAATTCTTCCTGAATAGAAGTGACCCTGAGAAACCAGGCAGCAAGGCTGATTCTGGGCCATGGCCCCAGGCTACGCATGGGCCAGCTTGGGCTGGGAGGACAACAGCAGCGGTTGTTCCTGAGTTGCCCTCCATGCCTTTTCACATCACCCCACCATCCACCCCAGGGGTAGCCTCCAAAAAGGGACTGAGATCACATTCCCCTGCCAAAGCACGGAAGCTCTGTCCTCTTGGGTAACAGGCCCCAGGACTGTGGACTGGCAGGAGATGGGTGTGGGATTAAGGAGAATGAGGTTGGTCTCTGAGTTTACATCCTAGATCTCTTTGCAGGGTTCTGCTTTCCTTGAGAGTTAGAAAAGAGCCAGAGCATATATGTGAGAAGCAAAATGGCTGGAAAGCTGTGGGCCTTGAGTATTTATTTATTCATCCCAGATTCTTTCAATATACATTCACAAGAGGGTGAGGGTGATACCTAGGTGTTCAGGCTCTAGAGTCGAGCAGACCTAAATTTGAAGCCTGTTTCCGCCACCGATGAACTAGGCAAGCAACTTTACCCCTTTAGACCCCAGCTTTTTTATGGGTAAACTTGGGCAACCTCCTCAGCAGATTATTATGAGGATTAAGAGAAAATTGAAAAGTGCATGTGGAGCATTAGTTCAGTGCCCGCTACATTGGTCTTGACGGGTGGCTGGTATTACTGTTCTTGAAAACGTCCTCCAAGAAGGCTGTGACGGAAACAAGGCTAAGTCAGATACAGATCCTGCCCAAGGTAGCTTATGATGGGCAATCCTAACACCAGAAATGATGGGAGCCAGGAGAGAAGATTAGGACGAAAGGGGCATGAAACAAACAGAATCAAAGGTTCAAAAAAGGATCGGCAGAAAGGATTGTTTAACATGGTGGGGCTGAAAGTGAAAGCTGAATTGAACAGAATATAACAGTGGGGTCTGACAGAGCCTGGGCATAGTGTCTAAAGGTGGGAAAGAGGAGCAACAGGATACATTAAAAGCACAGTAGGTGAGCAGACTCGTCACCGGGTTGACAAGAGTGAGAAGGTAAGCAAAGGAGAAAGCAGACTGGGATCGATAAATAAGCAACAAACGTAGTGATAAAGACGACCCTACCAGTCCAGACACTAAGAGGCAGCCTGTCACAGAGGCTGGAATTGGGCTTGCAGTTTAAGATCACAAAAAGAAAAATGTATGCAGATGTTTGCAGATTTTTCTGATGCTTTGATCGTTTTCCTATCACAACACTCAGAAATCCATCCTGGATTTATCCTCAGGAAAGACATCTGAGAGCCCCTCTCACGCCTTGTCACTGCCTTGGAAGATTTCATAGTCAAGTTCTCAGAGATGGGATAAGTGGTTAAGAGAGTGATCAGCACAAGTTGCTGAGTTCTGGAGACCCTGATTGGAGCAGATGCCGGCTGCGTGAACTATGTCTAGACATGGAAATTGTGCTCTTAATCTCTCAATCCTGCTTTCTCTACATTCTCTGACAACGCGCCTGTTTCTGTAAACATTCTCACCACGGGAGTGGAGCTGGAAACACATGTGCAATCAGCAGCCACAGCAGCTACAAAGGGGGTTATGAAATCCGCGCAAAAATAGCCTGCTTGCCCCATAGGCATGCAAAGCAGCCAACTAGCCAGGGAGAACGTGTCAGGCGGCAGATTTCGCTCAGTGTTTCAAGAGGCTTCCAGTGACCTGTCATACTTAGGGGCAAAGGAGCTTAGTGCTGGACAGAAACACCCGGAGGGGCTCTGGGCCTGCGGACAGAGCCTCCTGTGCAGCTGTGAGCGACAAGACCTCCTCCCAGGGAGGCAGTACAACTTCCAAGAGATGCCAGCCTCCTGTCCTACCTGCCCCGCAACTCCTCAGCCCTGGTTTAAACTTTTACTTGAGCCGGGCACGGTGGCTCATACCTGTAATCCCAGCACTTTGGGAGGCCAAGGCGGGAGGATCACTTGAGGCCAGGAGTTTGAGACTGGCCTGGGCAACATGCTGAGACCTCGTCTCTACCAAAAAATACAAAAATTAGCCAGGTATGGTGGCACAGGCCTGTAGTCCTAGCTGCTCAGGAGGCTGAGGCGGGAGGATTGCTTGAGCCCAGGAGTTCCAGACTGAACCCTGGATGACAGAGAGTGAGGCCTTGTTTCTGAAAAAACTTCTATTTGAGTTAAAACTTTGAGGTCACGTAATGTTACTGGAGGCAAGAATCTAAAAAGCCTGGCTCCTGCCCTTGGAACTTAATGCATCAGCTGGCTGGCCCTTTGCAGGGTTGGGATGGTGCATCTCTATAGAGTGAGGGAGTGGGAGGGAAAAGCACTTTGGCTGGGATGCTGGGCGCAGGGCTGGCAGATATGTGTTCACCATCTGCAAGGTGAAGGGGTGAGAAATGAGACTTGCTGTGAACAGGGGGGTGCACTGGGTGTCTTCTTTCACCTCCAGCTCCTCCTGCTGCATGACGTTTAGCCCAGTCACTTTGGGCCTCTTGCTTCAGCTTCACTACTGAGTGGGAAGGTGCTCTCTCCCCTGTATTTCACTCCTAAAGAAAGAGGAAAGGATCACCAGTCAGGTGACTGGCCATCACCTCGTCACGTGTCCTTGAAGTTGGAATCTCAGTCAACTCAGAGAAATGATTACATTACTGAGTGCCGTCGCAGAGGTCCTGGGGATATTTTTGTCAATAGAGCCCTTTGTGACTGAAGAGACAGGGTGGGTCATCTACATTCTGTTGGGGAAGACCATGGGGCTAGAAGTCAGCAGATCCAGGCTCTGAGCCAGCTCTGTCGGGTTACTTTCTGTGTTACTGAATGTCTCTGCTTTCCTCAGTTGAACAAAGCAAAGATCTGTAGCCCAAGAAAGGCCACTGGGCAATTGTAATGGCTAGGCTAGGGCAACAGAATGTGCTGAGGGCAGCGTGGAAATGGTGGCCAAGGCACTAAAGACCAGCTTTCTCTTTCATGGGAGCCTGAAATGAACCCTCTGCCACCTCCCTTCCCCACCCATAGATTCCTTTCCCATTTACAGGCAGCTAGGTTGGCCTTGGCCTGGACTGGGTTTCTGTTTTGTCAAACTAACAGGTTTCTGCTGGGAGGAGGGCACTGGCGGAAGTAGCATAACTTATCTTTGGTTTAGGGGTGGAACTTCGGTTGTTTCTCCAGGCACGTCATGTCTTGGCTTGGACCATCCCTTGCTAAAGCACTGTGCTTCACATCCTTTTACGGGAAGTACACGACCTTCCATCTCCCCGCAGGTGTGGGCTGGACCCACAGGACCCAGGCAAAGCCTTTTAGGTGGGTATCCTATTCAGAGGGCCAGCCAGGGACCCCATTGGCCTATTCCTCATAGTCCACACCTGTTTCCAAGGGGCCTCTTTGAACTCAATGACTTTCACTCTTTCTTTTGGAGTCATTTTAGGACAAAGGGAAATGAAATCCTGGTCCTTCAGTGACTTGAGCCATATCTTAAAATTGGGGTTGGGAGGGAACAGAATGGCTCCCCCAAGTCCTGCTCTGGGAGTCAGTTGTTGCCTAGGCTGGGACTCTGAGCTAGTACCCATCATACACAGCATTCCGATTTCTCCCTGTAGCATCCTGAATCTGTATATGCTTTGGGAGCCTGGGGTGGGGAGAGGCCAACCCCTGTCCCTCCATCACACTGTACTTCAGAGAAACCTGTGGAAGATAAAACTACCATTGTGGCTCCTTCCAAGGAGCTTTGGTAAAAAGGAAAGGTATCTGTTTCTGTAGGGATAACACTGAAGTGGAGTGTTGGAAACTCATGTTTCCAGAAAGCTTGAAGGTTTTGACCACCCCAGATGCTTTCTTCATGTTTCACACCAGGCAGCTTGGGCGTGGAGAGCTGCCTCCACCAACTTGGCTGAGAAGCCCTGGCAGCTGCTCAGGCTGAAAATAGTAGGTGCTTCGCATTTTCATCGCAGCCTGAGCAGGGCCTCACGTACACACACCTTGGCACGCAAATGTGGGCGCAGAGATTGTTCCAGGCATCGGGGCCGTGTTCACACATGGCTGTGAGGTGAAGCTGGAAATAGGCTCTGGTAGCCAAGGAAGCAAAGGAGCTGAGGGCCTCTACCATGTGGGGCTGCCATCTCCTTCCTGCAAGCAGCACGGAAAAGGACCTGCCTGAGCCTCAGTGGCCAAGTGTCTTCACCCCTGTAGCCCAGGACAGGCTTTAGAAAAAATGAAAAACAGGTTCATGATGGTTATTTTATGCAAAACCTTTGGAATTCTTCCTTTATCTCCAAATACAAATATTTAAAGTGTTTAAATCACTACAAGAAAATAAAAATCTAAAAGCAATCTGTTAAATAGACTGGGGATGTTGGTAGGGAAAGCAATAGGATCTCCTCTCTGCTCTTGGTGCTTGGGGCACCTCTCTCTTGCTTTTCTCTCACTTCTTGGCTGCCATTTCCCAGGGCCCTGTCCTGGGCTCATCCTGGCATTGATCAATGGCTCTGAAAACATAGGACAACGTAGCTTCAGATATTTAAAGCAGGTATAAGATGTGCCGGAGAGTATCTACAGCATCCATCTCTCTCTCTCTCTCTTTCTCTCTCTCTCTCTCTATCTCCATCCATCCATCTACCCATCCACCTCTTCCTCCCTGTATACTTTCCTTGAGAAAATAGACTCTATTAGAAAGTTGATTTCGTGCAATGCTCTAAGACAGTTATTTTTTATTTATTTTCATTTTCCCCATCATGTTCCTCAGCCAGGAGTTTCAGTGAGCTAGTCGAAAGTGCACCAGCCTTGATGAGAGATGGGCTTAGCTTTGAATCCAGGCATGCTATATGTAGCTGCAGAGTGTTGGATAATTCACCTAAATTCTCTGAACTTTGTAAACTGAGAGTAACTACTTTGCAAGCCTTCTGTGAGGTCCCAGGGGGACAGTGTGTACAAAGCACCAGGAACATATTAGCACCCAGTGAGAGGTGACTGCACCATTTCCTTCATGTTGTAGCATTTTTGAGACTCCTAGTGAAAAGAAAACATCACAGATGTACAGAGAAAGGACTGGCCCAGGCACAGCACACACCATCAGCTCATCATGCCCAACCAGTTTGACCTTGGGTCACTAGCAAAATGCCTCTGTAGAAGGGTGCATGTGGAATGGAGCTGGGCTACGGTGCCATTCACTTCTTATGCCTTTTTTTTTTTTTTTTTTTTTTTTTTTTTTTTTTTTTGGTGAGATGGAGTCTGGCTCTGTCACCCAGGCTGGAGTACAGTGGCGTGATCTTGGCTCACTGCAACCACCGCCTCCCGGGTTCAAATGATTCTCCTGCCTCAGCCTCCCAAGTAGTTGGAATTACAGGCACCCACCACCACGCCTGGCTAATTTTTGTATTTTTAGTAGAGATGGGGTTTCACCACGTTGGCCAGACTGGTCTTGAACTCCTGACCTTAGGTGATTCACCTGCCTGAGCCTCCCAAAGTGCTGGGATTATAGGCATGAGCCACCGCTCCCAGCCTCTTATGCCAATTTAAGTCTGCTTGCAAATAGAAGTGGGACTAAATATATAATACAAACTTAGCTAGAGTCCAAAATTGGAGTAGAAGTTGTTGAAACAGTTTCCTTCATGTAATTGTTATAAACAAAGTATAACAAAGCTATTCATTGCCCACTTTCTGCAGGGTGTATCAACCATTTTAAATCTGCCCTCAAAAGCACAGAACAAATCAGACAGCATTTTGCTCACAGAGGAGAGGGTGTATGAGAACCAAATTCCAGCTTCAGCACATGGCCTTGGGTAAGTCATTTGCTTTCTCTACACCTTAGCTTTCTCATCTGTAAAATAAGAATGGTGATATGATAGTAGTAATAATTCTACAGGCCACATGTGTCTCATACCATTATAATAACGATCAACCGAAGTCATGTATTTTAAAGCCTTCAGGAAACTGTGAGTGTAAGGCATGGTTATCTCACCTTGCAGGAAGGTCTTGAATCCATTCCAATAGCCTTTATTGGATGAGTGGTTTCTGGTGTTGATTTGTGTGCTTGAAAACATGTAGAAAAAGGCTGTGGGCAACATTTCTATCAGGGGTTGTGAGGTGATCGTAGGCAGGTTGCTTCTCAAGGGCAGATGATGTAAGGATGAGAGGGCCAACTATGATATCAGGGGATAGACTCAGGATTCCTCCAGGCCTCGATAACTTTAATCCTCTCTACCTTTGTCCTCCCTCCCCTCAATATGCGGCAGTCTCTGTCCCTTGCATGAACACAGGCTCCCTCCTCTTGGTTACTTTCCCCATTTATTAACTTCCTGATCTCTTGAACAAGGTGTCTGCAGCAGTCTGTGTTCACCAGATGTTCTATGTGGTGTATTGTTTGGGTGAGGCCGTGGAACTCATTCTAGCAGATGAACCATGAGCAGGGGTGATATGTGTGGCTTCCACACTGGGGCAATAAAGAACCAATGTCTTACTTCCCTTGTTCTTGCTTCCTCTGCCATGTGCCCCCAAAGGTACAGCTACAAGATGGAGGAAGCTATTTGACCTGCATCAGACTTTACGTGAACAAAAGGTAAGCCTTTATCATGTGAAACCACTGAGATTTGAGGATTTATTCTGGGATTGCCACATAGTTTGGCCTGTCCTGACAATAAGCGGGACATGCCTTGCTGCTTCACTCCCCCTCACCCCACCTGCTCCTCCAATTTGTGTAATCTTGTGTCTGCCCTCACTGCTTGGAGAAACGGCTACCCTCAAAATTTACCAGTGACCTCATCCTTATTTAGCTACAGACTGCTGAGTTGCCTCATTCACTTAAACTCTTCTTTCTCTCTTAATCTTTTACTTCATTATTTTAAGCTTAATAAAAAGTAATCCATTCTCACTTTAAGGAAATCTCCCCTTACCTTCCCAATTATTTATCTGCTTTTTGTTCTGTTTCCTTTTCTCTTACCTCAAAAGGCAGGTTTCCCCCCAAAGATCTGCCTCTGGCTCTCCTCTCTTCTCATCTCCCCACTCCCCCAGGTGCTTCCATATGCTCCTGTGTGCTCCAGCGGTTGGCTCGTTTGCACAAGGCGGCATTCCTCACTCTCAGCTCCAGCCTAACGTTTCCAGCCTCTCTAGATGTCTGCCTGGGTCTGCAGCCCACTTTTGGAGATGACTGTTCAGAACTAGACTTATCATCCTTTCTCCTTTTTTCCTTCTTCTTCCTACTGTGCTCCCTTTTACTTACTGTCCATGGCACTGTTATCAAATTTCACCCAGGCTTGACCCCTACATTTTCTTTTTGACTTGGTCTTTTCCATTCTACCACTCCCTTATCTAATCAGTTATTGAGTGCAGTGGATTCTTTCACCTGGTCCCTTCTCTGTATCTCCATTACTATTACACTACTTGTATGTATGTAATGGCATTGGGAGGAGACTAGAAAGACACATGCTGGACTGTTGACCATGGTTAGTTCTGGGGAAGAAAATCCATGGGAGTGGGTGGAGACGATGGGGGCCTTCATGCTTGAAAATGTGTTATTCTGTACTTTTAACATACTTTCTAGCAATAGATTCACATATTAACTGCATAATACAAAGGCAACTTTAAAAAATAAGAATGGGCTGCCTGTGATGTAGTGAAGACTTCGTAACTGGAAATCTTGGAACAAAAGTTAGATGACTTAGCATTAGGGATGTCACAGATGTTGTAGAGGGGATTCCCGTATCGAATGGTAAACTAGAAGTTATCTTCTGCATCAGTTAGGATTAGATTCAGTGGTGAGTGATGGAACTCCAAAATAACACAGGCTTAAACAACATGGAAGTTGTCTCTGAAGTAAGAGTCCAGAAGGTAATCAACCCAGGGTTTGTGAGAGCCCTCCACGATTCTCAGAGATTTCTTCCCTCTTGCCACTCCATTCCACTCATGTCATGGGTTCCACCTCATAGTTTAATCAACTTGCTAAAGCTTCAGCCATCGTGTTTGCATTCCATTTAGCATGACAGGCAAATTTGTACATGCCCTCTCCCTTTCAGGCCACTTTCTAGAAGTGGCTACTTCTACTTTTACTCCTTTGGCCAGAACCTAGTTACACAGAAACACCGAGCTTCTCAAGAGGCTGGGATATGCTTTAGTCTATGTGGCCATGTGCCCAGCTACAAACTGGCGATTCTATTACCAAGGAAATAGGGGAAAATGAATACTGGGGAGCAATTCATGTTCTCTGCCAATGTTTTAACCTTGTGATTTTAAAATTAATAATAGCTGCTACTTACCGAGCTACCCTATGGACTAAGCCCTGGGCTAAGTGCTTCATGTGTTATCTTGTTTAATGCTCACCTGTCTGTGAGTACTGACGGGTGCAGCCATATCCCAGGCCTGGCCGCAGCCACAGGGGAAGATGGGAAACTCAGTACAGATGGAGTATCCCTAACTCGAATATTCAAAATCCAAAATGCTCTAATGAGTGTTTCCTTTGAGCTTTATGTCAACACTCCAAAATTTTAGAATTTTTCAGCATTTTGAATTTTGAATTTTTAAATTAGGGGTAGTAAACTTGGTGCAAATATTCCAAAATTCCAAAAAGAAGTCCAAAATCTGAAACACTTCTGGTCCCAAGCATTTCAGATACACTACTCAACTCGTACCTAGTATATTTGTTCCCAGTGAGGAAAAGCTGTCCTCATTCCCACCAAAACTCCTAAGGTGGGAATTTTCCATACTTGGAAAGGGGTTTAAATGCTGGCATATGACCACCCCACCATTCAGTTTCTGTATTGCCCTCATTTTAGGTTTAAAAAACTTGAGAAATGGAATTTGAACTGGATTATTTTCAAAGGTTTTGAAATATTTGGTTCTCCTTCTATCCTTTTCTTGTTAGAAATTCCTTTGAAAGCAATAGCATACTAATCCCTGGCCTCCATAACAGGGTCACTTGGTAGGCATGATAATGCCTCCTCCCGACAAGGTTTCCATGTCCTAGTCCCTGGAACCTGGGAATATGTTACCGTATATGCTTAGCAAAAAGAACTTTGTAGATGTGTTTGAATTAAGCATCTTGAGATGGGAGAGAATCCTGGATTAGCTAGTTGGGCCCCATGGAATCACTGGGTCCTTACCAGGGAAAGAGGGAGGCAGGAAAGTGAGAGTCAGAGAGGGCAGCATGGTGACTGGAAGTGGAAGTTGGGGTGATGCCATTGCAGACTGGAATGAACCTGGGAATGTGGCAGCCTCTAGGGCTGGAAACAGCAAGGATTGGGGCTTCTCTCCTAGTGCCTCCAGGAGCAGTGTGGCCCTAGTGGTCCCTTCCTTTTAGCCCAGCGAAAGCCATTGTGGAGTTCTGACTTCCACAACTGTGAGATAATAAATTCATGTTGTTTTTAAGCCTTGAAGTTTCTAGTAAATTGTTACAGCAACAATAGGAAACTAACACAGGGCACAAGTTAAAATGCCTCCAAGGTCCAGAATGTACCATAAATGAGTAAAGTAAGCTATGGGTAAAAAACATTTTTAAAAACATACAATCCTTTTAGTCTCTTTCATTTGTGCATTTTTGACAGAGCCATGAGTCCAAAGTTTTGATGTTCCTCCTAACTTTGTAAGAAAAATGATAATAGCGGTAAATGGTGATGGACACATGACTTCAGTGGTAGGTAGAGAGAGGTGGGGACTAGGGGGAAGTGGAAAGTGAGTCAGCTGCTAAGGACGAGGAAGCTGCAGCCAATTGTTACCTTGTAGAATTTGGATTTGGTGTTTCCAGTGTTTCTAATTTAATTGTAGCACAGTATCTTTTGTTGTCTTGCAAATGAAGAGTTCAGACAAAATCTATCTAGCAGTCTTACAAGTGAAGAGTTCAAACAAAATATATCTTCAGGCAGTGGCTTGCTGTCCTTGGCTATAAAACAATATCATCTCCCACCTGTTCTTGTCACCACCTTAGGATGTTTTCCAATGGAGATTTTCTTTCTTTTCTTTTCCCTTCCCTTCTCTTTCCTTCTTCCTTTCCTTCCTCCTCTCCTTTCCTTTTTCTTTCCTTTCTCCCCTCCCCTCCTTCCCTCCCTCCCTCTCTCCCTTCCTTCCTTCCTTCTTTTTGTAATGTTTTGTGCATGGAGTAGCAGGCATTTTTCTCTTGCAGCCACCGTTGTTCCCCTCCCATCCAGACACACATGACTGCATCATGAGGCTGATTTCATTTTTATCAGCATTCTCTTTCTCTCTCTCTCTTTAAACCATTTTACAAAGCATAAGCAGAAAGACTTCAGAAAGTCAGATTTCAAAAGTGGTGCACTGCCTAAAAAGTTCTCTACACTTCTTATGCTCTTTCCTTGCTAGGACAATATTCAAAGAGCTCTATAAGCATTCAATGAGTCTGTGAACAAGTATTTATTGAGCATCTAGGAGGAATAGGGCTATACAGAATGCTATGAGGACTACAAAAGGTAGAAGACAGCAAATCCTTCTGAACATGCCACTCATATTGAAGGGACAGTGTGTCTTGGGGAGCAACTGCCTGACTTGATAACTTCTTGAGAAGTTGAATCATAACGCGAATCTCCTTGCCAGCAGGATATTTGCTCAGACAGATAAGCAAATCTGGTATTTACATCCCTTCTGCATCTTTCTTGTTTGTGTTTTCCCTGCTGTTTTACCAGCAGGACTAGTAAATGCTGTATTCAAGATAGGAGCCTGGAGTTAACTCTACTTGTGGCAAAATCACCACGTGTGCTTCAGCTGGCCATGGCACCAGATTGCTAATGAGCCCAATCTCCCTGTAGTTATGGTGAGTGACCAGGTGAACATGATGCTTTCTTTGTGCCTTGGGTCCTCAGTTGCTGGAACAGGGCTTCAAGCTGTTAAAACTGTGCTGAGAGAAACCTCACTGGACAGTGTCTGTATTTTGAGTTCCAATTTGTCTGCCCAGTTCCCATGGTGCCTGGATCCATGCAGATAGTGGACCTGAAGTTAATGTTAGATGAAAATGGTAACTATTATTATAGCTGAAATGTATTCAGTGCTTACTCTGTGTCAGATGCTATGCCGAGTTCTTTACATTGGTTGGCATTTTAGCCTCATAACAACTATTTACAATCATAATTGTTACTCTTATTTTACAAACAAGAAAAATGAGGCTTAACATCACACTTCTGCTTAGTCGCAGAGCCAAGATTTGAACCCAGGAATCCATTCACCGGTACATGCTACCTGGGTAAAAAATGTTTAATTAAAATCTATGGCATTAGATTTCAAAGAGTCCTAATGTGGTTTTGAAAATAGGTGTGCTTTAATTTGTTTATCAGTATGCTCCTGAAACTTGAATTGGAAAATGAATATGAATATCCTAAGGGCATGGGACATGTCTTTATAACATCTACAGTACTTAGCACTGTGCCTTACACATAGAGGACCTGAAATAAACGTTTGTTAAATGAATGGATGAAACAATTTGTAGAAGTTAATTTGAATTTTAAGTGTAGCCAGTAAGACCAGTGTTTGAGGGAACCTGCAGGTTTACTGAACAGAGTATCTCGGTTGATCCCATTTATTTAAAGTTACGTTTAAGTGGGCATTAATGCATAGAAAGATGACTGGAGGGGGATGTTTGAAAAGCAGACTTTTACTTTATTTTTTATACTTTTCTGTCTTGTTTTGAGTTATTAAAAATTGAGGACACATGTGTCTTAGTTTTGGTCCCACCTTAAGCAGAGCCTCATAGACAGGAACTTGGCGTGGTTGATTTGGGATGTGATACCAGGAAGAGAAGTGAGGAAGCAAAGAGATGGATGGAGACATCGAAAAGGGAAGTCAATGTCAGGGTGTATATAAGGCACTGGGAGTGGGTAAAGGGAGTTCCTTGCCATGGGGACTTGGCTAAAGGACAGGAGGCTGGAATACTAATCTACTGGGTCACAGCCTTCATTGGCGTGAACACCCTCAACTTTCCAGGCTCTGTTTTCAAAGGCCCAGTGGGCCCTTGCAGCATCAGAAAAGGCCTCACATCTGAGGGCAGAAAGAAACTTGGCTCACAGCTAAGGTGGGAGGGACATTGTGGTGCCAGGAGATCTGGGCTCCTGGAACTGCTCAACACAGTGGCTAAAAGCAGAGGTGAGTAAGAGATGTGAAATAGGAGGCATCTGCTATTGTATCATTTTTCAAACACCAGTGAAACAATAGTGAAAGAAACAACAGAAGTAATTTTTGTGAAAACAAAAAATTGTTTGACTTTGCAAATCTGGGCTTTCACAGATGAGGTTATTTTCAATGAGATACTCATGTGCACCATGTTGCAGGCCAGGTTCCCTCAGAAGCAGGATTCAAAGACCAAATATGTGCAGGAAGTATATTGGGGAGGGATCTATGCTTGTAAAGGAAGCAGGATTGGGCATGGAGAGAAGCCTTGCTGTGATGCAGCTACAAGACTTCAGCTGGCTCCAGAGGGAGCTCTGAAGCTGGGAAGGCCCTGCAGAATCATACTGAGTTAGGGCAAGGGGGCTGGCCTTTAGACAGGAGCACCCTCTAGTCATTGCGTGCCAGATGCCCCAGGAAGGGGACCCACCCTAGAGTGAAGCAGCTAGATGCAATTTCAGGAGAGGGCTTAGAGCTGAGGCCTGCCGGTTGGGGTAACAGGAATCTGGGCAGTGCAGCATAGTATCTACTGTGTGTGACTTTTAGCAAACTCACATTTGAACCTCAAGACCAATAAATAACATTGAAAAATTCAAAGCCAAGATAAAAAGCAAAACTTAATTCATCAAGTCTCCTTCCTTACTGCGGCAGGCCAAATCGGAAAGACACAAGGAATAGGACAAGGTTATTTTTTCACTTGTCAAATGAAGACTTTGGTCTACATCAGGAATTACAAACTGGTGGTCCACAGGACAAATCTGTCTGAAAAGTCTGTTTTACTTGCATCAATAGTTTTTCAAATCTGATTTCTGTTTTCTCTTAAAAATTTGGAATTCCTAGCATGTTGGGCCCACATTATTTCATTGTAAGTGACTGCCAGAGTGGAGTAGCAGGTGCCCTCTTTGTTGGGGCATATCCTTTCCCTTTACCCCCCTTCCCTTCAGCCTGCTTCAGTCATTTTTGTTACTGGCTGAGACCTGTCACCATTTGAGTTTGTGAACTCTGATCTACGTATGAAGTTCTACTGGCTCCGAGGAGCTGTGATTCTGTGTAGATAGTCTTGCATACTGCTAAAATAGGTTTTTTACTTTCCAGTGGCACAATGACAGCTAGAAACCGTTGGCTTTGTAGTCAAAGATACATCTCTTCCTGGAGTTCTCTTTGGGCAAGTCAGACCTTTTTTTTTTTTTTTTTTTTTTTTGTAGTCTAGTTTTGCGGCTTCACAAATGAGGATCTCAATGACCTTGATCTGGATCATGAGCATGAATGAAAATGCTTTTGGTGGTCATGGTAGGGGCTGTGTGGGATTTTTTAGCTTCTAGAATGTTATTTAAGACTCAGTGATTCCCATACCGAGCTGAATCTCAGAATTACCTGGGCCAGTATAGAAATAAAATTTTCAGATTCTTCTAGGCCTCTCTGATTCACTAGATCTGGGTCTTGTAGGTGGAACCTAAGAATCTTGTTTTTAATCAGTTTCTCAAGCAACCTCTGTATGCAACCAGACTCAGGAGCCATACTGGCTTCTTCTAGTTGCTCCTGGTATTCAGTGCTTGGTTCATGTGCTATAAGCTTCTAAACTCATGATGTGAAGGGGTCCTTTCTTATCTTTTTATTCATCCCTATTGTTTTGTGCTGATACCTAGCACAGTGCTCTAGAAATCCTGCTCACTTAATGAATGTTCAGTGAATGAATACTTGAAGGAGTGAATACACATTTCCAAATGCCTTTCTTCTTTAGGACGTGAAGAGAACAAACTTCCAAAATAATATGTTGAAAATCACTGGATTTAGAGAAATTGATTTATAGATATGGTGTCAAATAAGGCAGAGACAGGAAGAGTCCTAACTTCATCTTAGGAGGTTTTTGCCTTGGGGATGTTAAGAAATAAATGACTCCTTTTAAAGATAACTTATGCTTTTCATTAAAAGATAGATGATTTACCCCCCCCCCATGCAGTGTATGTGAGTTATTTGTACAATATTTCAAAAATAGCAAACTGACTCAATAGAAAAGAAAACTTTCTAAATTATGCCAAAATTTTGCCTTGAAATATAAACCTTGAAAGAATAAGATCAGGAGCTTCTTTTCATACTAGGAGATGGATGCCATGATAGAAATTTAATTTATTGTGTTATGGTTTATTTATCATGGGCTTGCTTCCAAAGAGTGCAAAAAGCATGTGTCTGCAGAGCACCAAGGGGAGGCATGGCCAGCCCATGGTTAACTTGGATTGTAAATGGGAACAATCCAGAAAATGTTGGCTCAAAAAAAATCTTGGCCCTTGTCTGGCTATTTACCTAGCCAGACAAGCGCCAAGATTTTTCTTTCTTAGAAGCCCTTGGCCGTAACCTCTAGCTTCTGGGGTTGAGGCTTCAGAAAGGCTTCATGTGGGTGAGATGGAGAATCTTTTTTTTTTTGAGATGGAGTCTCACTCTGTCATCCAGGCTGGAGTGCAGTGGTGCGATCTCAGCTCACTGCAACCTCCGCCTCCTGGGTTCAAGCAATTCTCCTGCCTCAGGCTCCTGAGTAGCTGGGACTACGGGTGCGTGCCACCACACCTGGCTAATTTTTATATTATTAATAGAGACAGGGTTTCACCATGTTGGTCAGGCTGGTCTCGAACTCCTGATATCGGGATTTGCCTGTCTTAGCCTCCCAAAGTGCTGGGATTACAGGTGTGAGCCACCATGCCTGGCTGAGATGGAGAGTCTGATTGTCTTGAGTGTGATTGGCTGTGGTTTACCAGGTCTGAACCAGCAGCCTTGGACAAGTGTGACACTCTGGCTAGAATGCACCAATTTTTCCCAAGTGCTCAGGAGTCTGTTAGTGAAGTTTGTGAGTTTATTTTTTGATACCTATGATGATTTCTGTCTTGAACTCAATTAGAATAAGTTTATGAAATCTGTGTTTTGCATCACTGGCACCTGCCCTTTGTTTTCATTTTCTTCTTAAACAATAGGATTATAATGCAATAAACTACTCAAATTAATGTTGTACAGACAAAGATGGTAATGGTGCTGAAAGTAAACCATTGATGGGTTGCTGTAGCACTATGTAGTATTTTGAAATGTTTACTGTCAGTTGAAAGCCCAAAGGTATAAAAAAGTGAGGGAGAATGTCAATGTTTAAAAATACGTATTGCACAGAAGATACATTTACTGAAGTTAAGCTGGACTGTGGACTAATTGGGTTATAAATATCAGCATCAGCCCCACTGTTGTCTGTGAAGTTTGGAATTATGGCTCCTCATCGTAGGGCTACTCGTTTTGTGCCCTGATTTCTGTTAATAGCTGTTATGACTGTTACTGCTACTTCTACCATTACTATTATCACTGTCCTTCTTGTTGGTATTGGCTAGTCCAGCCCAGCAGAAGTCTTTGAGGATCTGGGACCTTGAGAAAGCCTGAGATTTGCTGTGGTCATAGTCCCCAGAACTATGACTAGATTTGGACAAAGTCATGAGAGATTCTATCAGATGTTAATTTAATATTTGTGCAGTTTGTGCCCCTACCCAATAAGGATATTCAAATAAACTGATTCCATCTAGTTCAAAGGTTTCTAGAAATAGAGAAGTTTTTAAAAAATCTTAAGGACCAAAGAAAAGCATGAGTGGGTAGGATAATACCAGAGTAGTGGTTACAGACTTTGAGAAATGGAGGGATGCTTTGCTTTAATCTTAGACTTTCAGTGGTGAGACCTCTCCATTTTGAGAACAGTGATTTGATAACAGTTAATAGAGTTCAGGGTATCCCATTAAAGTTGTGGGCAAGAATGCAGTTGGTGTCCTGGCCAGGTTGCTCTCCGGTCATTAAGAAACTTTACTTTGCTGAGGAGATGTCTCCAAAATTCTTAGAGAAGAGAACCCAAAATAGTTTTGTGTGACAAATAGTTTGTGTGATTTCTTTAGTGGGTAACCTTCTTTTTAACATTGAAAAGATTCAGAATTAATTATAGAGTTATTTAAGAAAACTTATGTTTTCAAACTTATGTTAATAAAATATTTTGGCTGTAAAGAATCAAGGACAACAGATCCAATGCAGTCCCTATCAAAATATCAATGACATTCTTCACAGAAATAGAAAACAAAATCTAAAATTTTTATGAAACCACAGAAGACCCAGAATAGCCAAAGCTATCCTGAGCAAAAAGAACAAAACTGGAGGAATCCTGTTATCTGACTTCAAATTATACTACAGAGCTATAGTAACCAAAACAGTGTGGTACTGTCATAAAAACAGACACATAAACCATTGGAACTGAATAGAGAACCCAGAAATAAATCCATATATCTACACTGAACTCATTTTTGACAAACATGCCAAGAACATACATTGGGGAAAGGACAGTCTCTTCCATCAACGGTGCTGGGAAAACTGGATATCCATATGCAGAAGAATGCAGCTAGACTTCTATATCTGTCATATACAGAAATCAAATCAAAATGAACTGAAGACTTAAATCTAAGGCACCAAACTATGAATCATTGGGGAAACATTGGGGAAACACTGCAGGACACTGGACTAGGCAAAGATTTATTGAATAATACCCCATAAGCACAGGCAACCAAGCAAAACTGGAAAAATGGGATTGCAAGTTAAAAAGCTTCCACACAGCAAAGGAAACAATCAACAAAGTGAAGAGACAACCCACATAATGGGGAAACATATTTGCAAACTTTTTATCAGACAAGGGATTAATCATCATAATATGTAAGGAGCTCAAACAACTCAACAGAAAAAAAATCTAATCTGACTAAAAAGTGGGCAAATGATCTGAATAGACATTTCCCAAAAGACATACAAATGGCCAACTGGTACGTGAAAAGGTGCTCAACATCACTGATCATCAGATAAATACAAATCAAAACTACAATGAGATATCATCTCACCCCAGTTATGACTTTCATCCAAAGGATGGGCAATAACAAATGCTGGCAAGGATGTGGAGAAAAGGGAACCTTCATATAATCTTGGTGGGAATGTAAATTAGTACAACCACCATGCAAAACAGTTTAGAGGTTCCCCAAAATCTGAAAATAGAACAATCATATAATCCGGCAGTCCTACTGCTAGGTATATACCCAAAAGAAAGGAAATCAGTATATTGAAAAAATGTCTGTACTTTCATATTTATTGCAATACTATTCACAATGGCCAAGATTTGGAAACATCCTAAGTGTCCATCGACAGAAGAATGGATAAAGTAAAGGTGGTACACATATATAATGGAGTACTATTCAGCCATAAAAAGGAATGAGATCTTGTCATTTGCAACAACATGGATAGAACTGGAGGTCATTATGTTAGGTGAAATAACCCAGGCACGGCAATACAAACTTTGCATGTTCTCATTTATTTGTGGGATCAAAATTAAAACGATTGAACTCATCGAGATGGTAGAATGATGGTTACTGGAGGCTGGGATGAGGTAGGGAGAGTGGGACTGGTTAATGGGTATAAAAGTATGGTTAGATAGAATTAAGATCTAGTATTTGACAGCACAATGGGGTAAATATAGTCAACACTTTATTGTACATTTAAAAATAACTAAGAGTACAAATGGATCATAACACAAAGAAAGGATAAATGCTTGAGGTGATGGATACCATATTTATCCTAGTGTGATGATTATGCATTGTATGCCTGTATCAAAATATTTATGTACCCCATAAATATATACACTTACTATGTACCTGCAAAAAAATTTCTAAACAAAGAATCAAGGATATATTTTAAGCATTAGCAAAATGATCAAAGAGTAATTTTCAGCCTGAAAGTGGCAGGACAGGAAATCTGACACAATGATGCTCAGGGTTTTCGGCTCCACCAGGTGCTTATATCTTTGCCACCACTGTCTTGGTTATCACTGAGAGATACTTATTAAGGACTTATTTGTGTATAACAAAAATAAATAAGAAACTAATTAGCTCTGATCTCTTTCCTCTAAATCTAACAGTTCATTTAGTTGATGAAAATTTTATAGGCAGAATGACATAATTTATGCTATATGTAGTTATAGTATATACACTAGTCATAGTTATACAATTTAAGTTAACTATGCAAGTAACATTGCAGAGAAGCCAGGTAGAGATATGCTAGGGCACACACTGAAAGACACCCTGATTGATCTTTATCCAGGTGAGACATTCTCTGACCATTGAATTCAGCCTAGAATTCACAGCATCCTCTCTACAAATTAACAAATTATATTAACACATACTAGTGATGTTTTGACATGTGTCAAATAGAAGACTGCCAAAAAAATTCCGAAAAGTAAAATATGGGATGAAATAATCTATTTGGCTTCAGGGGATATTCATAAGACTCTAGCCTCTTCAATTTGTATCCTAGAAAGTTGCTGAATGGGACAAAACTGAGATGTGATAACAAAATGAGTTAAGACACTTTTCAGTGAGTTCTTTGGATATTTCATAATTCAAAGCAAGAGCTATCAATCTTTTCATTTTAGTTTTTGAAAGACTAAATTTTGTACATATGTTAGACAATGATAAGACACTAATCAAGCTGACTGTTCATCTTTCATTTAGTTAGTCAACCACTAACTAAATGTTATTGGACATAAAAATGTGCTAAGCAGCTTGGGAGATAAGAAAAGGAAGATGAGGTCTTATGCTGGAACATAAGTAAATGGAGCTATCTCTGGGCTTTTGTGACAGATGTTGGCCCATCTTGGGGTCCATGGTTGTAAATTACCTGGGAGTGAGAAGGACCCTTTCTTCCATCTCTGCCAGGACTTATCTTGTGCTCTGTAGAATGCCACCTTCCCCAGGGGAGCCAAGCTATTCATTCTTTCTTCATTGAGGTGGCGGCAGATTTGTTTGTCCCCGTTTTGCTGATAGCAAAAGTGGAGCTAAGTATATTAAAAAGGTCACTTCACAAAAATGTATCTGATTGTATAATCTTAAGATTTCATGGCAAGTAACAGAAGGAAAAGAGTTATAAATGATGAGTCCAAGATTTGCTAGACTTTAGGTTCACTACTGTTCTGAGCTGTGCTTCCTGGAAGAATGAGCATATGTGGAGTGACGTCTCTGTGCAGTTAGGAAAAAGAGAAATGTTAGAAAAATCGGTGCATTCACACCCCTCTCCTGCAACCAGAGAGTCCCCAGACCTTCAGTGAGTTTTAAAGTTATGTACTTACTATCTGGAAAGCCACAGTAAAAGAAAAAGAAATCCCCTCGGACAGTAGACATATTTGGTAGGATTCTTGAGAGGGATGTGGTAATTTCATAATGGAGGAAACAAACATAAATATTTAAGGAATGATAAGCTCCCTGACGTGGTATGCGATTGCCTGCAGGCATTTCTAGTCAGAGAAGCCATCTGCATCTCTCTCGCAGTATGTCTGCCAATTTATGTCTGTGTGATTAAGATCTTTATTGAAAAATTGTGCAATATCAGGATCAATAGCCAGGCATTTGGAACAGTAGCATACACTCGGAAACCCCTCCTGTGGGATGGATGTGCACTGGAAAAGAACACACTTCCTTCTGCCAGTTAGGTTTTTAGGTTCATGGCCTGAGAAAACAATGAAATCAGTCAGGTATTTAGCAAGGAGGAGCATGATACAATAAAATGTCTCATAATGAATTCAACTCAATTCACTTGGAAAGCAAAGGGTAGGGGCCAAGAGAAAGAATGATTGCATAGTTCAGACCACTCCAAGAAATAATAAATGGGCTTATTTACTGTGTCTCAGAACAGCTACCTAGAATGTTTCATTCCAACTGTCCATAACTAAGGTATTAAAAAATAATTGAGAGCAGGATCTGGATGAAAAAGGAAAAAAAAAACCCCTACATTTATTTACATTATTTTTTCAGGGCATATTTTTGGCTCTTTACTTCTTATTTTTGGCTTATCTTGTTCTCTGAGAAATGTATGCAGATCTCCACCTGGAAGAGAGGGTGTGGGGAAACATGGAAAATGCTTGCTTTTATTCCTCTACACCTGAAGTTGCACTGCCCCTAA
Organism: Homo sapiens; assembly: GCF_000001405.40. Taxonomy (NCBI): domain Eukaryota; kingdom Metazoa; phylum Chordata; class Mammalia; order Primates; family Hominidae; genus Homo; species Homo sapiens. Next base: position 34,112,717 of record NC_000014.9, on the reverse strand, counting down.
GACACATAGGATGGAAGAAAAACCCCTTAAACAGGACTTGTAGTCTAGACACTGCCCCACCGCCCTCTTCCACCCCTACTCAATCACTTCCCACCACCCACTTGCTCTGGCAGCTGATGTAGGTCCTGATATGTTGCTACGGCCTGACATATATAGTAGTGTCCTTTCCATACAGTGGCTACAAAAGAAGTGGGGTAATGTTTGAAGGGCCACCAGGGAAAGCCAAACTTTCTATGAGAGGTCTGTGCAGGAGCCCTAATTGTTGCTTCTCTGGTGTTTCCAGTTTATCAGTGCAGCACAAAGGAAGCTTTATTTGCATTCAGGGAGTCTCAAGGTATTTTTGCTTCTAGGTGTTCTGTTAGTATAGGCTTCCAGGCCGTAGGCTCAATATCACCATGTAGCACTGTGAATAGAAATCTAAAGACTTGCCTGGAAGCACAGATGGTCATATACCAACTGTCTATTCACAGTGCTAAGTGGTTAACTTGAGAAACAGGGGAGGTGCTATGAGGAGGATCAGCAAGGGTGTCAGCAGCATAGGCCGGGCTGATGCAGTCTCTTTAGCCCAGAAGACTCAGCGGAGGTTGCTAGGCTGCCTTTTCCTTCACAGAAGGCAATATGAAGACTAGAGGTGGGCTAGAGAACTGCAAACAATATTCAGGGAATTGTCATACAGAAAAATTGGCCAACTTTCCTACTACTCTGCTTAGGGAATCAGCACATCGGGTGTTGATACAGCTGATTTATTCTCTGTCAGCCCATCTCCATCCCAAGAAGTACTGTTTGGGGGTTAATGAAACTGGGCTAAACCTATGTAATAGGTCTCAGGCAGATAGTTTTGTCCCCATGATCTGCTTGAGCCAATTTGTACCTATTCAGGAGAGCCAGTTTTGTGCACTGATATCATGTTGGTAGGTTGAAACTGGCCATGGAGGGAGTATTTATATGATGGAAATTGTCAAAGTCTACAAATCAGAGCCGGTTGTTAAACATTTACCAGCACACTGCTGCCTTGAGGCTTTCTCTTTCGGATAGTTTGGACAGAGAAATTCACTTTCCCCTGGGCAGACCTGCCTTGTGCCTCACAATTCTAGCTACTCACCTCTACCTCTAATGCTGCTCCTGGTCTGCTTGCCTCTGATTGAAGTTCTCTGTCCCCTCTAGATTCCTCCAGTGCTATCTCTCTTTTTTAAAAAATTTCCATTTTTATTTTAGATTCAGGGGATACATGTGCAGGTGTGTTATAAGAGTATATCGTGTGGTGCTGAGGTTTGGGCTTCTATGGATCCTGTCACCCGGATAGTGAACATAGTACCTGACAGAAAGTTTTCCAGCCCTTGCCCCCCTCCTTTCCTCCCTCCCTCCTTTTTTCTTAAGCACTTTCTATCTGCAATACTCTTTGGACATTCATGCTTCATCATATAGGCTTGTGTTACTGTTACTGTTTTGCTGTAATCCCTGTTTATATGTTCCTGTACCTTCAACTAGAACATGAGGATGGAGAGAGTGGGTACTGTTTGGGGAATCAGCCATGGTGGTAACAATGTATGTATGGTAACAGGTGTGTTAGTCTGTTTTCACACTGGTGATAAAGACATACCTGAGACTGGGGAAATTATAAAGAAAAGGGGGTTTAATGGACTCACAGTTCCATATGGCTGGGGAAGCCTCACAATCACAGCAGAAGGCGAAAGGCACGTCTTACATGGCAGCAGGTAAGAGAGAGAATGAGAGCCAAGTGAAAGCGGGAGCCCTTTATAAAACCATCAGATTTCATGAGACTTAATCACTATGAGAACAGTATGGGGGAAGCTGCCCCATGATTCAGTTATTTCCCACTGGGTCCCTCCCACAACACATGGGAATTATGAAAGCCACACCTTAAGATGAGATTTGAGTGGGGACACAGTCAAACCATATCAACAGGGGTGGTTCAACACGGGGAGTAGGCAGACAGGAAACTGACTTGAAAGGCATATTGAAATATTTGAAGTCTGGGGCAGCACCCATTAAGTACAAATGACACGATGGAGAGGCTTTGTGGGTCTCATTGGAAGATATTCAAATATTTTCTTAATGTGCAATCCTTGTCAGGCCTGATTTGTGGTTTTTTAAAATCATCACAGTTGGTTTTCAATCAAAGCCACTCAAGAATTAGCCTTGCCTACAGATAGGAGAAGAGATTGTGCGAGGAGTAAATTGGAGCAAGAAACTATCACTATCCACATTCTGCACAACCCAGGAGATCTTTCAGGAGAGTTCTGGAAGAGAAAGGAGGAGGGGGGTATTAGCTAACAGTGTCTGCTGTTTACCGCCATGTGTCTGTTAGCAGGAAGTTTTCCTTAGCTTCTTACACATGATTCTCTTCTCTCCCTTTCTCCTACAAGCATTTGGGGGTTTTATTCCCTGGTGCCCATAGAGTGCCAGCAGGGTCTAACTCTGCTTATTCTGTTTCCAGAACCCATGGTCTTCTATCCCAAGAGGCCCTTCCACTGAAGATTCTAGATAAAGGTGACCTATCTGAGAAGATCCTTCATCCTAACTTTGAACAACTTCAAAGTTTGCCCTGGGGTCTTGAGTCTGTGATGGAGGAGGTCTGGGTGACTATGGGATGAGGAACCTCCCTTCTCAGTTACACTGAGAGACGGTGTCAGAGTCAGGCTTTTCTGGGGGCATATGAGACTTTGGGGAGGCAGGTTGTCTTGATGACTGTATCTGTGTGGGTTGAGAGTAGGTATGGAAAAGACGGCAGAGAGGAGGATGGTACAGGATCTGTAGGCCCGTCTTTACCCTGGGGTTGCTGGTCTGTGCTCACCATGAGGCCTCGTGCTCACCAAGAGTCTGCCACTTTTCCTCTGCTTCCCAGTCATCCTCGCTGGTTTCACCAAAGACCCACTAATTCCACTAATACGTGGAAGACTCTCAAAGATAAGAAGATGAGTGAGTGAATATAAATAATAAAAAGGTGAGGGCAAAGGAGCAGGTTTATCTTAAACACATTTTTTTTTCCCTGGAGGTGCCTTCTTTTCTACCTAGAGCATATGTTAGTGTCCTACACATGGGATATTGGGGAGTTCATCTTTGGAAAAGACTTTTGAGTTCTGGGGAGCAAGGATGTCTTGAAAATAGGCTTCAGTGGTTATACATCTGTAAATGTCTAGAACTTCTTTGTATGTTTTTCCTTTGATGTTAACAAACTCCTTTGTGGTTCTACACCTCCATACCTGTTTCATCTGCCTGGTCTGCCCATCCCACCACTGCACCTGAGAAAGTCGGCATCTGTTAAGACTTCCATGAAATGCCCCCATCTCATCAGTGTCAGCCACTTCATAGTTAAACTTCAGTTTCCCCATCAGGAAAACAGAGACAATGGTACCTCCTTCATAGGGTTGTTGTGAGGGTCAAACCCCTGTTAAGACATGTAGAACTTCTAGCAGATCTGCATCATATGCGGTATTCAACCAAGGTTCTCCCTCCTTCCCTCTCTTCTGCTAGCCTTCTTCTGGGCTCCCATAGCTCTTTGTTCATAGCTCTCAAGTTTGCCAAACTACCACTTTCGGTTTCCATGTGTGTTTCTCCAGCTGTACCATCAACTCCTGAGGATAGAGGTTCTTTCTTTCTTTCTTTTTTTCTTCTTCTTTTTTGAGATGAAGTCTTGCTCCGTTGCCCAGGCTGGCGTGCAGTGGCGTGATCTCGGCTCACTGCAACCTCCATCTCCCAGGTTCAAGCGATTCTCTTGCCTCAGCCTCCTGAGTAGCTGGCACTACAGGCACCTGCCACCACGCCTGGCTAATTTTTGTATTTTTAGTAGAGACGGGGTTTCACCATATTGGCCAGGCTGGTCTCGAACTCCTGATCCACCCACCTCAGCCTCCCAATGTGCTGGGATTACAGGCGTGAGCCACCATGCCCGGCCTAGAGCTTCTTTCTTAATCATCTTTATAGCCTTAGAACCTAACACAAGTCCAGGTACATAGATAATCTGTAAATGTCTGCCAATTGAGTAAATAAAGGAAGGAATGTGTGAATAAAGAAACGCAGTCTGGTTCAGTGGAGGGGGATTAGTTGCCCAGGAGGCTAACCTAAATTAAGAATATAGTGCCAGTTAACTTAGGTTTTTTACAGATAACTCATGTCACTGGCAAAATGTCAGTAGATGTTTTCATTTGGTAACTTTAATATTTATCATATAGAATTTGAACATTTGATAGAAAATAAAGATTTGTGGCTGGGTGTGGTAGCTCATGCTTATAATTCCAGCACTTTGGGAGGCCAAAAAGAGCAGATTGCTTGAGCTCAGGAGTTCAAGACCAGCCTGGGCAACATGGCAAGACCTCCTCTCTACAACAGATACAAAAAGTAGCAGGGTGTAGTGGCGAGCCCCTGTAATCCCAGCTACTCAGGAGGCTGAGGTGGGCGGATTGCTTGAACCCAGGAGGTGGAATTTGCAGTGAGCTGAGATCGTGCCAATGCACTCCAGCCTGGGGGACAGATTGAGACCCTATCTCAAAACAAACAAACAAACAAACAACAACAACAACAAAACACAAAACAACAACAACAAATTGTTATTTCTAACCACCTTCTGCCTTCAAAGAAGAATGAATTCTTCTTATTAGAAGTTTTATGAAGCACAAAAAGAACCTTTTAAAAAATACTTCTTAGATGCCCAGAATTGGGTTAACTATACTCTCTGATTTATCACTGGCTCAAATATGGCCCTCTTTTATTTGATGTATTATTACATAATCAATACCTCGGAACCCTCTCACAACCCAAAGATGAGAACACTGACAATAATAATTTGACCTGTGTGTTCTTCTCCCATTCTTTACTGCTGTCTCCTTCACATTCTGCAACCATTAACCTGAAGTTTGTCTTTATTATTCCTTTCCTGTGTAAAAGGTTTATCACTGCTCTCTATATATGCCTTCATAAAGCTCAGTTTTTGTAGTGTTTGTTCTTTATTCATAGAGTATTATGCTGTATATGGTCTTCCAAGACTTACTTTTGCCTTTCAGCATCATATCACCTCTGATTCATCCACATTGTTGCCTTTGACTGAAGTCATTCATTTTCACTATTGTATAATTCTCTGCAGAGTGAATGCACCATAATTTATCCTGTCGATGGGCCTTTGGTTTGTGTCCAGTTTTATGCTTTTATGAGAAGTATTGCTATGAGCATTCTGAAACACGTTAGCTAATGTATAGGTGCCGAATCAAAACCTTCATCTTCAGTAATAGGACTTCACAAATAATTAAAGAAAATAAATATTCATCAGTAGTTGATGGAAAACATTCAAATGGGTAGTAACTACAGCAGTGGGGCGGACAGTGGGTGGGAAGTGAAAAGAAAGAGGAGAGAGAGAAACATAGAGACAGGAAATGTTTGGTAGCTGCAAGGCCAAGAAGAGCCATTTGATAGGAGAGACAAATCTAGGAGGTATTTTTCAAGTAAAATACTGTCTGTTGTTCAATATAAATACCTTTCTATATCACCATTTCAAATGTGTCAGTAAATTACATTGCTCACTTACACAAGTGGAGTTTTGCTTTGAAAATACTTACAGGATGAGAGGATAGCTGACATGTGAGTTATAAACAAATACGTAATTCATCTTTTATACTATAAAATCAGCTTTTCTCACCCCTGCTAAACAAATGTTGAACAAATACTAAAAGAATATTGGTGTAAGAGATTCTAAACTATTAGCCTATTCAAGGTAACCACACGTTTTGACCTGACCTTCTGAATGAATGAGTGAAGATGCCTTGGAATGAACATGACTTGGTTCAGCTATTCCAGCACCAAACCCAGAGGGGGAAAATCTCTAGTCTTTGGAACAAGGAGGTAAAATGTGGGTGTGTAATAGACCCACATGCCAAAAATTTGCTCCTTTCTTAAACTTTGGTAACGCTGCTTAATTTTTATGTAGTTTAGTCTTTTACATCTACTAGGGCTGCTATCACCTATATAAGTGCCATGAAATTAAGATTTGGAGCAGCCTACTTCTCCACCAACACAGATTCTCTACTTGAGAATTTTCCCTCCTGTCTTTAGGCAAAAGCAAATGCTTATATCAAGGCTGGTGGCTCTTTATTCAGGCATTTGGATCCTTAAACACCGTAAACTAAAGCATGCCCTGAAGCATAGGGTATGATAAACACAAGTGTTTTTGCTATCAGGACGTGCAATCCTGTTCCTACATGCTCCACGTAATTGGACAGCAAACAGTGCTCCTTTTCTTCCTTATGATCCCCTGTATTGCTGTGGAAATTGGAGTAAAATGTGATAATTGGAATGATCGTGCACTTAACATTCCTGAGCTCAGCAATGATAAGAAAAGGGTAGCAGTCTCTTTGTGATTTTTATGAACAGGAGTAAAACCTGGGATGTGTAGTGGCCAGTTTTAGTAGTTGGTACCAGGTGCTATACGGTTAATTTTTTGAAAAGACACATTTACCAGTGAACTTCTATACTGACAAATTTCAAATAACTGTTTCATCTGCCTTTGTTGAAAAAGGGGCTTGTCAGTGCTCTTAGGGACTCCATCATGTGTGGTGTTCTAAGTGGGCAATGCACTACTTAGAAGAGTCTACAAGGCAAAGACACTGGCTGTTGAGTTTTTTGGCTGCCTCCCCCTGCCCTAGCCCTAAAGATCGAATCCAGGACCACCTGTCTAATTTGTGGGGCTCACTGCAAAATGAAAATGCAGGGCTCCTTATTTTAAAGAAATTAAGAATTTCAAGACAACAACAGAACAAGGGTCTCTGTGTGGCTCACAGTTCCCATGCTCATGAAGGCAGTCCTGGCTCTGATCTTAAATAAGAAGTGGGATAAGAGAAGTTCCCTAATTCTCTCTGGCATAGTTTACAGTGTGTGCCAAATACTCGTGGGGAAGAGGTGATGTTTCACTGAGGGCCCAGGGATGCCTTCTTCCAGCTCCTGGTGAAGAGGAGAGAGAGAAGCCCGAAGTGAATGACTGGGTTACCTTCAAGATCCTTTCTGTTCCTCAGAGTCTGTAACTTAAAAGCCCTTATCCTGAAGGGACTCTAATTCTAAGATGCTGTGCTTTTCTTCCCTACTCTTCACAAACTGAGAACTGCAGCTTTACCACTTATTAACTATCGTGACCTAGGGCTGGTGACTTGTTGTCTCTGTGCCTCAGTTTCCTCATTTGTAAAATGGAGGTAATAGTACTTAACTCATGGAGCGGTTGTGAGGATTGAACTAAACAACTCATGTAAAGTGCTCAGTAGCGTCCAGGTGCATGGTCAGCTTTCAGTAAAGAGTGATCATTATTGCTATTATTGTGATAAACCCTTGCTTTTGGAAAAGCTTGTATATGAGAAAAAGGCCCTGGGGTGACAATTCGGTTGAAGGCATATGCTACCCCAATAGACCTTTCCTAATTCTTTTTTCTCCAGCTTACCTCCTCTTAAATGTAGAATCTTTTGAATATGATGAAAGTCCACACACTAACAAAGCCACTGCTGCCAGCAAGGTCACCCAAGGAGAAGCAGCCTTGTCCTCTGGGCGTGCAGAATTGCATGCATTTATGCAGACACTCTAGAGGCTTGTACGGCTGTGCTGAACCTCCATGTAGGTTTGTCTCACTGCCTCATTCCAATCCAGGCAGAGGGAGTCTGTTAAATTCACAACTCAGCTTAGAAGGGTCATCAGGATTCATTTGTTGGAATTGCTGGTGACATCTGAAGCTTTCATAGAAGAGCTTGTTCTTTCCAGAAGAGTATAGAGTTCCTGTCAGTTACTGCTTCCTCCTCTGGCCTCACAGAATAAGGCTGGGGGCGAGCCAGGTCAGTGCAGTATTTTAGGGCAGTAGGCCATCTCTTTATGTGGAACCTTTCTAATATCCACACTCTGGACTGAAAGACTCCCTTAGACCTGGAAAAGCCCCTCTCCCACTCCTCAAACGTTTACTGCATGTGAAAGTGTAGCTCAGCCCCTATCCTTGGTGCTCTCTGTGGGTCTGGCTTCTCTGCCTCCAGATGGTTCAGGCTGCAGTCTGGAATGTTCTATTTCAGCAAACGGAGCATGTTGTTACATTATCTGCACTTTTGCTTTCATCTTGGGGTGGATGACTGAGTATGGACTTGGAGGTTTTGCGCCATAGATTTGTAGTAATAAAAAGAAAACTGACCTTCGTGGAGCAGTTTCTGGGCTCCTGGCACTGTACTAAGGTGGCTGTTATTTATTCTTAGAAGGTGGAAATTATTATCCCATTTTTTTGTAGATGAAGAAACAGAGGTTGTTTTAATATATTGCCCAAGTGCACATAGCTGATAAGTGGCAAAACCAGCATTTAGGAGAAACAACTAAGAATAAATATCAGGATAGTGCCAGGGACATGGGTAGAGAAGGCCTGATAGAATCCTGTAACACAAGGACTAAGGGAAGGTGTAAAGACCAGCTCTCTAAAAACCTGGAAGTAAGAACAGCCAAGCCAGATACATCTCCCGCAACATGTCGTTGAGGCATCCTGGTAAATGGGGTGGGAACTGCCCCAGCATGGATGGCTCCTGTGTCCCCCTGGGAAGCAGCACATGAGCTGGTGGAGAGTCCTTGGGCAGGTGTGTGTTGCAGCAGACCTGACCATGCCACTTGGAAACAAGGTTCATGCTGCTTTACAAGAGGCCTCCAGACTCACTCCAGACCTCTCCCATTAATGGGGATGGTGTCCCATAGCTCCTGATGTCCTGTATGGTGGGTGGGTTGGACTAGGGAGCTGATAGGGCTGCTCCAGGTAGGATTCCTTAGCAATGAGCTGCTTAGGTCTACAAACACAGGGACTCACACTTGTATTTCAATGCTTCATGGTTATCCCAGGGTAGGGATGAGCTTGGTAGAGGGCAGGAACATCAGTGGGACTTAAGGGTGACAGCCAGCCACCTATCCCTGACCTTCTTTATTACGACAATTCTCTTTGATATACACCATTCATACTACCAGGTAGCTCATATTGTAAGTTTTAATTTCACTTTTATTTGTGTGATTCTTGATTACTGTCTATATCTTCCAATCCATGTCTGCTTTTACTCATCATTGATTCCCAGTACCTCATACACTGCCTGCCACCTATAGTGGGTATTCAAATAAGTATTTTTTAATTGATTAATTAATGAATGAAAAGAAGTTCTGGAAGTGTGAGAAATTGAAAAAGTGCTTCGGAAGTAGTTGAGTGCTGCCTTTCCTGACTCTGCTGATTAAGTATGTGACAGATACCACAATTATCAGCATTCCAGATAAGAATCCAGAGAATGCTATCTTTGGCAGTGTCAGAAATGCAAGCTTTGTTCCTCTTCACTTGCTGGGAATGCATTAGTCTTTGGATGAAAGGAGGCGTTGGGGCAGTCAATATGCCCTTTGGCTCTGGCTCGGGATTTATCAGTCACAGTTCCCCCATTGAAAGCATGAGGGTCATCAGGGACTAGCCAAAGTAAGAAAAATAGAACTTCAATCTCTGCATGGGGATCTCAGGTCAAGGCAAAAATCTCGGAGAGGCTGAGAGCAAAAAGATCTGTATGATTTGAGGGGATCAGAAAGCCCAGCTTGACCCCAACTACTCTCTTATTAGCCTGCTTGGAGGGTTGGAAATTATTGTGTTTAGGAATTTCTCTTTGGGTTAAGGTTTTGATTCTTGAAAAACTCTATAATAAAACATTTTCCTGGGTAAAGTGCTGCTTTTACCCAGTTCCCACCCCATTTACCAGGATGCCTCAATGACATGTTGTGGGAGATGTATCTGGCTCGGCTATTCTTACTTCCATGTGTGAAGTCATTACCATGAGCATGGTAGCATGAATTATTTTGATAAATTAACCAGTTGTGCTGAGTAGAGGCATTCCAAAGGCCAGAAGGAAAGTGACAGGTGAAGTTGAATGGGTATTGGGGTGTGGGAGTTTGACAGCAGATGGGAGTTGGAAGGAGAGATTTTGAGAAGGGTGGTCTCGTGGAGTATTCCTGTGGTGGTAAGCAGGAACTTGGTATAGAAATGTTGCCAGGGCCCTGGCAAATATCCGAGTATGCTTAAGTTGGATATTTTGAGGGGAGTTTAATAAAGAGACTGCTATAACCGTGTGATCGGGCTTAGAGAAATCACACCAAGGACAGTATAGTACTTTGGACTAGCACTAGCATGGTTCTGCCATGCCCCAGGCTGGATGGAGCAAGGAGGGACAGCAATTACTAGAATCTGCAGAGGTTAGCTGCAGGCGAGGCTACTTACAAGGCACAGTGGATTAAAGATAGTTTGAAGTTCTTTGATATTCCTTTGAGATTGAGGTCTGTGTTCTCCTGCCTTGAATCAGAGGGGCCTCGTGACTACTTTGATCAACAGAATGTGACAGACATGATGTTCTAGTTTGTAGGCCCAGGCCTTCAGAGATTGGCAGCTTCCATTTCCTTTCTTGGAAGCTTCCATTTTCTTTCTTCTTAGAAGACCACTTGCTCTTGGATACAACCACCTTGCTGAGAGGAAACCTTTTGAGCCTCAAGGAGAAGCCTACCTGGAGGAGAACTGAAGGCCTCTGCTGACAGCCTTGACAGAGCTCCCAGTTGATGCTGGTTGCAGTCATCATCAACTGGCTAGCCATGTGCATAAGCCATCTCAGATGTGGATTCTCCAGCTCCAATCAAGCTGCCACATGGAGCAGAGATGAGTCACTCCACCAAACCCTGCCCAAAGAGTAGGTTCATCCGTAAAATAAGTGATCATTGTTGTTTTAAACTGTTAAGTACTGGAGGTAGTTTGTTGCCTACCAATGGATGCTGGAATACAGGAGTTGTGGCCTCAGTAAAGGGACACAGATAACCTATACTGTGGCGAGAAGGAAGCCAGGAGGACAAACAGCCTGGCCCCTCTCTCCTCCTGCCTACTTATTTACTACTAGTGACCTCCATTGGATGAACCCAACCAAAGCCAGCGGACAAGGAAGCTGTTGATGTTGTCCTTATAGGCCAGCCCCCTGGGACATGCCAGGTTGGAGAAATGTGAAGGGGCGATCTGGAGGGATGAATGGAAGACATGGAATAAGCACCAGGCACTTTGAAGCTGGTCTCATGGAGTTGAACCCAGTTGATAAAGTTCAACTGCCCAACTGCCCAATAGAGCAAGAACAAAAAATTTCTAAGACAAAGGCCAGAGCCTATTTTACAAGGACTCCGGGTACGTGATCAATAAGGCAGAAAGGAGAAAAATTTACCAAAGCCATTACTTAAAGAAGTAAGCTCTCAGATGGGATAATGCCCTGTGAATGCCAGCCGTGGGCCATGAACTCCCCAATTTCCTGAGCAGTCAGTCTGTTGGGGGGTCTGGGGGCCTGATACACAGTGGAAGATCACCCTCTGCCTTTATGGCCCATAAAACAAATACTTATACTTCTAAGGAAATTGGAGTAATCTAGCTAAGGAAAAGGGACTCTTTCCTGGGGCTAGAAGCTCCAGATAGACAAACCTAGGTGACCTGGGCAGAATCAAGACTGCTGTTGCCTTGCTTGTCAGAGGCTGGTGGCAATGAATCCACTAGCACCTGAAGGGATCCATGGAACAGGGGAACAGTGGCAGAGAGGGAGAAGCCCCTTCAATCTGCTTCTAGGAGAGCAGGCAGGCTGCTCGCTGGGCTCTGGGGCCAGTCACAAAGCCAGAGTAGTGTCCCCAATGTCCAGTAGGAATTTTGTCAAATCTAGTGAGAGAGCTTTCGAAAACTGCCCTGTTAAAGGGAGGTGATAGAGAGTACCATGATTACAGCTGGGATTCAGGGGTCCAGCTGCGTGGATTCAAATTCTGGCTCTGCCTCTTGCCAGCTGTATAATTTTGTTTAATTCCTCTATGACTTAGTTTTCTTATCAGTAAAATGGTGATAATAATAGTGCATATTAGGTGCAGCTTTTAAGGATACATGAGCTTATACTACATACCTAGAGAAACAGCAGGATGAAGTGTCTAAGAGCACAGGCTCTGGAGCCAGATGGCCAGGGTTTGAATCCTGGCTCCACCACTTACTGTGTGCATGATGTAGGGCAAGTTATTTAGTTTCTCTGTCTCATTGTCCTCTTTCATGGGAATAATAGCATACTTCCTTCATTTTGGTCATCACAAAGATTAGTGAGTCAATCTATGTAAAGGGTTTAGAATGGCACCGATATTTAGCAAGCACTCTGTTAGCTGTGATTAGCACAAGGCCTTGTACATCTTGGTGTGATTGTGTGGCATATAATAATCAGGCAATAACATTTTCCTTCTGCTGGAAGCGGAGACAAGAGGGGGAAACTCATATGCTTGTGACAGAGCTCTGCCCAGTTCATATTCAACACATCTCAGAACTGCCCTGTCTCTTGGTTGATGACACTGTGGGTAGTGAAGTTTGGTCCATTCCCACAGGTGTGATCACATTGGTGTCCGTTTTGCGCTCTGCCCCAATCACACCTTAGCTTCTAGGCTGCCTACCAAAGACATTGTCTCCCCAGTGGCGCTCTCAGACCCAGCCTGGCAGCACACTGCCATTGTTGGGTGACTGATGGCCCACGGGAAATGGGGCTTCCCTTCTGCCCTGGGGCCTGGCTGTGAAAGCAAGCACAAGAAAAATGGTATCAATAAAGAAGGCTGCTCCTGGTAGACAGTGCCTCTTTTTTTCCAACTAAATGATACACCTAAGGCATAAACCACAGAGTCTGAAATCTGAGCCAACCTGGTTGTCTTTTCAGCTTCTGGAACCCACTTGGGACATTGCTACTCCCCCGTGCCTCAAGGGTACCCTTCCTTAAGACCTTGTCCTACAAAGGCCTCATCGTGATTTGCCTGTTGGAGCTTGGCTTGCTCTGATAGACAAAGTGCAGGAGTGGGGTGTGGCTGAGCCGCAGCAGCTGCAGGGAGATCTTTCAGAGAACTGTGGGCAGGACAGAGAACTCCGATCCTGGCCCTGGCACTGGCAGGCTGGGTGAAGTCTCTAGTGCTTAACCCCCTTAGTCCTCTTTTTGCAAAATGAAGGCAACATCAACAGACTTCGGGGAGTCTCCTGAGACTAAATCCTTAAAGAGGGAGTTAGGGAAAAGCAGGTGGTAGTGTTCACTGTGTTGACAGAGCAATCATGCTCATCAGAACCTGTGGTTTTAGGGCCTGGGGGCCATGGAAAGAGCAAGGGGTGGCTTCATCCTCAGGTGGATAGTTCTCCTTCCTGGGGCCTCTCTTCCTTCCTCTCTCCCTTGCTATCCCCTAACCTGTCCCAGTGCTTCTTTAGAGACCAGGAAGATTCTCAGGAATGGTTGCCCCTTGGGCCAGTGTTAGAGCAGGAATCTAGAAGGAAGGTCATGTGTTAGGCCTGCAAAATTTACCCTTCTCCCCAGATGCTTCCATTCCTCTTTACCTCACTGCCCTCCCTTAGATTTTTATTTGGCCTAACTTAGGTCATTTTTTTTAACCAAAAAAAAAATGGGGGGCTATTGGCATAGTTCTACCTCAGCAACTATCCAGGGAGCCTGGCCTGGTCCAGGCATGCAGTGGGTTTTCCTTCAGAAATGAGTCCTTTGAGAGCCCAGAGAAGGGCAGCCCTGAGCCTGTTCACTCAGCCTGACCTGGAAAAACTGCAACCCACTGAGACACTCTGTTTCTCAGTTCTGTCCTTTCTAGAAGGTACCATTCCTCCTGAAAGGTCAAAGTGACTGTTCAGTCTCAATCTATCATGTGATGAAAGGTGTGGTACCAACTACAGCAAATAAACTTACAATTTCCAACATCCAACCAAAGAGGCTGACTACAAAATAAAGCTATTCCTACGAAACTGCAATTTTTGCAGGTCAAATTTTCAGCCAGCCACCAGAGGGTGCCCGTAGAGCTCTCTAAAAATGACCAAAACCTGAAGAATTAGAGGAGAAAGAAAATTTCCAGTGCATGGAAGACCAGGACAAAATACAGCTTACCCCCACGTGACTTGAACAGATACACAGGCCAGACAAGGAGCTGTGAGGCTGTCGACAACAAGAACCAGGGTGGGAGTAACCCCAGATTTTACCTAGATATGAGCTAAACAAGTTGCTTCTTGATTTCACATTGGCAATTGCGATAGTACTTTGAGGACTGGCCCAGAAAGCATTTTCATCCCCTGGCAAAACTCTTCCCCATCAGCTTCCCAACCATGTGTACAAAGGAAATGCAAATACATGTGAATAGTAGCCTGAGTCAAAGTCTTCTTGGAAGGTAAGGCTGCTTGCGACTGCTGCTGCTTTGAAAAAGAAAAATCCTACAATGCAAGTGAAAGGACAGATTTTCTGAGCCACTGCTTCTGCACCAGGGTGAGGGTTCAGAAGGACGAAATACAGGTACCATGGTTCTCTGAAGAGATGGTCTTGTGTGGAGCACACCTGGCATGAAAGGATGGGGACAGCTTCTACCCTCTCCCCAGCAGGGCCCGACAAGCAGGCTGTGTGGCATTCCTGTATTTCCAGGGCTGGCACAGTGGCTGACACACAGTAGCTGCCTGTAAATGTTTGTTGAATGAGTGAATAAATGACTAGGAAGGGAGCTGGAGTGGGTGTGACACTGTCTGGGCTGGCTGGAGCTTTCACCAGGTTGAGGGATGACAGGGAAAGGGGTAGGTGGGTGTGGGAGGGTAATTTCCCAGTGAGGAGAGATTCTGTGTTTCATCTGGGTTGCCTGTCTGAGGCCTTTTCTGTGGGCAACGAAGGCCCTAAGACAGAGTGTGTGGACTCTGCCCTAATGATAGTCAAACCGCCCAATGGTCCCATTCATTCACGTATTTGTCTACTAATTGACAGCTATTGAGTACCTAATGGGAACCGTGGCCTTCATCCCTCATCCCTACGCAGGCGACCCCAGACTGTCTTAGCCACCTTCGTGAGCTGGGGATGGGAATGCCGGAGGAAGTGAGCACATGGCTAATACTGGGCAGGGGCTTTGGCTGTCTGGAAATGCAGCCAGCAGGGAGCTGGACTGAGGCACCGGTTGCTGGCAATTGGGCCATTTGTCTCTCTGGACAAGTGCAAGCAATAAGTGTGTATGTGCTCTGTGTGTGTGAGACTATGCAGGTGTGAGTGTGGGTTGCAATAATGTTTCACCTTTGCCTGAGGGTCTACCATTTCACAACCCTTTGGCAGCACCCAGCCTCCCTTGCTGTGCCTACAAGGGAGAGAAGAGGTGATTAATATTTAAATTTGGAAATAGCTGTAGTTTGGAGACAGACATTATCATTCTAATTCACCATTGGAGAAATTATTATGTCCATGCTTTGCAGAGTATAATGTAGCCTCTATACTTGCTCCCTTCCTAATTTTTCTCCCTTGGGGCTGCTTTAATGACATCTTTGGGGGGATTACAGCCTTCAGATGAACCAAGGGGCATGTCTGACTTGGAAGAAAGAGAATGGGTTTAGGAATCTTCTTGTTTCTCTCCTCCCCTGCCCATGGCTAAGTCTGTCCTTCTGATACTATAATGAGCATCTTTTCCCCATCAGACTGAGAAGTGTAGTTTCTTGAGCTATAACCCTTTTAGTTTGCAAATCTCACACTGGTGAGGTGCTGATGATCGCTGGGCCCACTCTGAGTAGTGGCCCAGCAGGATTCCCCACACTCTGTGAGCTGTTTGATGGCATAGATTATGTATCCACCTAGTCCTTTTAAATTTCTGATCTCCAACAGGTCTTGGCACAGTCCTGTGTACTGGGCAAGGTTAGACACAAGTGAGAGACTACTAGGAAAGAGCTTCAATAAACCAGCTATAGCTAAAGCAAAGGAAAATGTTCTGGAAAAGCTAAGCAGGCTCCCGAAGAAGCTTCCACTGGATTTTCCCATCAGATTGCTTTTGTCATAAGATCTTCTCTGGGGAAAAAATCCATTTTTTTTTTTAAAGGGAAGGAAAGAAAACCCATACCTAGAGGCAAAAGATGGCCCAATGACATCTTTGCCTGAGCTCTCTGTCAAGGAGAATCTTAGTGGAAGCCATAAGATTATGGAGTTTAGACATCAACAGAGAGAGTGTGGGTCAGGGAGGAGCTTACCTTAGACACACTCAGCATGGACCAAGGGGAGTTGTGTGGATCTGTGAGTGCCATTTTATCAAATACATAGAGATAACCTCTTTGCTGTTTATAAGAGCGAACTAATGGGAAGAAGCCAGCTTTAAAATTACCATTTTGTCAAGAAAGAATAGAGCAAGCACTATAAACATTTACCGTTTTTTTTTTTTTTGGTCTGTTTAGTAGATAAAATTCTATAAGACTCAACTACTTGTTATTAAACAAACTTATCTTGAGTATCTCCTATGTCTCAGGCACCAAGACCTGTACTCGTTGGAGACTATGATGGACAACACAACATGAATTTCTTGCCCTCAGGTGGTTTACAATCTAGAGAGGGAGGCAGACAAATGACCAGATGACATCCGAGAGACCAAGCTTTGCCTGCCCTCCTGTGGCCTTGGCTGGGGGATCCTCCTGTGGCCCATGGAAGGGGCATTTCTCTGAACTGAAGGACTCCACCTCTCCTATGCTATAACTGGCCAGGGATGGGCCTGCAGTGGCTGATCAGAGGTTCAGCCCTTGGTAATTCAAGCCAATCCAGTTTCTTGCCTTAAAATTTGTAATTGACATGCTGACAGATGAAGTTAGTTACAGGTGGTGAGTGAGCTTCAAGTTTATGGAGACTTGGGACTGAAGCCACTTGATGAGCCACGTATTCCCAGAGAGTGTGTAAAAGCAAAAGAAGCAACCAGAAGAGAGGATGAGAGAGGGGAAGGGGGCAGACTTGGAGAGTCAGCTCCCCTTGATGGCAACAACTCCCCTTGCTCCTTATCTTTGTGTCCTGTGAGATTACCATTCTTTAAAATAAATCCCTCTCTTCCTGCGACAAGTAGACTGAATTTGTTTTTCTTACAAGCAAAAGTTCTGTTTTTAATTCAAAATGTTAGAGAACAATGTGCAGTCAGCCTTTCTATCTACAGGTTCTGCATCCACAGATTTAGCCAGCCTAGGATTGAAACTGTAGTTAGGCCTGTAATGGTTGTGTCTGTAGTGAACATGTGCAGACTTTTTTCTTGTCATTATTCCCTAAACAATACAGAATAACAACTATTTACATTGCATTTACATTGTACCAGGTATTGTATGCAATCTGGAGATGATTTAAAGTGTACAGGAGGATGTGCATAGATTATATGCAAATACTATGGCATTTTATATCAGGGACTTGAGCATCCATAGATTTTGGTATTTGTGGGGGTCCTGGAAGTAAGCTCCCACAGATACTGAGGGTTGACTGTATTAGTTTCCCAGGACTGCTGTAATAAGTTACCATAAATGTGGTGGCTTAAGACGATAGAAATATGTTCTCTCACAGTTCTGGAGACAAGAATCCAAACTTAAGGTGTCAGGAGGGTTGATTCTCTCTGAGGTTGTGAAGAGAAACTGTTCTATGCCTGTCTCCTAGCTTTCTGGTGGCTCTCAGCAATCCTAATGTTCCTTGCCTTATAGACACATTCTTCAATCTCTCGTTCCCTCTTCACATAGCCTTTCTTCACATGTCTCTGTATTTTCCTTTTCTGTTTCTTTTTTTCTTTTTTTTTTTTTTGAGATGGAGTCTCACTCTGTCGCCCAGGCTGGAGTGCAGTGGCCTGATCTCAGCTCACTGCAAGCTCCGCCTCCCGGGTGCAAGCTCCGCCTCCCAGGTTCGCGCCATTCTCCTGCCTCAGCCTCCCGAGTAGCTGGGACTACAGGCTACAGGCGCCCGCCACCGCGCCCGGCTAATTTTTTGTATTTTTAGTAGAGACAGGGTTTCACTGTGTTAGCCAGGATGGTCTCCATCTCCTGACCTCGTGATCCACCCGCCTCGGCCCCACAAAGTGCCAGGATTACAGGCGTGAGCCGCTGTGCCCAGCCCTTTTCTGTTTCTTATGAGGAACGCTTATCATTGCAGTTAGGGCCCATCCTAATCCAGGATGAGCTCATCTAGAAATCCTTACCTTAATTACATCTATAAAGACCCTTGTTCCAAATAAGGTCACATTCTGAGGTTCTGGGAAGACATATCTTTTAGGGAGATACCATTCAACCCACAATAAACAAGGCACCAATGTGTTCATTGCTGGGTTACTCAGTTGGTGGATCATACATGACTTAAACAAGCAACAAAGCAGAGGCACTCATGGAGGAAGTGGGGAGAGAGAGGTATTTTTTTTAAAAGAATTTGATATTAAAATAAAATTGAAGTTCTTATAGGAAAACTTATGATTTAGGATTGTTTTAATTTTACTGAAGTGGAAGAGTAACACCATACTGTTCTCTGTATCTGGGGTCTCCAAAGCTGTTAATATCCTTAGTGAATTTTAAATAGTTGAGTGTCATCAGAAGGTAGAATGTAGAAGAGTAGAAGAGTCATTTTCCCTGTTGGTGGTGGTTTGTTTTGTTTTGTGTCTTGCAATTATTGAGGCCACAGGTGACCGTAGCAGGAACAACCACTATGTTATCAACATAAGTGGTAGAGGATTAAATGGAGACGAAGAAGATTTTAAGTGTAGATTACTTTCGCAAGAAGCTCAATTGTGAGATGAAAGGAAGATTTCAGGGTCTCTGAAATGTGGTCTGTGACCACAGAAAATTGACTGGTGTTTGTGACAAATCTGGTGTTTGTGACTAAATGCTACAATTAACTCTAACTGCTGTCAGAACCTCTCAGGGATGGCATCCACTGATGATGTCTCTTAACCAGTACAAACTGAGGTTCTTAGCCAGGCTGGAAGCCCCTGACCCTGGTACCATCATGCCCTGAGTAAAACAGCACCTTACCCCATGTTAATCCTATAGCTTGACATACGAGAAACTTACAGTAACCTGAGCATGCCATGCCAATGCCCTCTTGGTCCCTTGTACAAGCTATTTCCCCTGCCTGGGATGTCCTTCCCCCTTGTTTACCTACTCATCTGTCAAAGCTCACCTAGAATATTCCCCATTTGTTCTACCCTCCTTCAGGAAGTTGCTCGTTCTTTAGATCCCCATAGCACTCTTATAAGTATGTAACACTCATCACTGTACTATGGAATTCCTTAATTTTCTGCTTCTCCTATTACCTCATTGAAATCAGGATCCCCATTTTTCCTTCTTCTAGTCCTCAGCTCCTTGCACAGTATTGGGCAGATGGTAGGAGTTCAATAAACATTTATTAAATAAGTGAATTTGCAGTGAATACATTCAGATACTCAATACATATTAAGGGGCACACTTGGATGTCTAACAAAAGAAACCAGCCAGGAGGAGGAATGAGAGAGGGAAACTGGGCAGACTCATTATCAGCATCCATCAGCCCCCTCCATTACTACTGGAATCCAGGTTTTCAGCAATATCCACTCGCTTCCAAGCAGCCATGTGCTTAGGGGAAACTTACCCTTCCCCAGCCCAAGGGTGGATCTGATTGATCTAAGAGCAATCATATTTCCTTGCCAGTGATTGATTCAAGAATGGGCATGTCACCCAATTCTGGCCCACAAGACATGGGAGACTTCTGAGAAATGTTTTCTTGCTCCTAAGAAATGAAAAAATGCTTTTTACTATAGTTTGGATACTTGTCCCCACCAAATCTCATGCTGAAATGTAATCCCCAGAGTGACAGTGTCGGAAGGTGAGGGGCCTAATGGGAGGTGTGTGGGTCATGGGAGCAGATACCTCATAAATAGATTAATGCCCTCCTGGGGTAGCGGTAGGTCGGGGGTGGGGTGAGTTCTCACTCGATTAGATCCCAGGGTTGCTCATGGTTAAAAAGAGCCTGGCACTGGCCAGGCGCGGTGGCTCACGCCTGTAATCCCAGCACTTTGGGAGGCTGAGGCGGGTGGATCACGAGGTCAGGAGATCGAGACCATCCTGGCTAACACAGTGAAACCCCATCTCTACTAAGAATACAAGAAATTAGCCGGGCGCGGTGGCAGGCACCTGTAGCCCCAGCTACTCGGGAGGCTGAGGCAGGAGAATGGTGTGAACCCAGGAGGCGGAGCTTGCAGTGAGCCGAGATCGCGCCACTGCACTCTAGCCTGGGCGACAGAGCAAAACTCTGTCTCAAAAAAAAAAAAAAAAAAAAAAAAAACAGAGCCTGGCACCTCCTGCCCCCTCACTTGCTTCCTCTCTTGCTGTGTGATCTCTGCACAAGCCAGGTCCCCTTTGGCTTTTGCCATGAGTGGAAGCAGCCTTAGGCCCTCATAATCAGGAGCCAAAAAAACCTTTTTTATTTATAAATTACCCAGCCTCAGGCATTCCTTTATAGTAATACAAAACAGACCTGACACTTTCTCTTCTTCCTCAGGGTGTTGTTATGTCCAAAGCCATCTTGCCATGCGCAGCCTGAGAATGGAGCCAATGACTGAGGGTGGCAGAGCAGAAAGATGGTAAGAGTCTGAATCTGTAATAACTGGGCTGGCCACTGAACCTGTCTACCCAACCCTCTTCCCCTTGGGGATTACAGTTATCCCCATCAATGAATTTTTAAAAATTGTTTAAGGGTATTTGAATCTGGTTTCTATGACTTGAAGCCAAAAGCATTCTAGCTAAAATAATTTGCCATGTAGTAAATGTTTATTAAACCTTTTAAGTAAACATTTATTAATGTTTATTAAACATAACTTGATTTTAAAGTTGTGGTCTTAGAAATGAATAAGCATGTCCCTTGTGAGTCTGTCATGCAATGGGATCTGGAAAAGGGAAATACAGTATTCTTATGGTCATCTCCTTATAAGCCCACACTTATTTTGTTTATTTGACCCTACCACTCCGATAGTACAGGCTACACTTATTTTCCTGGAAGATTAAGAAAAATTTGGCGGTGAGCTATGCAAGGGGAAGTAAACAAAGTCACGAGACACAGACAGAAAACTTCATTTCCATTCAATCTCTGACCCCAAGAAAAAGTCACTTTGGGGAGATACATAAAGTTTTAAAAATTAAAGTGCAATTAATTGTAGTTAAGTTTTAAAAAATTAAATCTGGGTTCCGCTGGCACATGAATAGAGCAATGAAATGGAATAGGAAATCAAGAAGTAGACCCAAATACATACAGGGATTTAGCATATGATAAAAAAAAAAACACCTCATTTCAAATCAGTGGGGGAAAACTGGAGTTTTTATTAATGGCGTCTGGACAACAGGGTAGTCAGCTATAACAGTAAATAAATGTTAAAAGTTAGAGCTATACCTCACACCTTGCCAAATAAATCTCAGATGGGTGGGTCAGAGATTTTACAAACATGTGAAACCATAAAATATGAAAGAAATCATAAAAGATTTTTTGTTGTAATTTATAGCTTAAAAAACCTTTTAAAACATGACACAAATTACAGGAGTCATAAAATAAAGACTGAAAAATTCAGCTGTGCTTTAAAAAATATCTGCATGCAAAAATGACAATAGCAAGTCAAAAGTCAATGGACAAGTTGAGAAACATATTTGCAACTCACTGGTACACAATGAATCCTAGTTAGTAAGGAAAAGATGAAGAAACCAATAGAAAAATGAGCAAAGGACATTATATCAGGTGATATAGGTGGGCAATTTGGCAATATTTATTGAAATTACAAATATACATACTCATTGATTCAACAATTTTATTTCTAGAGATTACTTATAATACTTAAATATTCATAATGCTTAATAGCAATTATATTAAATTACAGACACACTCTTATGCATGGAAATCATTTATGAATAAGGTTAATCATTGCAGCATTGTTTGTAGTACCAAAAAATTGGAAGTAATGTAAATGATCATCAATGGAAGAGTAGTTAGACAAATGATCCCATTTGTCTAATGTAATGAATTACTAGTCATAAAAAAAAAGATTGAGGGAAAAGATTGAAGAGTTCTTTTTATAGTGAAATGATGTGGCATCATCTCCAAAATACATTAAGTAAAAAAAGCAAGGTACAGAAGAGAATAGTGAGTTACTATTTGTGTAAACAGAAGATCATGGGTGGTGTCTTATACAAATTCACTTGGATATTTCTGCAAGAAAAAGTAGTCAGTCAGTGACACTGATGCCCTCAGAGGGGAAACAGGGTGGCTGGTGCCTGTGGGTAGGAGGGAGGTTTCACTCTATATAATTGTATACCTTTTGAATTATGAACTATGTGAATGTATTACCTATTCCAGTTCCAAAATGAATACATTACCTTTTAAAAGGTATTTTGAAACCAAGAAAGAGAAATAGAAAACCCTCAACACTTTACAAATGAAAACTAAAGGTGAGGAACTGCAAATCTGATTCAACAAATGCAGCCCCCATATCTAATATGATTAGGGCCTAACATCCCCACAAACATCTTCAGCCTTTCTACCAACCTCAGGTAGACTAGGATTTGATTTGTCAACCTTAACCCCTCCCTGCCACTTCCCGTTCCTCCTGCTTTAAGGTCAGGTCTGTCTGCCTGGGATTTGCCTTTGGGCTCTGTCATCCTCACACCCTGCATTGATGACCTGCAGCGGAGCACCAAGCCGAGGGCATCCTACATTGCTCTGCTAAGCACAACTCATGGGCGTGATTGTTTGTCTGAAGGATGCAAAGGTAGTTGAGATGTTTAATGTCGAATTATTAGACTAAGGTTGAAGAAAATGAAGCAGATCAAGGTAGGAGGTTTTTACCTGTAGGTATCATAATGAGATGGTAAGAAGAAAAGATAATAAATCATAGAGAGCAGGAGAACCAACAACTTGCCACACTTCGACTGGATTTTTCTCTTCTTGGAGCTCTGTAGTTGATGCCTTATTAACATCAGAGGGGATTTGATGACTTGTCATATTCAGTCCTGACTACTGAAATGAAAAGGATAGAAAATGAAAAGTATGGAAAATGAAAATCAATTGCATTCTTTAATTTTAGTCATTCCATTCCTGGAGCATATTGAATACTACTTTGGGCTCTTTCATTGTTCAGGTTATTAATAACAAAGAGCCAAAGTATTTCACATTCCTAAAGAGTCTTTCATCTCAAAGGAGCCAATGTAATTCACTAATTCAGTTACCTGAACTACATTTGGTAATTATTTGAGGATCACTTCACCCAGGGGTGAATTTCGACGAGTTGTGTGACACAGCTGACAGTCGCTTCGTTCTCCAGTCAGTGCAAAAGAAAAATGAATAGCTAATGGGGGATGTCCTCCTAAAGGATTTTCCCAGTGAAAACTTCTGGGAGATGGATGCTGAAAGAATGTAATTAATTGCCCGAAATTAATACCTCCAACCTTACTCAAGGTTTTCTGACCTCTTTACTAGTGTCAGGGTGGAGAGGTGGCTTATCTCAGAACGGGGCCTTCTAGCAACTGAGAGACCTGTGAATAGCAGGCAGTCCATTGCTATCTCGTTTTACATTCATGTATTTTTTTTTTTTAGTGATTATAAATGGTATTGTATTTATAATGTTTCCACATATTCACTTTTAGAATACAGAAATACAAATCACTTTTTAATTGTCACAACTGATTTTCATATGTTGATCTTATGTCAGTGACCTTGCTGAACTCAGTTTAAGGAAGGTTTTTGTAGATTCCTTGAGATTTTCTATGCAAACTATCACTGCGTCTGCAAACAGAGATAATTTTAGTCCTTCCTTTCTTATCTGTATGCCTTTTATTTCCTTTTCTTGCCTTATTGAGCCGGCTAGATCACAGTTGGACAGCAGTGGTGAGAGCAGACATTCTTGCAGACATGCTTGCCTTATAAGTGATCTTAGGGGAAAAGCAGTCTTCTATAATTATAATGTTAGTTGTGGTTTTTTTGTAGATGTTCTTTATCAGATTGAGAAGGTTCCTCACTATTCCTAGTTTTCTGAGAGTTTTTTTTTTTTATCATTAATAGGTGTCAAATTTTGTCAAGTGTCTTCTGTGTCTACTGATATGATCATGTGATTTTTTTCCTTTTAATTTATTAATATGGTGGATTACATTGATTGATTCTTGAACATTGAACCAGCCTTGCATCCTATGAACAGGGATCATTCCAACGTTACCTAATTTTAAAGATCATATAGAAGAAATAGTGTCTCAGTTATATGACCCTAATTTGGAGGAAGGGGATAAGGGGTGAGAAACGAGCTCTTCCAACAAGGGCATTTGCCTTGGTTCACCTGACTGGATCAAATAAGACTTCTGGCCGGGCACGGTGGCTCATGCCTGTAATTCCAGCACTTCGGGAGGCTGAGGCAGACAGATTGCTTGAGCTCAGGAGTTTGAGACCAGCCTGGGCAACACAGTGAAACCCTGTCTCTACAAAAAATACAAAAATGAGCTGGGCGTGGTGGTGTGTGCCTGTAGTCCCAGCTACTTGGGAGGCTGAGGTGGGAGGATGGCTTGAACCCAGGAGGCAGAGGTTGCAGTGAGCCAAGATGGTGCCACTGCACTCCAGCCTGGGTGATAGAGCCAGATCCTGTGTCAAAAGAAAAAAAAAAGGTGGCAAGAGGTACTGAGGTCCAAGAGATGATATATCTAGCACTCCCTTCCACCTCAATGAATCCAACAGGAAGCAAAGACCTTCCATCTTCTCCTTACTAATTATGCTGTAAATACTTTCTCTTAATTTTTAATGTCATCTTTCCTCTTTTATTTCTCCCATCATCATTCCAAAACCCATTCAGAAGGGTGTATTTGCAGGCATGTTGTTGGGGTGGTAGAGTAGAGTGGGAAAAGAAAGAGGTAAGATGTGATGCAAATAGAATATATTTCAGCTGAATGATCTGTTTTAACAATCTGTGTTTGTCTAGAGATGTTTGAGAGCATGAGAAAGGAAGTCAAGGAAAGCTTGACCATCCCCGGCAGAGTCTGGAGTTTGGCAGCTGGGAATGGAGATAGCACGCAGAGTGAACAAAGGTCCAAGATGAGCTCAGAGCCACTGAATGACAACACACCTTCTGAATGCACATGACTCCTCAGATGCCTCTGGTCTCTAACACCTCACAGAGCAGCTGCCACACCACACCACTCTCAGGTTCATTAGTTATTCTTTAGGTGGTTAGAGCACAGCATGAAGGAAGCAGGGTTGATTGGTTTTATTCCTGCAATGATTAGGGCATTTTGCACTGCTTAGTGGCCCTATCCTGCTCCCTGAGGCTAGTCTACAGGTGGGAAATATTGGTCCTGCCGAGGAACCAACTGGCATCACCAGATGCATTGGCAACGTTGGAAAAATACAATCTCATGAGCAATGGTATGCCCCATGTGTCCTAAATGTTTTTCTATGCCAGTGATTTTCAAATTCTTTTAGCCTTTAAGTTTTTTTTTTCCCTCCAACTGAAATCTTACTAGGAAACTCATCAAAAAGAAGAGGAGCTGTTCTGATTCAAGTTTGGCAGAATTCAGAGATCCATGTAAAGGATTCCTTTCCTCCTCTGAACTCTGCCACAATCATTTCAATAAACAAAATTTTAAAACTACTGTATTATGTGTTCTTTAATGCTGGTTAATGTTCTTACCTAATTTTAAAGGGAAGAGACTGAGACATGAAGGGGCTATAACTTTTCCAAGTCAATGCCACGAGTTTGCATCAGTCAGGAACTGTGCTTGTCTGATCTGAAAACTGGTTTAAACAAGGCAGGGCTTTACTTTTCTGTCACCTAAGAGGACACTGTAGGGCAGTATAGGGCCGATGTGGTGGGGCTTATGAGGTCTTTGGGGACCTAGGCTCTTTGCGGCCCAACATTCCATGATCTCTAGGATGGATCCTCATCCCATGTTTATGATATGATTTCTAGAGCTCCAGCCATCTGATCAGCACATAGAAGATGTAGAAAGAGGGGGAATAGGAATAGAAGGGGTTTTCTAGAAAGGCTTAATGACTTTTGCTTACATCTGAAATGAGTAACTTAAAAAATTAAGCTGGCATACTGACATACCTGATATGGTTTTGCTGTGTGTCCCCACCCAAATCTCATCTCGAATTGTAATCACCGTGTGTTGAAGGAGGGACCTGGTGGAAGGTGATTAGATCATGGGGGTTCTCATGAGATCTCATGGTTTAAAGTGGGTGGCAGTCTCCCTCCTCCGTCTCCTGCCACCTTGTAAGATATGCTTTGCTTCCCCTTCACCTTCCTCCATGATTGTGTTTCCTGAGGCCTCCCCAGCCATGTGGAACTGTGAGTCAAACCTCTTTTCTTTATAAATTACTCAGTCTCAGGTGGTTCTTTATAGTAGTGCGAAAATGAACTAATACACACCCTTTCCCCCAGCAATATAGGAGCTCTGCCAGTGAGGAAGGGGAGAGCTGACATTGGTGGATAACTAACAGTTTGGCACAAAATATGTGTAAAAAGTATGCCTCTAAGTGAGCACATGTCCTGGATTTATCCCAATTGCAAATAAGCTGCCTCTTCTCCTCATAAACCCACCAAGTCAATATTTCAGCACCTAAATGTTTTTTTCTCATTTTTTTCTTATTCAGAAGAGGCTCAAAACTCCTTTGTCAGATTAATGTCCTGTATTTTATTTTAGAAAATAAGGTGTTCATAAAACAACCTAACTTGTTATTTGTTAAAATTGCTTGACAAAGGATTTTTTTTTTCAAAATATCGCATATGTTTTGGATTGTCTTCAGACCATAATCCTGCTCTATGAGGGCAAGTGGCAGGTGGGAAGGTGTAGATCAGCAATATGTGGTTTGTGACTGAACGTGGAAGTTGGATTACACTTCAGGGTGCATAGATGCCTGCCCTTGACCCTTTACCACATGAGGGTCTTTATTAGCTCCTCACTAAGGCATTCCTGTTCCCCACCTGCTTTCCTGCCCACCTCACAAGGGTGATGGGGGCACTATTGGTTCAGAGTGGGCTGCCACTGCCTGTGGTATAGTGTGGAAGACAAAGAATGGACATGGATTGAAAAGACCTGGATTCAACTCTGCCTTTGTGACCCTTTGACAAGCCACCTCAGTTCTCCAGGCCTCATTTCCTCTTTAGTAAAATGAGAGGATTAGACTAGATGAGCTCTGTGGACACTTCCAAATCAAATATTCTGATATTGTGTCTCCTGCTCCCATCCCCTGTCCTTTGTCCTCACGTGGGCTGGAATGTGAGGTACAAATGCTGCCAGTCACTGGATAAGGACTCTTAAAAGTCATCTGCTCACTTTCTTCCACCAGGAAGAATTATAATAAAAATTAGCCTGTTTGCTTAAGTTTTATGGATTTGTTTTATAGATCCTAGAGATTTTCCTAATGTAGGTCTCTAACTAAAATGCCTCCAGTTGGATTTAATGCCCATTTTCTCTTGCCCTGTTGATTATATGGCTGTCTGGATGTTCATAGGAAAACTTGAGACAAAATCACAATTGCAATAGGATGAAGAACATTTCCCAAAGGAATGGGATCCAGATTGCTCACTGTCTATTTATGAGTTCACTTTTTTTTTTTTTTTGGAGACTGACTCTCACTCTGTCTCCCAGGCTGGAGTGCAGTGGCATGATCTTGGCTCACTGCAACCTCCGCCTCCTGGGTTCAAGCGACTCTCCTGGCTCAGCCACCTGACTGGCTGGGATTACAGGAGTGTGCCGTCATGCCTGGCTAATTTTTGTATTTTTATTGGAGACAGGGTTTCACCATGTTGGCCAGCCTGGTGTCAAATTTCTGATCTCAAGTGATTCACCTGCCTCGCCCTCCCAAAGTGCTGGGATTACAGGCACGAGCCACCGCACCTGGCTGAGTTCACTTTTTAACTGACTCAGTCCATCAAGAGAACTGGGCACCTGCTACGTGCCAGTCTCTACATGGAAAATATGGGCTCCAATGCTTGCCTGATCTATTTTGCAGGTAAATGTGCTACTATGTGCCAGTCTCTGTCTCATGTGTATCACTTTCTTATGTAATCTTAACCATATGATGTAGGCATTTATCATTGAATTCTAATGTTTCTGTCTGCTGCTTCTTTGACTGAGGAAACTGTGCAATACCCTTTTCCCAATCATTTATTTACCTAATCTTTTTGGTAAGTATTATGTGCTAGGGACCAGAGATATAACTGACCAAGACAGATAGGGTTTATCTGACAGGACTGTCAATCTATTCATCATAGTGCCCTACTTACTCCCAAGCACAAGCCTGACCAATCATGAAATGTCATGTTCCTTTGGCCAGTGATTAGACCAGGGGCTGGGAGAATGACCAAAGTAGGACCAGTTAGAGTCCTCGTATGCCATATGATCCAATGCTGGTTGCTGGAAATAGAGGGCTTCTCCTTCCCTTTATTCATTTAAGCCTTGGATTCAGATGTATATGGTACCTACCCCCACTAATGTACTTTGAAGTTTCAAAAACCAATAAATTTCCTTTTTGCTTAAGCTATTAGATTGAACCATATGAAAATGCCATATTTGCAGGTTGAATGTCAGAATTTCATCTGGTTTAACCTAGTAGTTTACATTTCTGCTGCCTATAATTGAATGAGTCCTGACTAATATGGGAGTACTGTTATCTCCAACTTAGATGAGGAAAATGAAGCAAGGGGTATTTGGTCAACGTCATTTTGCTATTAAGTATAGCAGGAATTAAAACCCTGGTGGCTTCAAAGCACATGTTCTTGATGAGCACTGAACAGAAGAGATTGTTGCTCATAGAGTGGGCCACAGGCAGCTGCCTGTCAGCAAACTATTTGCTACTAATCCATAAGAAGATAGGAAGTGCTGTGCCAGAGTGCAAAATCAACTATGCCACTAAGCATGCTCTTTAGTTCAGCATTTTTTTTTAATAGTAAGACTTTCTCAATGATGTAAGCAGTGAGCTGATTTAGATACTGGTGCAAGCTGCTTATCTCCTCCTGATCCAGTGTCAAATGGTCTTGTGGATTGGCACTTGGAGCAGCACTGGGTACACAGTGGACCCTTGGGTTTGCTGCCCAGTGACAATAGCCTCCATTCACTGGGGACTTCCACAGAAGCCATATCTATGCCATGTGATGCTGACCTACTCTTCTGCTAGTCACAGCTGATTGGTTCAAGTCATTTGTTTGAGCCAAACTGGACCAATTAGATTTTCTTATCTAAGAATATGGAATCTCAAAAAGAGAAACAAAGGAGCCAGGAGAAGTAAGTAGTGAAACTACAAAAGCAGAATAAGCCCCAAAAACCCTTGTTTCCATGTCTTTGGAACTGTCGTTCTTACACTTTTGAGGTGTGGCTGTTCAACTCTTCCTGTACATTTTGTGAGATTACTAATATCCTTTCACAAGTAAATTCCTTTTTGTCTTAAGCCAGGTAGAGTTGGTTTCAAAAGAACCTTAATACCATTGAAAAATATAAGGAAGACCACATGTTCATGACTTAGGATTCTGTTAATAATTTCAATTATTTGCTAGCCTATGTGAGGGTGTTACCCACAATTCTGGGTCCCAGTAGTAGCTGGAAAAGTTGCTACCTAAACTGGGCATCCCCTCATCCCCTACTGTTAAATAGAAACAAAGACAAATATAGTCAATTAACTCTGATTACTAAAGACTCTGATAAGAATTGAACATCTTAGTTAAAGCAAATAATCAACTTGTATCGTTTAACTGTAGATAAATAGAAACCAAATGAATGAATTCACTCATTGCTAACATTAGGA
This sequence comes from Homo sapiens, assembly GCF_000001405.40. NCBI lineage: Eukaryota > Metazoa > Chordata > Mammalia > Primates > Hominidae > Homo > Homo sapiens. The sequence continues at coordinate 34,083,138 of NC_000014.9, read as the reverse complement.
GCGTTAGTCACCTTGGGGCTGCAGCACTGACATCTGCCCATCTAGCTGCCTTTAAAAGAACCATTTGCTCTGGGAACACAAACATCATCTCAACTACCTAAACTCAAACAACAGGTCCTTGAATTCAAACTTGTTTTGAAAAAAAATTATGATCGAGACACAACTTGAATCCTCTTATTACCCATCCATTTCTCTTTAGAAGTAATATATGAATAAAAACAAAATACTTGGAAATCTCCTAAGATTTTCTCACTGCTTGAAGTAGGAAGTCCCAATAGATAGTTCATTCCCGTTTGGTGAAGAAAGCAGCTAAAATGGAGGTTTGAGATGAATGCTTAGCAGCTGGAAGTTGCTGCATAGGGCGATAGCAGGAGAAAGGAAGCAGGTGAAAGTTCCTGCTGCTCTTATTTGGGGGAAGATGCTGGGAGAGGCCTTACAAGCTTGATGGCCTTGATCATTTATTTCTGAGTTCAGAATAATTGTCTCCCACACGCTTACCTAGAACCTCTGTGATCTTGGTTCTGAATAGGTTAATCTATTTTTAATGGCTACCCAAATACTATTAAGCTAATTCTTGCATTCCTTTGCTCTTCCTATTTAAAAACAAAAGTTCTGATAGTAATAGATGTCCCTGCCATTGTGGCCAAGAGAATCACCTACAGATGCTCTCTGAACAGAAAAAAATTGAACCTGAGATTCACATATCTATGCTTATAATTCTCCACATTTACAACCTCTTAGTCTTTAAAAAATCTAATGATTTAGGTGCAGAGTTCTTTTTTCTTAATTGTATTGTTGGACTTATCTTAAACATAATCTGTAAGACTCAACATAATATCATTTATCCAGTATTTTTTATTGTACTAAATTTCAGGACTAATCTAAGTTTAAACTCTTTATTTTAGAAAATCAGTAACAGCAGCTAATTAGCACATCTCATTCTGGATGTATTTGCCAACCAATTTCAGAGACTCATTTGCCTGTTAAGAGATTTTATTGAACACCAGCACCACAGACTCTCCTTTTTTTCTAGTAAACAGCTCATGCTTATTATCTTATTACAGGAATGCCACTGGTTAAATCAGGCTCTGAATATAAATAGCCATATTACTGCCATCAGGCATCAATGTTTATTTAGTGGCTGTGAGTCATGCATACCTCTTTGATCGGGTTTGGAATGAGCCATTGCCGTTTTTGTTCAAAAAGGTTATTTGCAAAGGCTACAGAAGTATCAGTTAGATTAAACATGAAATTAATCAGCGTGGAATTTTATCAGCCATTTCTGCCACCAAACACCAGGTGTCAAGAGCATGTGCAAATGAGGGCTGAACATAATGAAGCTGGGGACAGCTTAGTAGAGAGGTCAGAAAAGATTCCAAGAGGTCTGAGGGAGGAAAGGTGGAGGGAGGCAGCGAGGAAGGAGGGAAGACAGGCAGGCAGGTAATATTGAAGGCCTGCTGAATCATCTGGAACGACTTGGCAGTTTTACATAGCATATCTCATAGCACAGTGTGTGGAATGGGAGTTAGGTGACCTGCGAGCTTGAGCTCTGATCTGCCCAGTCCAGTGATCTTAGGAAAACAACTTAATGCATACAGGCATTACAAAGCATGCAGAGAGAACATATGACAAACTTGTACAAAAGCAGGGAAACCACCTCAATGTTTCTCTAGACTAAAAATATCAGAGAGAAATAGACCCAAGGCAGATGTGATGTGGCTTTTTGTTGATGAAACTATGATGGCAGAGAACATGTGGCCCTTTAACTGGAGGGCTCACTGAAACTGGGTCTATTCCGTCATTCAACATTTAGCGTATCCTCTGCTTGTCAGGCACAGTGCTGAGCAGGCCTGTGAGTAATTATACCATGGTTAGTGCTATGATGATTGCCACTATAAATTCCTGTTGACCTCATTCTCAACCCTGCTTTCAGCACTGCTCGGCGATTCTGATACATTATTCGGAGCGACTCTTCCCCCCATTGTCCACGAAGCCAATTTCTAGCACTCCCTGCTGTCTTCAAGCTTCTGTCTTCCCAGCCTCCATTCTGCTTACTCTCAGTGGCTGATCAGACCTTCCCTACAGTGAAAATAAATTTATCTACATTCACACTGATCCACTCCCTCTCCCATATTCTCATCTCAGGGAATGTCTTTCCTCTTAAAACAGGCAATCCTTCTATCTGTGATTTGGATCCCATTCCCTCCTGGAGGTCGTTTTCTACCTAGAATCTTTAATTCTTCCCTCTCAACTAGCTTCATCATTCCAAATTAAAAAAAAAAAAAATCCTCCTTCAACCATACCCCTCTTCAGGAATCCTCCTCCATTGTCAAAGGCAAGCTACCTGAAAGAATTGTCTACCTAGAATTTTCATTCCCTCGAGTTCCCTGGGAGACCGACACAGAGCTTCGAATGCAGGTGGTGAACTGGGGAAAGCTCTCAGAAGCTGCACCAGGGCTGGCATGAAGGAGTCTCTTGGAAACTGTGACTTTAAAAGATGTACAGCAGGCCCTCCAATAAAGTTGTTTGGTGCAATGTTCTTTCTTTATAACATTGGTGAGGGAAAAAATGTTTTATTGTACATCATTTCATTTAAAGTAGTAGTTTCCAAGAACCTATTCACTTTAAGTGAGGACCTACTGTGGATACAACAGTGGCATCATCCAATTCTAGGGAACTCTAGGGCTGGGATGGCCTTTAGAGATGACCTGAATTGAAGCAAAGGGGACAGGCCTTTGTAACCCCTCATCAACCAGCCATTGGATGCACAGGGCAGGCACATCAACTCGGGTAAGTCAGTTTCCTTTGATAAAAAGTCATTCTTGCAGAGGAATTCAGCTGTGAGCCATCAGCGGGCTAAAGTCCTGGCAGCTGGGGAATGAGTGCTTCAACCCTAAAAGGGGGTTCTGGGTGGCACAGCCTAGCACATGCTCTATAATGACAACCATCTTTCTGTCACCTGGCTTTGTCTCTCCTGAGCTCCAGACTCCATCGACATTCAACTGCCTACTGCAGATTTCCCTTTTGGCAACATGTGAGATACAATAAAACATATACAAAATTTAATGCTCATCACCACCTTCTACAGCTCTACTCCCTCTTTAGGGTTCTCTGTATTAGTCTGTGTTCACGCTGCTGATAAAGACATACCTGAGACTGGGAAGAAAAAGAGGTTTAATTGGATTTACAGTTCCACATGGCTGAGGGGGCCTCAGAATCATGGCAGGAGGCGAAAGGCCCTTCTTTTTTCTTTTTTTTTTTAATTTTTATTTTTATTTTTATTTTATTTTATTTTATTTTTATTTATTTATTTTTATTTATTTATTTATTTATTTATTTATTTTTTTTTTTTTTATTGATCATTCTTGGGTGTTTCTCACAGAGGGGGATTTGGCAGGGTCATAGGACAATAGTGGAGGGAGGGTCAGCAGATAAACAAGTGAACAAAGGTCTCTGGTTTTCCTAGGCAGAGGACCCTGCGGCCTTCCGCAGTGTTTGTGTCCCTGGGTACTTGAGATTAGGGATTGGTGATGACTCTTAACGAGCATGCTGCCTTCAAGCATCTGTTTAACAAAGCACATCTTGCACCACCCTTAATCCATTCAACCCTGAGTGGACACAGCACATGTTTCAGAGAGCACAGGGTTGGGGGTAGGGTCACCGATCAACAGGATCCCAAGGCAGAAGAATTTTTCTTAGTACAGAACAAAATGAAAAGTCTCCCGTGTCTACCTCTTTCTACACAGACATGGCAACCATCCGATTTCTCAATCCTTTCCCCGCCTTTCCCCCCTTTCTATTCCACAAAACCGCCATTGTCATCATGGCCCGTTCTCAATGAGCTGTTGGGTACACCTCCCAGACGGGGTGGTGGCTGGGCAGAGGGGCTCCTCACTTCCCAGTAGGGGCCGCCGGGCAGAGGCGCCCCTCACCTCCCGGACGGGGCGGCTGGCCGTGCCGGGGGCTGACCCCACCACCTCCCTCCCGGACGGGGCGGCTGGCCGTGCCGGGGGCTGACCCCCCCCACCTCCCTCCCTGACGGGGTGGCTGCCGGGCAGAGACGCTCCTCACTTCCTCACTTCCCAGACGGGGTGGCTGCCGGGCAGAGGGGCTCCTCACTTCTCATATGGGGCGGTTGCCAGGCGGAGGGTCTCCTCACTTCTCAGACTGGGCGGCCGGGCAGAGACGCTCCTCACCTCCCAGACGGGGTCGCGGCCGGGCAGAGGCGCTCCTCACATCCCAGACGGGGCGTCGGGGCAGAGGCGCTCCCCACATCTCAGGCGATGGGCGGCCGGGCAGAGACGCTCCTCACTTTCCAGACTGGGTAGCCAGGCAGAGGGGCTCCTCACGTCCCAGACGATGGGCGGCCAGGCAGAGATGCTCCTCACTTCCCAGACGGGGTGGCGGCCGGGCAGAGGCTGCAATCTCGGCACTTTGGGAGGGAAAGGCCCTTCTTACATGGCGGGGGCGGCAAGAGAAAAAATGAAGATGCAAAAGCAGAAACCCCTGATAAAACCATTAGATCTCATGAGACTTATTCACCACCACGAGAACAGTGTGGGGGAAACCGCCCCCATGATTCAAATTATCTCCCACTGGTTCCCTCCCACAACACATGGGAATTATGGGAGTACAATTCAAGATGAGATTTGGGTGAGGACACAGAGCCAAACCATATCACTGTCTTTGCAGATAGACGGTAACTTGGCAGTTACCCCTCATTTCTGTCTCTTGTGGATTACTTCAGGGTATATTTGTTCTTTGCAGGCCTTCTGAGGAGTCTTATGTGCTGAACAAACATACCTGCTGAGTGACCCGCTATCTCTCTTTTGCATCCTGCTGTGAAGCAGGAGCCAGAGTGATGATGCAGCACATTGCGTTTCCCCACAGCTTTCCTTGCCCACTTCCCTTTTTTCCTCATGCTCACTGCTTTGGGCTTGTACCTACCAAATGCATTCTTAGCAGCTTAACTTAGCAGCTGACTTCAGGCTTCGCTTTTTAGAGGAACTGGGAGAAGATACTATCTTTTCCCTTATTCCTTACTTCCAGTGAACTGCTACCAAGTCACTTCAATTCTAATTTCTGGAATTAGAATTATCTATCTCTCTTTTTCTCAGTGTCTGCATTGCTACCACTCTAATCCAGGCAGGATCATTTCCACTTGGATTGGTACTTTAGCCTCCTTACTGGCCTCCTACAACCAGGCTCTTTGCCACCCTGTAGCTTGACACATGGTAAAACTTAATATTAGTTGCAAAAGTAAATGAATAAATGAATAGGTATGTCACAGGGCACTGTATTGTAATTGGACTACTTTAGAAAACACTGAAGTGCTGAGATAAGAACTTATACTAGATTGTGGTAGCCCACACAACACCTTCTCTTCTTTGTTGTTCTTCTACTTCTAAAATTTCATGAGGTTTTCAGGAGATTTAAATAAATAATATATGTAAAACATTAGAGCCTGCCACGTGCGGTGGCTCATGCCTGTAATCCCAGCACTTTGGGAGGCCAAAGCTGGTGGATCACCTGAGGTCAGCCTGACCAGCATGGTGAAACCCCATCTCTACTAAAGACCAGACTGACCAACACGGTGAAATCCCGTCTCTACTAAAAATACAAAAAATTAGCCGGGTGTGGTGGCGGGTGCCTGTAGTCCCAGCTGCTCTGAGGCTGAGGCAGGAGAATCACTTGAACCCGGGAGGTGGAGGTTGCAGTGAGTCTAGATCGCGCCATTGCACTCCAGCCTGGGTGACAAGAGCAAGACTGTGTCTCCAACAAACAAAACCACAACAACAACAAAACATTAGAGCCATGTGGGGTACATACTAAGCACAAAATAATTTTTAATTATCTTCATCATATTATCCTTCCATGGATTTTTTTTTTGTTTCTCCCATCTCCTGAGAGTTAAAATTGTTTTAAAATATTTAATTAAAAATTGAGTAAATTCCATTTTCTATACCTAGCACTCCTCGGAAACAAAATACAGTAGAAATCTAAGTAATCATCCACCTAAATATCGGCACTGTCAAGGTGAGTTGTTTAGTGTCTGTGTAATATGTTTTTGTGAACACAAAATATAATTTAAACCTCAAGATTTAAAAATTAATATTCAATTTAGAAAAGTTAAAAAGTAGTCCAGGAGCGGTGGCTGACGCCTGTATCCCAGCACTTTGGGAGGCCAAGGAGGGCGGATCACCTGAGGTCGGAAGTTTGAGACCAGCCTGACCAACATGAAGAAACCCCATATCTGCTAAAAATACAAAATTAGCTGGTGTGGTGGTGCATGTCTGTAATCCCAGCTACTTAGGAGGCTGAGGCAGGAGAACCGCTTGAACCCGGGAGGCAGAAGTTGCCGAGAGCCGAGATTGCGCCGTTGCACTTCAGCCTGGGCAACAACAGCGAAACTCCATCTCACAAAAGAAAAAAAAAAAAAGACAACTGAAAAGTTAAAAAGTAAAACTCTAATTTTCCTTAACCTTTCAAGTTTAAATTCAGGGAGTATGATTATGGTTTGATTGACTAGGTGAACAGGCTAAATTTCCTTAAGCAATTTGTCCTATTTACATCTTAATTTATAAAAATTCTTTTGAACATTTTAGACTGTATTTTAAAATTAAGTATATTTTGATTTTTTTAAAGCACTTTTACTGCCTAACCTATCTACCAAAACCTTCCCCATCTAATAGATCAATTAATGAATGTGCTCCATCTCCAATGCATTCCACTTTGTGTCATTCTTTCTCTTTCAACTTAAAATCCAAGTCTAAAATCACTCCGGTAAATATTTTAAATTTGAATCAAAGGCTAAATCGATAACATTCCCTGAAATCTCTTAAACTCTCCAAAAACTTAAAGTATAAAATATACACAGATCATTCCTAAACATATGAAAATCTATTAATAACATGATTTGGTTTCTTTCATCATCTTCCTTTTTACTTAGAAATATTCTAAAGCTGACAGATAGCTTTCACCATCTCAAGCAGGGTGGGGTTGCTTTTGGTGAGGGGTTTTGGCTGGGATACAATTGTGAGGTCTGAATGCTTTCCATGGTCAGTTCACTGAAAAAGACGCTGAGCACTTTTTTAATAGTCACAGTGATAACAAGGGACTCCTTGTTCATGCTCTACTAATGGGGCTATCTTCACAGCTGACCTTCTTGTTTCAAATTAGACCATTATCCAATCCTTTCTTCTGATTTGAACCTGCAGCTCTGGCTAGTTTACCTCTTGATTGGAGTTAATGTATCTATTTACCACTGATTGATTTGGATTTTTTTTTCACTTACTTTTCATGTGTGACTATTGTCCACAATCCTAAAGATACTTACGTGATCAGGCACATTTTTGTCACTTGTGGGAATGAAAAAGGAAAAAAAATTTTGAGCACAATTTGGGTTGTATAAATGTCATCATACGTGAGTTTGTATACATATGTTATTTTTTTCATAGTTGTATGAAGTGGGCATAATTATGTCCATTGGGTAGATGAGGAAACAGGTTCAGAAAGTTAAGTAGCTATTAAGTTGCAGAGCCAGGATACTAAACCTAGTTATGACTCTGTAACCCACAAGCTGTACTCTCTGGGGACCATCATGTCCTACCCCTGGGGTTTCTAGCTGGAAAACAAGCCTGGCCACGTGTGCAGACAACTCTTGAGACTGTCTTTTTAAAAAATTATTGTTCCCTACTTTTCCCTCTATCTTTTTGCAGCAAAGCAAAGTCATGAGCAGTTTGGGGTCATGGCGATGAGTTGGACATCTGACATGTTCTCTTCCCTTCTGTGAGGTATCACACATTAGTGGGCCAACTGGTGACCTCAGAGACAGAGGCCTGAGGGCTTGGGGGCAGGAGGGTGCAATTCTTCATGACAGGCTCTTGCTGGAGGTGGCCTTTTCATCATAGGGATTTCCTGTAGCTCAGTAATTCTCAAGTTCCTCAAAAAAAAAAAAAAAAAAAAAAAAAAAAAAAAGCAAAGAAAAATACCCAGCAGGTTCCACTGTTGGCTTGGGGGGATGCCCAGGTGATGGCTTTTATTTCTCTTTTAAAAACAAAACTTTTATTTTGATATAATTTCAAACTTAGAGAAAAATTGGAACAGTTCAAAAAAAAATCTCCATATACACGTCACCGAGAATTGCTAATTGTTAATATTCTGCCCTGTTTGCTTTATTATTCTCTGAACTATTTGAGAGTGTGTTGCACACATTGTGCCTCTTTACTCCTAAATACTTCACTGTAAATTTCCTAAGAACAAGGATATTCACTTACACAACCACAGCACAGTTATTAAATCAGGAAATTTTGAAGTGGACATAACACTATTTTCTCGTCTACAGACTTTATTCAATTTTCACCAATTATGTTCTTTTTAGCAATTTTGCTTTTCTGGTCCAAAATCCAATACAGAATTAAGCATTACCTTTATTTATATGGATTTTTAATTTGCATAATCTGTAATGATTCCTGAGCTTTACGTGCCTTTCATGTCATTGACTTTTTTTTTTTTTTTTTTTTTAAGAGTACAGACCATTTATTTTCCAGACTAGCCCTCAGTTTGGGTTTCTCTGATGTTTCCTCATGATGTACTCATTTTTGACAGGAATCTTAAACCAGTGATATCATTTCCTTCCCAGCGCATCCCATCAGGAAACACTAGATATCAGTTTGACCCATTATTGATGCTGACTTTGGTTACTTGGTTAAGGTAATATCTGCCAGATTTCTTCACTGCAAAGTTACTACTTTTCCCTTTGTAATTAATAAATAATTTGTGATGAGATATTTTGACACAATGTAGATAAACTATTCCTCATCAGATTTTTAGCCATTAGTTCTATCATTTATTGATGATTCTTATCTAAATCAATTATTGCCATGATGGTTACAACGTGTTGATTTTTCTAACACCATCATTTTTTCTACATTTATTAGTTGACATTCTGTTGTAAGGGAGCAGTTACCTGCATCATTAATTATCAGTATGGACTCGTGGATTCTTATTTTTTTAGTTGGTTATTGTCCATTACTACAATTATTAATCTTGATGCTCCAATTGTCTCAGATTTGACCAATGGAAGCACCTTTAAGTTGGTTCTTGCATTCATTTGACATGTCTCCATCATTTGTTGAGCACTTGCTTCCTTTCTGACACAAGATAGTCCATATCTTCTTGGACTTTTTCTGGCCATGCTCTGGAATCAGTCATTTCTCCAGGAAACCCTAGTTCCTTGTAGTGGGGAATGGTATTTAGAAACCAAGATTAGGGTGCTGGGTGTCCTTGCTGCTACTGATATATCAAAACTTCTAGGCCCTTTCAACACACAGAATTAAGAAACACACACACTCACCCACACCCCCATACACCCCCATATATATGTGTGTGTGTGTGGGTGTGTGTGTGTATATATATATAATAAATTTATACTATATCCAGTTTCAATCTAGCAGTACAAGATTTTTCACAGCCTACTCCCTCCTTATTTGTATCTCCCTTCTCTAATAGTGAGAGACCTGGTTCACAACATCCTGAAAATATTTATTTGCCCAATTCTTCATGCCTAGAAAATAATTTCAGAATTATTCATCTATACCACTGTGAAAAATGGACATGCTAAAGTATAGTTCACCATTTGTTTGTAGTTCTTTTTGTCTTTAGATCAAGGTTATATAAGCAAAATATTAAGTTCGACTGTTATTTAGGGTGTGGACCTATAGTCCCACTACTCAGGAGGCTTGATCTCGGGAGTTCCAGGCTGCAGTGAGCTATGATGGTGCCACTGCAGTCCAGCCTGGGTGACAGAGCAGGTCTCTATCTCTCTCTCTTTTTTTTGAAGTTATTTAGGTATTTTTCTCCAGTATACTTATTCATTTGGGAATGTAAGGCTCATTTGTATTGTACTTTGGGTTTCTCACCTACCTCCATTTTTGTTGGTTTAACTTTATGGTTTTGAGTAAGTAAAACTGAGTAAATAAAATAGTAACATGCTTTCATAGCCAAAATGGTACCAGAAAAGTATATTTCAAGATCTCTCACTTCCTCCTCTATCCCTTTTACCCTGTTTTTACTCACACCGTATGGGTAACCAAAGTTAGTTCCTCATTTATTCTTTCTGTGTTCCCTTTTGCAAAAATAAGCAGATACATGCATATTTTCTTATTTAATTTTTATTTTCTTACACAAAAGGTAGCATACCATCTTTACTCTTTGCACTTCACTTTAGCTTAAAAATTAAAGAATATACTCCACTTTTTAATTTTAGCTTGGGGTGATCTTCTGTAAATCACTCCATATCATCTCATAGAGATCTTCCTCTTCTTTTTTATAGCTGTACTGTACTCCATTGAATGGACGTGCCATTGTTTAATTACTCTCTTATGTATGAAAATTTAGGTTGCTGCCAAAAGTTTGTAATCACAAATATTGCTATTATGATTAACTGCTATGTCTTCTCTTATTATACAGTTGTAACTGGGTGAAGTCATGAAAGTGGAACTGCCAGTCAAAAGGATAGTTTAGTTGGGTATTGCCAAATTCCCTGCTATAAGTATTGTACCATTTTTGTGTTTCCCGCAGGGATATATGAGGTGACTGTTTCCGCACAGCCTTGCCCACAAAATGTTTTGTTAAGTTTTTTAATTCTTGATAAACTTTGATAGAAAAAAATCTGTTTCAGTATTATTTTAATTTATATTTCACTGATTTTGTCTTGGAACACCTTTTTTTACATGTTCATGATTTTAAAATTTTTTCTGTAAGTTATCTGTTAATATTTTACTATCAAATTTTTAGTCATTTATGCCATTTTTTAGAGTTCTATGTATATTGGGTGTATTTGGTTAACATCCCTAATACATAGAGATATCTCTCTATTATTGTCTTCATCTCCGTCTTTATTGCTATCTTCTTTTTTAAAGGACACAATTCTCTCTTTTACTTTTTTTTAACACATTTTTATAACAACATTGTTTTAGAGACATTTAATGACAAGTGACTTTGCCTGGATAATTACTGGTGAATAGAGACCCTTGAGAGATGATAGAGGCTGGGTGTGGTGACTCACACCTGTAAATCCCAGCAGTTTAGGAGGCCGAGGCAGGAGAATTGTTTGAGCGCAGGAGTTCAAGACCAGCTTGGGCAACATAGAGAGACCCTGCCTCTACAAAAGAAAGAAGAGAGAGAGAATAGAAAATTACATTTCATCTTCTACCTTGGGGACTTTTCTAAGCCACACATTGCTTGTCCAGCAGATGGGTAAGGGATAATACCCATTGGAAAGGAAGGAATAATTTGAAACCCATGTAACTAGAACACAGACCAGAAAACCTGTCAGAGACCACGCGGCGATCTGGAGAGGAGCCTGTGTTTTCTGTAGCAGTTTGCCTCCTCTGCTTATATCCTCAGGCTGAGTCACAGGCAGGGCTTGTCTTAGGGAAGGACTGGAAGATGTGAGGCCAAGAGATTCCAGGCCAATATCAGCAGCTGGGGTCCCTGTGTGTGCATTAGGTAGAGATGGTGAAGTCATACAACCAAATATGAGACTTACAGGAGAGCCTACAGATCATCTGCGCTCAGAAACAATCTAACCTCCTCAGTTTACAGGCAGGAATTAGAGGCCCAGAGAGGTAAGTGACTTGCCCAAAGTCACAAACCAAATTATATTCAGAGCTACATAAGCCTTAAAGCTAATTCTTAAATATTAATGCTTAAAGGCTTAAAACTAATAAGCCCTTTCAAAAGTAATCCATGTTGAAACATCTACATTCCTATGAGTTTTATACTTTGAAGTTGTCATTCTTCTTATATACTTAAGAATACATTAATATACTTAATTATATTAAGTTACACTTAATTCTAGAAACTGCCACTGCCAGAAGTTTTCTGAAATTCTCTTATCAAAGGGAAGCTGAAAACTTGTTTTGGCTGGTCTGTATAGTCCTTCATTCGTTGTAGCAGTACTGATCCATTTTTCTGTTTTTTTTTGTTGTTGTTGTTCTTTTAGACTTGAGTCAAGCACCGTACTCTTCTATTAGCCCAGGGTTTTTTGTTTTGTTTTGTTTTAAAAAATACATTTCAGTATAAATAAGTTGTTTTTCTTTAGTTATATTCTAGTTTTAAGGATACACCTGAATTAACTTAATTGGACTCCTGTGTTTCGTAAGTCTTTGAGATAACCCATTTCTACCTAGATTAATCCAATCTGTTATGTTAGTATTTCCCAAACTGATAATCACGTGGGGTGCTTGTTAGACATACATATTCAAATCTATTCCAACCTCCAGAATCAATCTCTACATGACTGGAAATGCACAATTTTAACAATTTAACATGAATGCAAATTTTGGAAAATGATTCTGTGTTAGTTTTGGGAGTTTAACTCTCAGCTGGCAGCTTTAACCCCAAATCCTCTTACATGTGGATTATCCCCAGGCTCTGAAGGCAATGCCAGTAAAACTTTTTGGTCGATGGTGGAATCATTGGAATAAATGTATAGTTTCCTAACAGAGGCAATTCATCAACACTCTCATGGCTCCTTTGAAATGGAGAGAGCTCCTCAGAATGATTAGGCTTGTGTATGCCAAATCTTTCACAGTATTTTAGAGTGACAGCCATTATTTGAGAAAGGAGTGAGGCAATGGTGGTCGGCTCTCAACGCTGGTGTTACAGAGTTAGATGATCAAGGCAGTCATTCCTTCAGTCTCCAAGATCTGCTGACTAGAGCACTTGACCAAGTACCAGGGCTGATTCAATGACACAAATAACACAGGTGCTATTCTGGACAGACTGACATCTCAGTTTGGGCTACTTATCACTCAAGTTGCCTTCCATTACTACCAGTAGTGCTGTCTGTTTCAGCCTCTCATGAATTCAACCTTTTTATTTTCTATCTCTTTGAATATCTTGCTGTTTCTTCTTTAACACTTAAAATTTAATAAATGAGTGATTACTCTGTGCAAATCACCATGGGGTGGAAAAGCAGGATGGAAAGCTACTAAGAAAAATAAATATTCAGCCAAGTTGTCGAGGCTATAAAAATGCTTAACCAACAGTTCCTGCTCTAAAGGAACTTAGGCCCACTTGGGAGATAAAACAAATAAATAACCATTAAAACTTGGCAATGAGAACAGCCCAGGAAAGGCAGGTATAAAGAAAGCATTTTCATGCAGTAATTAAAACAATGTGGTCCTGGTGTAGTAATAGATATGTCCATGAAATGTAATTGTGAGCCTAAAAATAGAACCATGTATATAAAAGTCATTAATATTTGATAAAATTTTATTTCATATTGGTAGGGAAAATACAGATTATTCAACAAATCATTTTGGGACAACTGGCTAGACTTTTGGAAAATCAGCTGAATTCTTACCTTCTCATACCAAATTAATTCCAAGTGAATTCAAATGTAAAAAATTAAACCATAAATATTTTAGAGAAAACACAGGTAAGAGGCTTTCTAATCTTCAGTGTACAGGCTTTTCCAAGCATGAAATAAAACGTAGAGGCTTTCCTAGAAAAGTAATTTTAATACCTAGAAATCTAAAACATAACATAAGCAAAGTCAAAGACCAACAATGGGGAAAATATTTCGATCACATGTGACAGATGAATGGCTAATATTCATGATAACCAAAGAGGGCTCACAAGTTAACAGAAGACAAAGAAGTCAACAGAAGGATAAAAAAGGAGTCATGAATTAGGAATTCATAATAGAAGAAACACAAATCGCCAACAGGCAAATAAAAATATTCTTCCATAATTTAAAAAATGTAAAATAAAGCACTTTTTCGCCAGTTTGATCAGAAATGAGATTTTAGTGAGATATTTTTTGCCTATTTGATTGATAAAGTGCCCAGTAAGATTTGCTATAAGTGGAGTATAAATTGGTATATACTTTCAGGAACAACTTGGCAATATTTGTTTAAAATGAAAAATACGGATTCTCTCTCAGAAATTCTATATTTATAAAATTACAGGCTTAAATAACTGTACAAAGATGCACAAAGTTATTCATTGCAGCACTATTCGTTACGTGAAGGACTGGCAACAATAAGTTTATTTGATTTTATTCTCTTTTTTTCACTATTCAGCAAGCTCATCCTTAAGCAGTAAGTAGATTATAGTACATCCATATGATGGGATAGAATCAGAGGCCTCTTATCTGTTGAAAACTGCAACGGGTAGTTGTTTAATTGAAAATTTTGTTAAAATTGAGAATCATAAAAATGGATACATTTTAAATGTAATATTTTGACCTAAACTACCTAAATGTAGAATTATTCATTAATCTTTCAATGCTAGGACCAGGCTCTTTGAGTAAGGGTTTGCTGACAGAGTCCTACTCACCTTTCTTGCATAAGCCACACCTCCAATGTCTCTGAGCAGCTTCCTAATCTTATCCCTTTCTTTTCCCTTGTGCTTACACTGGCCTCTGTTGCTCCGGCTTGCTAACCTCTTTCCCACTTCATGGCCTTCTCACTAGTTATCCTCTCTTCTTCCCTTCTGCCTCTACCTCGTTGGCTCTTGTGTCTTAAATGTGACTTCTTCAGAGATACCTTCCAGAGAGATACTTCATGCCAAAGCAAAAAGACAGTTGTTTATGAATAAGAAAGTGGGCCCTTGCCAGATACCAAATCTGCTGGTGTCATGATCTTGGCCTTCCTTCCCTCTAAAACTCTGAGAAATAAATTTCTGTTGTTTAAGAAGCCAGTCAGTCTATGGAATTTTGTTGTCACAGCCTGAATGGACTAAGACACGGAGCAATAACAGGATCTCAGGTCAACTCTAGCCTTGGCCTGATCTACAGAGGGAGCCTAAGTCACAACACAGAGTTGGCTCCCTTGGAGGCAACATGGCCTTTTGAACCCACATATTAGTTACCTGCTGTGGGCTACCTTCAGGTGAGGCAGCTCGTGTCAGCCAGGGAAAAAATGAGCAGCTGGAAGCATTTGCTGTCAATACTCATAGCAGCTGGGGGGTGTGTACTGTGCCCAGTAAAGGGCATCTAAGCTTTTTTAAAGGGCACACAGTATCCACCCCACTGCTGGGCCGGAAAGATTGTTGTGCCAATTGGTTTAAGCTAGTCAAGGCCCACCTTTGGAGCTACGGATTGTGCTATGGTCTGAATGTTGGTGTTTCCCCAACATTCAGGTATTAGGTATAGGAACCTAATACCCAATGTGACAGTATTAAGAGGTGGAACTTTTGTGAAGTGGTTAAGTCATGAGGGCTCCACTCTCATGAATGGTATTAGTACCTTTGTAAAAGAGGCCTGAGAGAGCTCCCTTGCCCTTTCCTCCGTGTGATGATGCAGCAACAAGGAGCCATCTGTTAAGTCCTCACCAGACAATAAATCTGCCAACGCCTTGATCTTGGACTTCCCAGCCTCCAGAACTGTGAGCAATGAATTTCTGTTGTTTAACAATTACCCAGTCTAAGATATTTTGTTACAGCCACCTGAACGAAGCCATGTAGGGTCAATCCCACCCAACCAATGTTACCAAGAAACTCATGGTAGTGTAAGAATGGGGAGAATGTATGGTGATCAGGCACCCAAGAAATGTTCATACCTCCTATCCTTAATTACTCAATATTATATTACCCTGTTTATTTCCTTCAGAGCACTTGTCATAATCTGTAATTCTCTTATTTATTTATTCATTTATTATCTGACTGCTAGAATGTAAGTTAAATGAAAACAGGAACCTTATTTCTTTTGCTCACTGCTACAGCCTAAGAACCTACTGGTATGTCTGGTACATAGTATTAACCAATACATTCTGATTGCATTCCAGATAGGACTCTAAATATGCAGAAGCATGGAGATAGAAAGGAAAATAAATACGCAGATAAAGAAGAGAATTCTAGATCAGTGATTCTCAAACTATAGTCCCTGGACCAGCAGCATCAACATCACCTGGGAACTAGCAAGAAATGTAAATTCTTGGGCCCTACTCCAGCCTTAGTGAATAAGAAACTCTGGGATGAGGCTCAGCAATCTTTATTTAACAAGCCTGCCAGGTGATTCTGATGCACAGCTGAGCTTGAGACCCACTGTTCTGGACCAATTTGACTAAAACACGGGACTTGTGCAGGATAGTTAGTGGTTGATAAAGTGGTAAGGGAAATTCAGGACCGTATTATTATGGCAGGGCAATATGTTAAAAATTTTCCTATGGTGATTGCCCTATGTGTTGTTGATTTATTTTTACTTCTGTGAAACACAAGCAAGACAAGGGAGAAAATGTAATCGGCCCTCCTGTTTTATTGGAAAAGCCATTAGTTATTTGGATTCTGGATACCCTTGCTGGTGGCTGGGAGAAAGGAGTGGGTAGAGATAATGGTGTTTTGATTTTTCAGTCAGGAGAGAAGTACCACCCTAAGGACACTCCTCGTTATCCCCATCCTCACCCTCATCCACAACCAGCTCCTTGCCCTGTGCACACACAGTTTTAAAAAATAAACGTAATTTCTAAGCACAGTTTTAGATGTATAGATAAATTGCAAAGATAGTACAGAGTTCCCATACACCTTGCACCCAGTTTCTCCTAGTATTAGTGTCTGACATTAGTATGGTACAGTTGCCACACTTAATAAACCAAATAATGATGTAAGTAACTAAAGTCCACACTTTATTCAGGTTTTCTTGGTGTTTATCTGATGTCCTTTTTTCTGTTCCAAGATCCACCCAGGATACCACATTAAATTTAGTCATTACGTCTCCTTAGGCTCCTTTTGGCTGTGAGTTTTTGAAACTTTTCTTATTTTTGATGATCTTGACTGTTTTGAGGAGTAATGGTGGGATCTTTTGTAGAATATTCCTCAACTTGGATCTGTCCAGTGTTTTCCTCATTAGATTTGGGTTATGGTTTTAGACAGGCAGACCACAAATGGTAGCTGCTATTTTCATCACATCATATCAAGAGTACATACTATTCACATGAATTATCACTGTTGACGTTGACCTTGATCTGGAGCCCAGGCTAGGGTAGCCATGGAAGGAGGATGAATTTGTGAAATGTTACACAGGGATTTCAGAACTTGACATTTACTTAGATTTGGGGAGAAGGGTTGGAGTAAAAGGAAAAGGAGAGAGAAGAGTGAAAACTATTGCTGAGGTTTCAAAGGTAGGTGACCGGGCACCTGGCTAGTATAGGACAAATCCAGCTGAGTGTCAGTGATCTGTCCCAGTAGAGAAATCTAGCCTGCGGTTGACCTTCTCCTTTTGGAGCTGGGGAAAGTTCAGGACAAGGAGGTTCCATGGCTGAGGTTGTCACTGCCCTAGAACATGAGGGTAGAGAAGTGTGATTGGCACATATTCCCTGCTGGATGCATCAGCCAGTAAGGCCACCTGAAAGAGTTCCTCCCAGAATAATTTGCACAGTCACCTGGAGGTGATGGCAGGGACATCATCACCTTAGATGTCTAAGACCTCCGGCTCTGAGTTTGGGGGTATGGTGGGAGGACTCAGGGCGCATTCCTCAGTATTCTCCCAGCTACTTAGTTATTTGGAAAAGCAGTAGATGCTGCCTGAAGTCAATTAGAACTGTAGCTGAAATTTTCCCAGACGAAGGCAACTGGACACCTGTGGAGGCCAAAGCAATTCCTCGGATGCTAATCCACCATGTTGGCTTCTGAATAACCCCAGTTCTGGGAAACCTTCTGAGATTTCCAGCTTATCTCTTGTACCTTGTTTAAGAACACCCACTTGTCATAAATCCTGCCCTTAGGGCAAATTTCTAGGCATGTCCTCTGCAGCACTTGTGCCCCTCCCCTACTGTATGTAATCCCTGGCTCTGGGGGATGGTGCTGGGATCCACCATGGCTGGAGACGTGGCTTCTGTTCATAAGTCCTTATTAAGGCTGGGTGCGGTGGCTCACACCTGTAATCCCAGCCCTTTGGGAGGCCAAAGTGGGTGGATCACCTGAGGTCAGCCTGACCAACATGGTGAAACCCTATCTGTACTAAAAATACAAAAATTAGTTAGGCATGGTGGCGCAGGCCTGTAATCCCAGCTACTCGGGAGGCTGAGGCAGGAGAATTGCTTGAACCCAGGAGGCAGAGGTTGCAGTGAGCCAAGATGGTGTCATTGCACTCCAGCCTGGGCAATAGAGTGAGACTCTGTCTCAAAAGAAAAAAAAAGTCCTTATTAAATATTTTTTCCTAAGAAACTGGATTTGTCAGCCTGTTTCTTTAGCCTCTCAGCTTCCTCCGACTTTGGGGTAGGTTTGCATAGACTTGCCCACCTCGAAACGACACCGACTTTATAAGATGCATTATAGAAAGAATTGAAGGACATATATTAAAATGTAAACAGTGTGTAACTTTGATTGGTGGATTTAGGGGCTGTATCAGTTTTCTAGGGCTGGTTAATAAATTACCACAAACTGGGTAACTTGGAATTACAGAAATTTATCTCACAATTCTGCAGGCTAGAAGTCTGAAATCAAGGTGTTGGCAGGGTCATATTCCCTCTGAAGCCTCCAGGGGAGGATCCTTCCTTGCTTCTTCCTAGCTTTTGGTGGTTTGCGGCAATCCCTGGTGCTCCTTGGTTTGTAGCTGCAGTATTCCATTCTTTGCCTCTGTCATCACCTGGCATTCTGCCTGTGTGCCTGTGTCCAAATTTTCCTCTTCTCGTAAGAACGCCAGTAATACTGGATTCAGGGTTCATGTTAATTTGATACATCTGCAATAATCCTATTTCCATTCACAGGTTACTTTCACAGGTTCTGGATGGACATAAATCATGGGGGAGCACTATTCAACGCTGTACAGGAGTGATGATACTTCCTTCTTCGTATATTTCTATTTCATCCAAGTTTCTTTTTGCAACCTATATGTATTATTTCTATACCAGCAAAAACGCACATGAAAAATGCAATCTCCACCACCAGTAAAATTTGTTCTCCTTTGAAAAATACAACAAACTGCATTTGTTGAAGGGGTTAGTGCTGTCCTGGAACATGCAGGTAAGGTTACTCGTGCCAGTCATGGTGACTTTGCTGGGAGCCTCCCTATACTCCCAGCCAAACCGTGTTGAAAGGACAGGGAGGAGTGTTGGGTTGCAGGTGCCTGGGGAAGTGTCTGGACATCTCTGCTCAGGCCAGGGCCAGGGATGTGGGAGTGTTCTGTCCTGCTCTGCGGTAGGCTCCTGGCTTCCTTGATATGGGGCTCACCCGGAGAGATTGCATAGACCCTCTGTGGCAGCACCCCTTCCAGAACCAATACAGGAGGCAACTCAGAAGAGCATGGCTGTGATAACTGAAGCCACATGCAGCCTGGCAGGATAAACACTGCCTGGGAATCAGATGCTATTTTCCTGGCCTCTCTCAGGTACTGGGGCCCAGTGGGGAGGTGATTTCTCTCACGACAGACACACCCCAGGCTGTCCTCTATTAGTCACAGCACATGCTTAACTCTGTTTGGTTATGTTCCCCTGACGTTCTGCACGTCCCACCATCCAGCAGTGTGTGTTTACCCCTCCCCACAGCTAGTTGGACTAAACAACATCTCTCGTGCAACACGTTCTAAAGGAGCAGCTGGGAATCAGGTTTAAATCTTGGATTTTCAGCATAACTGAGTTAAAAATCCCTGAGACATCTTTTGTCTATGGGTGCCAGGGAGAGAAAGCAAACAAGAGAGAAAGAAGGAATTCTTAGTGTGTTTGACTTAAAAGCTCGGACGGCTTCTTTCAGAAGGCACTGGTGTGTCAGGCTAATTTTTTAAATGTAAGAGAATCCTGTTTGGGGCTTTCAGTGGGTAGATTTAGCTATTAAGAAACAAAAACACCACTGGTTTTTTTTAAGTGGGGCAGGGTGGGCTTCTCCAAACAACAGTTCCTAGTCAAACTCTTGTAGAATGTCAATTTCAAGCTCAGTCCCACCTCACTGAGAGACACAGGCTTTCATTCTTTTCCTACACAGCGATTTAACCCTTTACTAGGGTAAAGGATAGTTATAGGATAAGAAAAAAAAAATCTCCTTTTTAAAACAGGATCCATCTGTTATCAAAAGATCCCACTTCCTGATGGACACCTAACCACCATTTACTGGGGGATCCCTGGGGAGGCCACTGTACTAAGTGCTTTGCATATATTATCTATTCCGTTCCCCCAGCACCACTGTTATCCCCATTTCACAGAAGAGGAAACAGAGTCAGAGAAACTGAGTGATTTGCCCTAAATTGTAGTCATTGGCTACTCGAGCCTAGGTCTGAGCAACTACAAAGCCTGGAATCTTGACCAATTCATTGAGCTGCTCCAAAAGAGGACAACACCTGTGAAAGGGTCCTGCACAGAGGCAGAGAATAGTAGACATTCATAGATATAAGGTGGATATGGTTTCCATTTCCACCTTTACCATTTACTTGCTGCGTTGAATTCAATGACTCAGTTAATTTTCAGAATTGTAGGTGACCCACTTGTAGAGCATGGATGGTTCCCTGTCCTCAAGGGTTCTACTATCATCTGGTGTTTCCCCCTCAGGCACCAACCAGAACGCCATATTTTAGGGAGGGTAAGGATTGAAAGAAGAACCTGCAAAGCATGGTCGCCAGCAGCATCATGCTCAGGACAGCCCTGGTCTGGAAACCCTGGCCAGCCATGGCATTCCAGAGGCACCCAGCCCGCCCCAGGGTGGGGTTAGAGCAGAGGGGTCTTGGGGAGCTTGCTCCATTCTCTGTTGTGACCGAAGATTGTGGGTGTACAAGCGTAGCCTCACCCGAGACATGCTCTCCAGGCCCATCCCTTTTACACCTTTAGCATAGCACTTGACCTGCAAGGTTGTAATTATTTTTAATTTGAATATTCAGAAAAGTACAAATGAAAAAATAATGATTACTCATATTCCAGCAACCCACAGTTAGCCAGTGTTGACATATTTGCTTCTAGTTTTATTTTATATCTATTCCTTAAAATAAAAAACTGCATGATATATAAGCACATTGTTCTTTGAAACAATTATTACAATATGAGAATAAGCTAAATTCCTATGACTACCATTTCAAATCTGAATTCCTCCCCTTCCATTCAAAGACAGCTTTAAGTTTGGTGTGTATTTTTCCAGCATATATATATATATATATATATATATATATATATATATATATATATGGGATTTTTTGTGTGTATGTACATTTTCTTTCTATAAATGGCATCATGCTGCATGTATCATTTTGCAACTTGCTGTTTTTCATTCAATATACTTTTGAGATTTTGATACACATAGATGCAGCTGATCCCTTTTAATAGCTCTAATAGTACTCCACTGTATGAACATACCACATTTATAGATAAGTGCATTTGAATTTTCCATTTTTTCCTATTATGAACTATGCTAAAATAGACATCACTCATACTCAGGACCACCACACTGCACAGTTCCAGAAAGCTCCATTCACTTCTACGAACGTGTCTTCTGGAGTTGTACAGCATACAGCCTGCTCTGCTGTGCTTGGCAGCCCCTGCCTGTATCTCCTCCATTTATTCTATTAACAAGATTTATTCGGTGCCTACTGAATTCCAGTGCTCTGCTTGTATTAATGTATTTAGACCTCTGAAATGTCCTAAAAAGTAAGTCGTTTTCACCATTTTTATTTTCCAAAACAAGAAGGTGAGGACAGATGGGGGTACTCACTTGGCTAAGATCACACGGTCTGTAAATTGCAGAGCCAGCATCAGAACCTGCACAGCCTGGTTCCCAAGTCTGGGTGCTGAACCGTCATACTAAGTCTTCCTCATGTTTCACTGTCTACTTAGTTAATATCTCCCACTCATCTGTAACCCTGAGAGCAGGGACCACGGGGAGCCACTTATTTTGCGTCACTGGTGCCCAAATAGTGCCTGATCTCCATGACAGGCTCAATAACGTTCTGTCAGTCACTTTACTCATGACTGCAAGCTCCTTTCCTAATCAACGTTTCCTCTCCCCCTTCCCCATGTATCTCTTTCCCTTCATAAGCACCCACCTCGTCTCCCTCTCCACGACATTCCAACCCCTGAGCAAGGCTTTGAAAAAGTGACATAGGCACATCACAGATGTGCCGTTGGCTCTAATTTGTGAAAGAACATTTTACCGAGGGGCAAAGGAGGACTTGGAATTTTTTCCTGCCCCCAGGAGGCCCAGACTTGCAACCCTGTAGGTCTAGAACTTAAGCGGAGGTCCTGCTATGTTCACACATTTAGTAGAGAATGACTTCTAATTCCGTCATTCAGCTGTCAGGCACGTAGGCCGCTTCCTTTTATAAAGCTGGTTGTCGTAACTAAACAGGTGCAGATTTGAGGAAATGCAGACCGACTGGAATGATAAGTCCCACTGCATGTGAGATTAGGTGGATAGAGGACTCGAGTCCCACCCGCCCTTTACTGTCTTTAGTCTCCCCAGTCCGCCCTGGGCACCACCCGCCGAGGCTGGGCTCTCGCAGCTACCTCTCCATCTATCTTCATGACAGCTGCGGGGGCCGGGGGCAACTTAGTCGGGACAAACGTGAGCGAGCGAGTGTGTGGTTCAAAGAAAGGAAACGCAAGGGACAAGGAGAAGGTCGAGCTCCGGCTGAGGAAGAATCACGGGCCGGGCTCGGTCTTGCCCGTCACCCTCGCGCCCCTACTTCCGGGCGGGCAGGCACCGATGGGGACTCCGCCCAGGGAAGGCGAGCCCCACGCCCACGTGGCTTTCGAGGGGGACAACCTGGGGCGTGGGGACACTGCAGGGCACAGGGCACCCGCGAGTGGAACCACCTAGGCGCCCCCTCCCGGGGCCGGTACGTGCGGGCTGCTGGCGCTGCGCGCGGGAGCCCTCCCTCGGCCCGGGGCTGCGCTGGAACGCGCTGACTCACGCTAGCGCTACGTGAGCTGCGAGCCTGCCGGGCGGGGCTGGCTGTCCAGCCCCGGCCGCCGCCCGCCGCAGTTACCGACTACCTTCGGGGCGGCCGCGGGCGCAGGCACAGTGCGTGTGGCTCGGTGTCCGCCGCGGCGCGCCCTGGCGAGACTTCACCCCGCGCCCCGCCGCGCGCTCGCCAAGGCTGCCCGCCGGGCATTTTTGATCATTTCGATTGTCCCTCCGGCTCGAAAGCTGCAGCAGAGCTGGGATCTTGCATCCGAAGCGAGGGCACCAGCCGGTATCTGCTAGGCAGGAGCGGCCAGAGTCGCGTTAGGGCGGCCTTGGGCAGGGCGCTTCGGTTTGGCCTCTCTTTGGCTCCGGGGGAGCCTGCGGAGGCCCAGGGCCGGTCTCTGGCTCTGCACTTGATGGCCTCCTATCTAGGGGAAGGGCCAGTTAGTATCCCACCCGCTCCCTCGCCATTGTAGCTCAGTTCATCCCCAAAGACCCCGTGGAGTGGCAAGGGCAGGCATCATCCAATCCATTTGGCAGAGGACATCAAAGCTGAGGTTTAGATATTCATCTGTTGACAATGATGAGGATGTTTCATCGTAACTTTTCTATCTAGAACCTAGCTCTCAGTTTATCAGTTCTAGTGCTAACGTGGCCTGTTTTAGCGGTGTCTCCCATTCTGTGTTCTCTGGAAAGACAAGTTAAAGGGGAGAGTTTGTATTAACAGGTGTCACGTCTTCTCACTCTCGCCATATCCCTGTACCTTCTGGTAGATGTAAACGGACACAACTGTGCTTATAAAACCAATAACTCGCCAGTCTTCCTCAGGTCCATTCAAGACCATTTGAGTGGGTCCTTGGGTGCCATGGACAGAAATCTTGTGGGGACATGGATGAGGGGGGCCTCCAGCCCCTGAGGACTGTCAAGACCAGGGCCTTGGGGAAGGGCAGCCGAGCTTCACATTGTCCCCACTTAGCCACTTGTCAGGGTTGCTGTGAGGCTCCAGATGAAAATACATGGAGTTTCCTTAACTACCGTGGCCCACAGAAATGACACATGAGATTCTTTTCCTTGGTCGTAGGATACTGGGGGCGGGGTCAGTGAGAGGCACTGTCCATCTCAGAAAAATCTGTATCACTCTTGTTTGCTCATCTTGAGGAAGCCATGGAGAGCACAGTTTCTATGGAGTCAGCAGAAACAAAAATGAGATTAATTCACACGTAAATTCTGCCTTTAGATACAGAGACCTAGGTTATAGGATCTTGACTGTATACACAGTTAAGCCATTTGTAGAGTTTTCCCTATTTGGGGGTAGTTTTTGTTCTGATTTTTTTTTTCAGAGGGGATGTTTGCCAAATTCTTTCTAGATTATAAAATTAATACAAACTCTCATAAAAGTGAATACACTAAAATATAAAGAAGAAAAAAAAAATCCCGTAATACAACATTCATACACCAATAAAATGTTAGCATTTGAGGTATATTTCTTTCGAAGTATTTCATTTTGTTTTATTTTATTTTATTTTTGAGACAGGGTCTTGCTTTGTTGCCCAGGCTGGAATGCAGTGGTGTGATTACAGCTCACTGTAGCCTTGACCTCCTGGGCTCAAGTCATCCTCTCACCTCAGCCTCCAGAGTAGCTGGGACTACAGGTGCATATCATCATGCTCAGCTAACTTTTGTATTTTTTGTAGAGACAGGGTGTCTCCATGTTAGCCAGACCTGTAGCTGGGACTACAGGTGCATATCACCATGCCCAGCTCATTTTTGTATTTTTTGTAGAGACAGGGTTTCACCACGTTAGCCAGCCAGTCTCAAACTCCTGGACTCCAGCAATCTGCCTGCCTTGGCCTCCCAAAGAGCTGGGATTACAGATGTGAGCCACCATGATCAGCAACCAAGTATTTTAAAAGTTTATTTTATATAATGTCTAATATAATTGAGGCCACATTCTATGTCTTGAAAATATTATTTGCCTTGCTTAATATTATATCGTACACATTTCCCATGTCATTAAACCTTTTATAGTCAATTTATGAATGTATTATGTATTTTTTAAGCAATTCCCTTACTGTTGGAAATTTAGGTTGTCTCTGTTTTTTGGCTTAAGCAATACTCCAATGAATATATTTGTGTATAAATATTTGACCAGCTTATTATCTCCTTAACATAAGCTTCCTAAAGTGAAATTTTTAGGTTTAATAATATAAACATTTTCATGACAAGATCACATTACTTGGTGGCAATTTCCATGAAGACAGGAACTATCTCTGCCTGCTTTACTGCTGTATTACCAGTGTCCAGCATGGAGATGGTTCTTAGTGTGCATGTTTTGTTTGTTTGTTTGTTTGTTTTTTGAGACGGAGTCTCACCCTGTTGCCCAGGCTGGAGTGCAGTGGCGAGATCTCAGCTCACTTCAACCTCCGCTTCCTGCGTTCAAGAGATTTTCCTGCCTCAGCCTCCCGAGTAGCTGGGATTACAGGCTCGTACAACCATGCCTGGCCAATGTTTTTTGTATTTTTAGTAGAGATGGGATTTCACCATGTTGGCCAGGCTGGTCACAAACTCCTGATCTGAAGTGATCTGCCCGCCTGGGCCTCCCAAAGTGCTGGGATTACAGGTGTGAACCACCGTGCCCAGCCTTAATGTGCATTGTTGAATGAGTGAAGAAAACAAGGAAGAAATTTCCCTTCTTGCTTAGGAATATCAAAACTAAAGACTGTGTTTTATCCCAGCTGGTTCTAACCTGCTAAAGCTGACCATTAACTTTAAGGAACCCCCCCGGGCCCCACCCACACACAGGACCTGATTGAAAACTCTTTCCTGACCACAGACAGTGACACTTGTTTAAATGACTGACTGTCTAGAATGCTAGTTGTCAATGCTTAACTAGAATAATCATCAGGCACTTCTCTCCAGCACTTAAAAAGCAACCCCTGACATTTCCCTAACAGGGATACATTGCAAATTTCTGTTTTGGTTTGTGTTCCCTTGCCTGGTAAATTAGTAGACTCAGCTGTGATGAAACAACAACAACGACAACAAACCTCTAGGCTTATTCTTTGACAAATGAATATTGCCAAAATGAAATACATAAAAGTTGTAGCAATCTACAGTTCTACCATCAGTTTATATCTCACTGCTTTTTTGGTGCAATGTGTCTTGACCTTTGTTATTTAATGGATTAAAATGTGGGATAATTTTTTGCCTATTAAATTAGGTAGACTGACCTTTTCTTTTTTGAGACAGAGTTCTACTCTCGTTGCCCAGGCTGGAGTGCGATGGTACAATCTCGGCTCACCACAATCTCTGCCCCCTGGGTTCAAGTGATTCTCCTGCCTCAGCCTCCCAAATAGCTGGGATTACAGGCACACACCACCACACTCAGCTAATTTTGTATTTTCAGTAGAGATGGGGTTTCTCCATGTTGGTCAGGCTGGTCTCAAACTCGCGACCTCAGGTGATCCGCCCACCTCGGCCTCCCAAAGTGCTGAGATTACAGGAGTGAGCCACTGCGCCCAGCTGACTGAACTTTTAAATACAAATGTGATGATTTACATTTTTTCTTATCTATTGAGATCTTAGCGATTTTCTTATTAGTCTGTATGACCCTTTTATACACTAAGAATATTGCAGAGTAAATTCTTCATAATACTTTTAAAGTGAATCCCTGCCAGGAAGATCTTCCTGCAACACATAATTTTGATGTATTAAATTTTTGAAGCAATTGTGCATTTAAATTACTGCTGGAGGTGTTCTAAGATGGAAGGGGTAGTTTCTAGCTACTGGAAATATCTAAGTAGAGACTGTTTGATCCCTTGGGAGGGATTGAAACATATGATGACAGGTTGGACCAGTGCTCTTTCGGTTCCCTTACAACCTTGAGATTTTGTGATTCCATAACCTGTCCAAAAATAAAAGGCAATAAGGTTTTTTTTGCGGGGGGGGGGGGTGGGGTGGGGTGGTAATTTTCTTTCTATTAATACTCTGTAAGATTGACAGGCTCCTACAGAAGTCTAACAACTAAGAGAACCAAAGAATGATTTTCTGAAGCTACTGCCTTTATTCACACTTTTAAAAAGCCCAGGGTGGTTGAAGAGTGTGAATGTGCTTGGCCTTGCAGCTGTGTCCTGGCCCTTTAGAATTTGTTATCAAAACAAAACATGCATTTCCACTGGAAGTTTTTAGAACATTGATTTTGCAAACTTTTTCTAATTTCACTTTTGGTTTCTTCTGTGTAGTAAAATCTGTAAACTTATATTTTGCATATTTATTCTTTGTCAATTATCTGTTGTGTAGATTATTACGTATTTACATACACACAGCAATGCATACTTGTACACGAAAACCATGTATACACTATTTTATGGATAATTTAAGGGATTTTTTTTCAAGTGACTGCTTTCAGTTATGTGCTAACTTTGGAAACTACCACCAACATAAAAATCTGCTCTACTGAGGTATCCACCTAGATTTTTATTGTGGAAGTGCTTAATTCCTGTGTCTTGACATTTAGCATAAATGACATAGAGCTCATTTTACATCTATTGTGTAATGTGAGAGCTGTGTTCTGACAGCTCCTGTATTTCCCTTATTGGAATGTTCATTGTTCATTTGTAACTGCATATTTAATCTTTAGTCTCCTATATAGGCTACAAGTTTTGGGGGGCCATGGGGAGCAAGGGGACCTGATCCTCTGGTATCCCCAGAGTTTAGTGCTTGGCATTCTATAAAATCTCTGTTGAATTGAATTGAATGTAATAAATTACATGTAAAAACTAGATAGGAAAAAGCGCAAGAGGCTGTGGACTTAGTGTGAGGTCAGAAAGCTGGCTGAAAAACTAAGCGATCTGAGCACCTCCTAGAAGCTGGGCACTTAGCTGGCCTATCACCTGCCTTATCTTACTGAATCCTCACAACTTTGTTTTGAGAGTTTTTGTTTCTGTTTTGTTTTTATAGAAGAGGAATCCATGGTTCAGAAGGGTCAATGAACTTAGTCAACTGGTAAATGGTAGGACTGGGAGTTGCTCTGAGTTTATGGTGGCTTGAAAATCCAGGCTCTTTTCTCTTGAGTAGGATGCCTGCAGTATGTAGTCTAGTCTTGATTGGGGCAGAGTTGGGGAGGGAAGATGTGGCTTTAGGAAAGGACCTGGCTCCATTAACTTAGCTGAATTTTGTCTTTGTAATCGCTCCTCTCCACACCCCTTCCACTTCTCCATGCCCTCAGCTTTACTCCCTTCACCCCGTCAAGAGTCCAATGCTCTCATGATGCCTCCCCTCCTTACAGTGAGAGCTTCTGACCTTCTTTTCTAAACAAGCCTCAAACTCTGTCCTCCCCATCCAGCTATAGTCCTTAGTATTCTACTTCTATTTAATCTAATAAACTCTTCTGGGGAGAAAAATGGGAAATTGTTGTAATGTTTCCCATCCTTCTCATGTGCTTTTTTTTTTTTCTTTTCTTTTCTTTTTCTTTCTTTCTTTCTTTTTTTTTTTTTTTTTTTTGAGACAGAATCTTGCTCTGTCACCCAGACTGGAGTGCAGTGGCACAATCTCAGTTCGAGTAATTCTTGTGCCTCAGCCTCCCAAGTAGCTGGGATTACAGGCATGCACCACCAAGCCTGGCTAATTTATGTATTTTTAGTAGAGATGGGGTTTCACCATGTTGCCCAGACTGGTCTTGAACTCTTGGCCTCAAGTAATCCACCAGCCTCAGCCTCCCAAAGTGCTAGGAAATCAGGCTTGAGCCACCGTGCCTGACCTCACGTGCTCTTTTTAAATACAGATGCTGGTTGCAGGACTTTTAAGTTTGCTGGGGGAGCATTTGGGCAACAGGATAATTTGTCTCTTCAAATAAAATCATAGCAGGCAGCTACTTACTATCAAGGCACAAATGACTCTCAGATCTCAGGGACAATAATAAGGGCTAGCATTTCATTCATTGAATACATTCACGTGAAGGGCTACTGTGTGCTGGTGACTGTTCTAGGTGCTTTGTGTATATTAATTCGGTTAAATCCTTCTAATATCTCAATGACGTAGGTGCTAATGTTGCTCATACAGTTGGTGAGGGGAGAGTTGGGGCTGGGAAAGGGGCGAAGATAAAAAGGGAAGCTTTCAACAGTGGCTTGGGAATTTGACTGGAGATGAAACAAAAAATCAGGTTAGCCAGTGAACTGTTTCTAAATCCATTAAATAAAGACCTAGTTTAGACTAATGAGAGTAAGGAAGAATTTGTGTGAGTGCTTGCGCCAAGCGGGCAGCTGCCAATTGTTGAAGCAGGGCCTGCTCAAGTGTGTGCCCCAAGGAGCAGGAGGACCACTGGAGGGATCTGCTGCTCTGTGGTTCATTACAGGTAGTTTATTATTGGGTGGAACTGGCCGGAAGTTGAGCCAGCCAGGAGGGAGTGCAGAAGAGGAGTCTGCCAAGGGATATTGTGGGGGAAGATTCCAGGCTGGGAGAGTGAGCCAGATGGAGGGAGGAAATGAGCTTTTCCTGCTGGGTGGATTCCATCCACATGGAAATCCAAGTATGGGACTCTGAGAGTGGGAGGGTTGCAGGAGAGGGCCTGGTTTTGACTGGGAATCCCAAAGGCAGGACTGCTCCTAAAGTTAGTGGGTGTGGATTCCTGGGAAGTCTCCTCATCATTACAAAGCATTTACTGTGTTCTAAGCTGTGTTAATTCTCATGAAGGAGTGTTTCTGGAAATGAAATTTAGAAGGTGTGAGAGAATCATTTTCTGGGTGAGTGGCTGAAGCAGGCAGCATACTATGATCAACAAGGTGATCAACTGTCCTGATTTGCCTGGGACTGTCCTAACTTTTGCAATAAAATTCAGTCCCCCCTTCAGAGTACCCAGGACTCGGCTCATATGCCAGATCCCTGTAAAGGCCTTTCCTGACCATTATCTGAGATACTATCCTACCCTGTCCCCAGTGCTCACATCCTGTTCCCTTCAGAAGTACTTTCTCCATAACACTTACCCTTCCTTGCAGTCATCTTGCTTATTTGTTTATTGTCTCTTATCCAAAACTAGAATATAAGCTCCAGGAAGGCAGGGACTTTGGCTTTTCACTGTTGTATTCCCAGGGCTTAGAACAGGGCCAGGCACACAGAAGGTGCTCATTATATGGTTGTTGAGTGAGTAATTTTTTGTTTTTTTTTTAGTTTCAAGCACTGTGCCCAGCTCTGGATATACAATGGTGAGAAAAATCAGAAATGGTCTTTGTACTCATGAAGCATAGTGGAGGAGAAATACATTAATAACATATTTCCACCTACACAAGTAAAATTACACCTGGGATGAAGGAACAGCTGAAGAGGGGCCTGAAGGAGAGGTGCTGATGCTATGAGAAGATATGATGCTGGGTGGAGTCGGGGCCCCGGGGCCAGTGAAGGCTTGTCTAAGGAAGTAATGATTGAGTTGAGTCTAAAGGATGAAGAAGAAAAGGCTTTCTAGGAAGCAGGAACTGCACATGCAAATGCCCTGCAGCAGGATGGACCAGGAGTGTTTGGAATCCACAAACAGGCCCTGTGGTTGCAGTGCCCAGAGCAAGATGACTCATGACGCTGCGGGGAAAGGCCGAGGGGCAGGCACAGCCAGGCCACTCAGAACCTTGTACATTGGAGACCTTGCTGAAGATTTGGCTGTTTTTCCTAAGAACAGTGAGAAATCACTGAAGGGTTTAAAGTGTGTGTGTGTTGGCTGGGGGTGGTGGGGGGCAATCAGTCTTTGACGTGACTATTCCGTAGACTACCAGGGTTCCTCCATCCAAGTGGCTAAATGGTTAAAATAGTTAAAATTAATTAGGGAAAGGACAATGAAAATATTAACAATTATAAGAGGTAGCTCTTATAGTCTTAGTTCTCTTTTGTCTGCTGATGGAATAAATGTGGTATCAAAGACAGAAGAGTGGGGAGCAAAATTTATGGCCAAATAGATTTTTGAGGAATCTTTCTAAAAGTTGGTACTCAATAAAGAACATAAACTGCAAAGCCAAAGTATTTAAAGCACTCTTCTAGGCTCTGTGGGCAGAGAAAAAGGAAACCACAAGAATGTTCTTCCCCCTTAGGGAGCTTAGATGTTAAATGAGAGAGCACAGGACAGACCCAGGAACATGTTCAACAAGTACTGCTGCTGAGATACCCAGGCACATCGTAATATACAACCTTCCCTGAGCAAAGTCCATGTCTGAATCATTTCTGTTCCTCCCACAGATGTTAGCCAAGTGCTTTGGCCACAAGATGCGCCAAATGAATGAAGCTGAGCCTGTTCACCTCGGCAGAGAAAAGCAATTACTCAGTAGGCAAGTCAGGTCTCTAGTGATGCTTCCATTATAAAAAGTACTTTTAACAGAATGTAAACTCCATGAAGACAGAACTTTGTGTCCATTTTTTGGTTGTTCATTGGTGTGTCTTCAATGCCTAGTACCTTGTCGTTCAATAGTATTTGTTGAGTAAATGAATTTGTTAGCTTAAGTTAGAGCCCTTGGAATGATCAGAGGACTTTGTGAGGAATTGGTCAAGTAAATTAATTTTCCCTCCATATGATGGGGGTACTATTCAGCATGTAGAGCGTGTCCTGGAAGAAGGCTTACTGATGAGGCAGTGTAGCGAAAGAACAGGGCATGGAGGCCAAGTGCCTGCAGCAGAAGCCTGGTTCTACCATTCCCTAGCTATGTGACTTTGGGGAGCTTATTTATTTAATCTCTCTGTAATGCAGTTTCCTCAACTGTAAAATGGGTATAATAGTGCATACCTCCAAAGTCTTTTTTTTTTTTTGAGACGGAGTCTCGCTCTGTCGCCCCAGGCTGGAGTGCAGTGGCGCCATCTCGGATCACTGCAAGCTCCGCCTTCTGGGTTCACGCCATTCTCCTGCCTCAGCCTCCCGAGTAGCTGGGACTACAGGCGCCCACCACCACACCCGGCTAATTTTTTTGTCTTTTTAGTAGAGACGGGGTTTCACCATGTTAGCCAAGATGGTCTTGATCTCCTGACCTCGTGATCCGCCCGCCTCGGCCTCCCAAAGTGCTGGGATTACAGGCGTGAGCCACCGCGCCCGTCCACATATACTGACTTTTTAAATCCTCACAACAACTCTATGAAGTAGGTATTATCGTGATCCTCATTTTATAGTAAGTGATACATAACAGTAATTTCCTTGAATGTGATGGGTAGAAATTGGAGGGTTTTGAGGAGAGGAGTGACATGATCTAATGTGTAGTTTAACACGATCACTGCATCTGCTGTTTGAAAACAGACCGAGGAGAGTGGAAGGGAGTGAGGGCAGAACCAAGGATACCACTTAGGAAACTCCAGCAAGAATCTAGGTGAGATTTCATGTTGTCTTGCCTCAGGGCAGTAGTTGGTGATGCAAAAACAGTCTAATTTACATTATCTTTTGAAGATAGAACTCAAAGTTGGTGATGGAATGGAAGGATGGGAGGTATGAAAGAGATGAGTCATGAATGACTCTATGATTTTGGATCCAATCAACCAGAAGGATGAAATTGCCATGAGCTAAACTAGGAAAGACTGCAGGCGAGCAGGTTTAGAATGTATAGTTTGAGGTGCATATTTGGCACCCAAGTTGAGATGATGAATAGGCTGGTAGAAGTATGAGCTTGGAATTCAGAGAATCCTGGGCTGGAGATGTGAATGTGGGAGTCATCAGCCTACAGATGATATTAAAACCCATGCTACTGGATAAGATCACCAGTGGAGCAAGGAGAGAAGGAAAGCAGAAGTCCAAGGGTTGAGCCCAATATTCAGAGGTTGGGGAGAGGAGAGGAACCAGCAAAGAGACTGAGGAGGACCAGGCGGTGAGACTAAAGGAAACTAGGAGCATGTGAGATACTGGAGGCCACAGAAGAAAAGACTTCTAGTGTTTCATGTGCTTTTAAATCTACTCTTGGCAATGACTTTAGCAATTGCTCCCATGTCCGTGTCAGTGATATCACAGGTGAAGGAACTGATGCTCACAGAATTAGGCCCAAAAGGCAGAGTTTGTAGCAGCTATTGAAATGGGGCCCACATCTCCCCCTCCGTGTCCAGTGCTCTTTCACTGCACCACAACAGCCTCTGGTTGGAAGAAGGAGACTTGCCTAAGGCTATTATGTTTATACAAAATTATTCCCCCACCCCCAAAATTGTCTGTTTTAAACTAGACGTTCAACTTGGCTGCCTTGGTACAAAAAGCTATTTGATATTCAAGTAAGAGTGCTATAAAAGCAGACCAAAAAGGAAATAGGCTAGGCAACGTCATTGCCGACAGCTGAAGGATATGATAGAATTAGCAGCATCTGCTTAGGAAGTGCCTGACCTCACAAAGGTTGACAGGAATAATTTTGAGCCTGTGTTTGGAGCCACAGAGGATTAGGGGAGTGTGTGTGTGTGTGTGTGTGTGTGTGTGTGTATGCGTGTGTGTGTGTGAGAGAGAGAGAGAACGATGGAGAGAATGTGAGAGCATGAGCAAAATCACTCACTGACCTTTGGCTTGGTAAACTGTTTCTTGGGTTGCCTGGCCCCTGGTAAAGTCTTCAGGACTCTGCAGGGAAAATCCTGAGGTCAGGCAGATGAGAGGCGACTGTGATGACCCCATGATGGAGAAAGAGTGCAGGGGCAGTGATACATTCTGTGCTTGGTCCCCTGATCCTTATTGACAGGAGGGTGCCATGGGGAAAGCCAGTCAGAAATGGAAATGCTCTTTACCTACTCTGTCTTCTCTCCCTGCCTTCTTCTACCCAACAGCGGCATGAACTTGGAACTGTGAAAACAAAACTGAGTTAGACAAATCTCAGTGAGGAATTCCTTAGGATGGCATTGAAATGTCTGTAAGCACTGTGGTGCCAATAGGATGAATAGAAAAATAAATTGGAATCCCAGCCCTTTGGAAGGTTGAGGCAGGTGGATCACCTGAGGTCAGGAGTTCGAGACCAGCCTGACCCACATGGTGAAACCCCATCTCTATTAAAAATCCAAAATTAGCTGGGCATGGTGGCGCATACTTGTAATCCCAGCTACTCAGGAGGCTGAGGCATGAAAATTGTTTTAAGCTGGGAGGCGGAGGTTGCAGTTAGCCAAGATTGCGCCGCTGCACTCCAGTCTGGGCAACAAGAGCGAAACTCTGTCTTAAAAAAAAAGAAAAAGAAAGAAAAATCAGAACAGAATGGAGCAGCAAGTATTATACATTAGTTGAAATCAACCAAGTGGTGATTTGGGAGAAAAGCATCAGGATGGGAGGAAGGCTATGAGACAAGGCAACTCAGAAACAGGCCTGAACACTACAGCGGGATAGAGGCAGGGATCTGAGATTGGTAGCAAACCTAATATAGCTGAGATGGAACCCACAAAATTGCTTGGGAAGGTAACCCAAGAGTGTTTAAAATGACGTGATTGTTTCCTTATGGGGTAAGCATTTTTAATCCTGCAAAAATTTAGAAAAAAATGAAGAAATGTTTAAGAGAATCAAATTCATAATATTTTTGTTATACACATTTGGTTTTTTAAGTATTTGTAATATTTAAGGGAAACTGACCCATTAGAATAACAATCATCCTTTTGATGCCAAACAAAATATGTAATTAAGAAATTGATTTAGTTTTCTAATTTTAAATTAAAAGACATTCTAAAATTGCGATCAGTATTGGGATTCTTGAGAGAATATGGTTTTTCACATTTTAAAGCTTAATTTGTTAGAGCTATAAGAAGTTTTTAGACAACTGACATGAGAGAAATAAAATATATTAAATATATAAACGATATAAAATATTTGAATGAGTTTTATAAACTAAATTTATAAATGGGACCTAACATTTAATTAAAAAGCCCTCTTAAAAGTGATTGTTGGCCGGGCACTGTGGCTCACGCCTGTAATCCCAACACTTTGGGAGGCCGAGGAGGGTGGATCACCTGAGGTCAGGAGTTTGAGACCAGCCTGGCCAACATGGTGAAACCCCATCTCTACCAAAAATACAAAATTAGCCAGGCATGGCTGTGGGCACCTGTAATCCTAGCTACTCCAGAGGCTGAGGCAGGAGAATTGCTTAGAACCTGGGAAGTGGAGATTGCAGTGAGTCGAGATCGTGCCACTGTACTCCAGCCTGGGCAACAGAGGGAGACTCTGTCTCAAAAAAAAAAAAAAAAAAAAAAGTGATTGTTAACAATTGTCATATTTATATATATATATATTTTTTTCTGGTTAAATAAAATGTTTTATTATAATAAATCTCACCTGTTTCTACTTTTCTTTTTCTTTTTTTATATTATACTTTAAGTTTTAGGGTACATGTGCACATTGTGCAGGTTAGTTACATATGTATACATGTGCCATGCTGGTGCGCTGCACCCACTAACTCGTCATCTAGCATTAGGTATATCTCCCAATGCTATCCCTCCCCCCAACAATTGTTATATTTATAAAGAGTAATAATATTTCTATATTAAACTTAAAATCCTAAGGCAGAACCTAAGATTTTAAATTAGTAATTTACATAGATTGAAGATTAAGTTTTAAAAATTAAAGTAGCTCTTAATAATCTTTACTGGGCAAAAAAAGGGCCCTTGAGATTGGATAGGGTTTTGATGTTTGTCCCCTCCAGATCTCATGTTGAAATGTGATCCCAGTGTTAGAGGTAGGGCCTGGAGGGAGGTGTGTGATCCCTCATGAATGGCTTGGTGCCCTCCCCATGGTATTGAGAGGGTTCCCAGTCTGTGAGTTCACAGGAGAGCTGGTTGTTTAAAACAGCCTGGCACCTTCTCCTCTCTCTCTTGCTACCTCTCATCACATAACACGTCTTCTCTTCCGCCATGATTGGAAGCTTCCTGAGGCCTCACCAGAAGCATATGCAGTCACCAGCATAGTGACTGCCTTATTTTGTAGATAAGGAAAAGACACAAAGAAGTTAAATGACTTCGCAAGATTGCATGGCTAGCAGAGTTAGAGATAAGGCTGTGGGTTGTGTACTCTAATAACTCCCAGTTCAGGATTCTTCTTGGAGCACTTCTTTGTCAGGGCAAGTGGCTTTGATGGTGAGAATGAAGTCATAGCATCAGTTGGTGGTTCAGGCTTTACAATTTGGCTGAGGGGACACTGCTGCATTCCAAAGCTTTGGATGAAAGTTGATTAATTTTTAAATACACTCACCTCCCCCTGCAAACTTTGAAGTCTCTCCTGTATTCTGGTTGTGAATCTTCAGCCTTTCAAAGCAACCTAGTTCTAAGGAAACTGTCCTCAGGACTAAGGTCTCTCATTCTTGGAGATGTCTTTGGAGGGACACACCTTAGAGGCTCTCTCTCTCTCTCTCCCCCAGGCCCTGTGCAAAATCCCAAAAATGCTAGCTTGGTAGGTGACTGTAGTTGAGAGGAATGGGCCTGGGAGGAGGTAGGGGCAAGTCAGTATATCCCAGTAAAAGCAAGCTTTCTGCATAAGGCGGGTGTAGAAGATCTGATTCAGCAAGGCTGCCCCTGAAAGTCAAGAAACAAGAAGAGGCACAAGGGAAGAGTCCTTGAATTTCAATCTCTAGCGAGCTCGTGCGTGAAGGAGCTTTGGAGGGATTTCCCTGAGGTGGGCTGAAGGAGTGTGACCAGTGAGTGAACACCCCTAGGGAAGAAGGGCCATGATGCCGTTGAAGGTATGCGAAGTACAGAGACTCCCCCATTTTGTGTGTTCTTCTCATGCCCCTTGTCCTATCTAGTATGTTTATATCTGTTTTGTTTGTTTGTTTTTGTTTTTGAGACAGGGTCCCACTCTGTTGTCCAGGTTGGAGTGCAGTGACACAATCACAGCTCACTGGAACTTCTGCATCCTGGGCTCAAGCGATCCTCCCACCTCAGCCTCCCCAGTAGCTGGGACACAGGTGTGTGTCACTACGCCCAGCTAATTTTTAAAATATTTTGTAGAGACAGGGTTTTGCCATGTTGCCTAGGCTGGTCTCCAACTCCTGGGCTCGAACTCCTAGGCTCAAGCAATCCACCTGCCTCGGCTTCCCGAAGTACTGGGATTACAGGCATGAGCCACTGCGTCTGGCCTAGTATGTTTATATCTGGGCAGGTTTGTGCAATATCGCAATAACCCCTCACAGGAAAGAGAATAGATAACAGTATTGCCACTTTAAAATTGAGGAATCTAAAGTCCAAAAAGGATAAGAATCAGCCAAGTATAAAAAAACTAGGAAGTAGCAGGGCCTGATTTCTGGACTCAGATCCACTATTGTTTATTTTTTTCTTCTGCTGTTCTTAGTCTTCCTTTTCATTTTAAAAGCTTTATTAATTTTCTTGTTTTTCACAGAGTTAATATATGTATTAAAAAATAGAATAGGCTGGGCGCAGTGGCTCATGCCTCTAATTCCAGCTCTTTGGGAGGCCGAGGCGGGTGGATTGCTTGAGGTTAGGAGTTCGAGCCCTAACCAGCCTGGCCAACATGGTGAAACCCCATCTCTACTAAAAGTACAAAAATTAGCTGGGCGTGATGGTGGGTGCCCGTAATCCCACCTACTAGGGAGGCTGAGGTAGGAGAATCGCTTGAACCCAGGAGGCAGATGTTGCAGTGAGCTGAGATCCCGCCACCGCACTGCAGCCTGGGAGACAGACCAAGACTCCATCTCGGGGAAAAAAAAAAGGAATAAAATAAATATACATTAAAAAAAAATCATAATTCTATCACTTAGAGGTAGTCATTGTTAACACCTTGGTATATGTTATTTTAGATATTTTTCTATGTATGTAATAGGTAAAAATGTGGTTTCATACAACTTATAATTTTGGTAACATGCTTTCTTTTCTTCTTTTTTTTTTTTTGCATTGGTTCAAAGAGAAAAAAAAAACCTATCTTCTCAACTATACCCTTAACAGTTATAACAATATATGTACATAGTTTAAAAAGTCAAAACAGTCCAGTGCAGTAACTCACACCTGCAATCACAGCACTTTGGGAGGCTGAGGCAAGAGGATTGCTTGAGCCCAGGAGTTTGCAACCAACCCAGGCAATGTAGTGAGACACAGTCTTTATAAAAAATCAAAATATTAGCTAAGTATGGTGGTACACACCATAGTCCCAGCCACTTGGGAGGCTGAGGCAGGAGAATCACTTAAAGGCCTGGGAGGCGGAGGCTGAAGTGGGTCATGATTGCACTACTGCACTCCAGCCTGAGCGACAGAGAGAAACGTTCTCTTGAAAGAAAGAAAAAGAAAAAGTCAAAACAGCACTACAAATGTTACATCAAGAAACATTTGCCGTGGCTACCCTGCTTCATACCTGATTCTGTACCCCTGAGGCAACTGCTTCCAAATCCGAAAACCTTCTAAACAACATGCTTATGCTGCTATTTCTTGATTTTGCAGGTTTGGATATTATGCACTAACTTTCTGCTGAGGCAGATGAGGAGTTAGTTTTCTTGTGTTTGCATCCCCCTTTCTGTCACTCTCCCCTTCCTCCCTTGCTCCAGATATGGTTATAGCACTGTTTTATGATGTGGATGAAACCAATATTTCGGTGGTCACATTTCTGGAAGTATGTGACGATCATTCACGCTGAGCCATGTACTGTGCTAAGATTACTTGTTCTCTCTTATGTAACTCTTTACCTCTGGAATGAATAATTGATTTATTTTTGTTTTAATTGGCTTAGTTGGTTGGTTTTGCACGCAAAGCTCCCTGACAGAACTGTGCATCACGTCCTGATCCATGCGCAAACATTATTCCCTCTTTCACTGAGACAGCCCTCCTAAAGGCCCCTGTCCTGCCCGTATTTGGGAGAGGTGGTTCTCCAGGGCCACCGTGTTCTCCTTGCCATCATTCTGGAATTCCTCTCTCCTGCTCTCCTGGGTTGGATGCCCTGTGTTCTGGCACCCGTGTCTTCCTATGTCTTGGTTGACTTTCTCCAGTTTGTTGCACACATCCCTTTTAGTGGATGAAGAGATAAAAGTTGGTTTTGTTTCCAGATCAACATAAATTAACAAATGGAATTCATCTCATGTGGGATCCACCAATTCCCATTTTACTTTGTAGACTCAGGATTATGGTCAGATTTGTTTTTTTCCTCTAGATTCAGTAAGCCTTCTACACTTAAAAACTTTATCTGAAAATCCAAGCTGTGGCCATTGCAGGAAACAATAGCATAAAGTGTGCTCCATTTAAAGAAGAGGATAATTTGAACTAAGAGCCTTCAGTCCACTGAAAAGTGAGCTCTGGAGACTCTGGTAGGTGATGTGCAGATTGTCACGTGTGCTGGCCTCACACAGCTCTTTCTCACACCTCTGCCCTCCATGTGGCCTGTGGGCTGTCAGATGTGGCTCAGAACTTTGTTTGCCACACTTCATTTGAGCACAAAGTATAGGGCTTGGACAGGTGTTGGGGACTTCACGGTGGCTTCTGAAATGGTTTCCCAGAAAGGCAGTGACTCATCCCAGGAAACCCTTTTGTTTTCTTTCTGACCTTCCCCCAACTTCCTGCTCCACCTATCTGTGCATGAGTTTTCACATTCCTCACCAAGAGACAGCAGCTCACCTCTAACTTTAGTCAACAGTGGTGACTGGAGACAGTTCTGGGAGTAAGACAAGGACACCCCTTCTGACAGTAACGTCCATGAGGGTACTAGGTTTTTCCTCCATGTCTTGGCATCTCCCCTTTGAGGCATGTGTTAGTTTCCATTCCATGACCCTTAGAGAATCCCTTTTCCAACGTCCTTAATCAGAGTAGATTGGAACATTATAAAAGACACAGGTTTGGCTGGGCACGGTGGCTCACGCCTATAATCCCAGCACTTTGGGAGGCTGAGGCAGGAGGATCATGAGATCAGGAGATCAAGACCATCCTGGCCAACATGGTGAAACCCCATCTCTACTAAAAATACAAAAATTTATTTGTATTTTTGTGTGGTGTGGTGGCGTGTGTCTATAGTCCCAGCTACTTGGGAGGCTGAGGCAGGAGAATCACTTGAACCCGGGAGGTAAAGGTTGCAGTGAGCCGAGATAGCGCCACTGCACTCCAGCCTGGGGACTCCTCCGTCAAAACAAAACAAAACAAAAAACCCCCACAGGTTTGCCCTCTTAGCCCTTGCTTTAATGTGGGATTACTTTTGCACAACACAACTCTTTTTCTAGAAAATATACATCACTATATATTGAGTAACCGATATTCAATATTTTTGGATTGATGTGAGCTAACTGGAGAGGAGGTTTGTAGTTGCTGACCCACTGTGCTTCAGACATAGCCAAGAAGTTCGAGGCTAGCCTGGGCAACATAGTGAGACCTCATCTATACAAAAAAATAAAAAACATTAGCTGGGTGTGGTGGGACACGCCTATAGTCCCAGCCAGTTGGGAGGCTGAGGTTGGAGAATCTCAGCTGAGGTCTTCAATAGATATATATTGGCATGAATTATACAATTCAAATTCCTGTATGTTAAAAGGGATCTTAAAGATCACCCAGTGCTCCTTTTCCATTTGGAAGACAAGGATCCTGAGGTCTAAAGAAATTGCTTTCTCATGGCTGCCCAGCCATGTCCTTGGCCTTATTGGTCCTGGCCCTTCTAAGGCTACTACTCACACCTGCCTGTGTGCTGCTCTCCCGTTGAACTCCAGTCCCTCCTATCTGCACTTCTTCACTCTGCACCTCAGGGTATAGTTCTCAGGCTGCAAAAACCCCTTGGCAAAGTCCTACCCTTCCTTTGCCACTGGCTTCCCTGAAGCCCCCTCCCTGGTTCTAGGCTTCTCTCTAGACTGCAGGCAAATTCAGATTGGTGATTTTGGTTTCCTTCTGCTGAGAATCCATGACTTCCCATGAAGGATATGTTTCAAAATAATTCTTGAAAACTCGAATAGGAAAATGCTCACTAAAGAAATTTTGAAGAAGACACAAAAAGGTGATGTTTAGCTTTTCTGGTATTTCTTTGGGCATTTCTCCACTAGATCCCCTTCCTCCTAAGCAATAGGTTGTTTGTATTTTTTATTATAATCCTCACCTTACTCATTCAATTTTGTGTCCTGCTATTTTCCCTTTGTGCTCTTTTAGTGTAACTTTATGACAGATGGATTGGGAACAAACACACTTTTTAAAAGGAAACTTCTGTAGACTACTGCCACCTATTTATAAAAATAGGTTCTAGGCTGGGTGTGTCTGTAATCCCAGCACTTTAGGAGGCCAAGGCAGGAGGATCACTTGAGGCCAGGAGTTCAAGCCTAGCCTGGGCAACATAGGGAGACTCCATCTCTATAGACAAAAATTTTAAAATATTAGCTAGGAGTGGTGGCACACACCTGTGGTCCCAACTACTCAGGAGGCTGAGGTGGGAGGATCACTTGAATCTGGGAGGTCAAAGCTGCAGTGAGCTGTGATCACGCCACTGCACCCTAGCTTGGGCGACAGAGTGAGACCTTGTCTTAAAAAAAGAAAAAAACAAAAAAAAGGAAAATAGGTTTCTTTACTTTTTGGTAGTGCAAACAACAATGTGCACATTCAAGGCTAGTGTTTGGAGACAGGAGCCATGCTCCATATGCCTCTACATCTTCCAGTCTTCCCCACCGCTCCTTTGGGGGAGTTGGGGGTTGCATTCTCTGTTATTGCCAATGGGGCCTGTGTTTTCTAATAGTCTATGAGTCAGAATCCTTCCTCTGTCACCATATCCATATTCAATCCTGTCTTCTAGTCTCCATGATGGGAACTTGAGAGCCTCAGCACCATCTTGACCTGTCTGTCATCTCTTTGATCTCTCATTTACTGTCAGTCTGTTGTAAAACTCTGCAGCCTTGATACCTGCATACCCCATAACTCTGTGAAAGCAGGAACCGAGTCTTCCCATAAGCCTTAGATCTGTCTCTTTATCCCCAGTGTGATGTCAAGCATAGAGAAGACACTGATACATGTATGGTGACTGAATGAATGAATGCACGAATGAATGATATAATTGCAGTGCAGAGTAGTCTTCCCTTCTAGTGATTCCAAAAGCAAAATCAAGACTGGAATAGTAACATTCTCTTCAGTGCATTTACTACCACAAGTGCAGAAACAAACAATAGGAAACTGAGAATCAGAATGGGTTGAGATTTACCTTGGATGCAAATGATGGTTTCTGGTTTCTCAAGCCTCTTTCTCTCTCCTCACAGCCCACAGTCCCTGGGAATTACAAAATTCTTTTTATCATTAAAGAATATTAAATGGCTATTTTTTCTTTAATTAACTGTCCTTAA
The DNA here is from genome assembly GCF_000001405.40 of Homo sapiens. NCBI lineage: Eukaryota > Metazoa > Chordata > Mammalia > Primates > Hominidae > Homo > Homo sapiens. The sequence goes on along the minus strand of NC_000014.9, from coordinate 34,041,130 downwards.
TTTTGAGACCAAAGAAAAGGTTTATTTCCCAAGATAGCAGCAGCAAGCTCTGCTCTAAGGGAAAGCCCACATTTTTTATAAACTTTCCTTAACACCTCAAAATTTTAGTCCCAGGGTAACCTTGCTTGAGATGTAAAATTGCTATAAGTGAAAAACTACTTACTCAGCAATATAAAAGAATGAACAATTGATACATACCACAACATGAATGATTCTCAAAATAATTATGTTGAATTAAAGAAGCCAGACCCCCCCCATCCTCAAAAAGCATATATACTGCATGTTTCCATTTATATAAAATTATAGAAAATGCAAACAAATATATAATGAAAGAAAGGAGGTCAGTGCTTATCTTGTGGGTAGGGAAGGAAGAGCAGGGAGGCAGGGATGATAAAGGGGCACTGGGAAACTTTTTGGTGGTGATGGATGTGCCGGTGATGGTTGATTGTTGTGATGGTTTTGTAGGTGTGTGCCTGTGTCAACGCATATTAAATTTTATATTGTAAACACATGAAGTGTATTGGATGCCAATTATATGCCAATAAAGCTATTTTAAAAATTGCTTCTGGTGGAATAGAGTCTTAGTTTAGGCTGCTATAACAAACCACTATGGACTGGGTAGCTTCAATAACAGAAATTTATCTCTCACAATTCTGGAGGCTCAGAAGTCAGCAGATCCAGTGTCTAGTGAGGGCCCTCTTCCTGGATTAGAAATAGCCATCTTCTCTTTGTATCCCCACATGGCAGAAACCAGAGAGAGAGCATCTCTGTCATGTCTTTTCTTATAAGGGCTCTAATCCCATTCAAGAGGGCTCCACCATAATGATATAAAAACTTCTGGAGGCCCCACCTCCAAATACCATGACATTGGGGATTTAGGTTTCAACTTATAAATTTGGTGAGGGAGACACAAATATTCAGTCCATAGCAGAGTCCTGCCCATCACCCTATATGTCCTACCTCATTTTCCAGCTTCCCGCCACTAAAGGATGATCATCCCCGATTTTGTTCCTCAAGTACAATCGGTCTTTTGCCATGGTAGACGCTGAGATTTAATTGCTTCCTCTGGAAGTACAGAAACTATTTTAACCGGGCTACTGTTCCCTCCTGGTTAATTCCCTGAGCCTCCTGAGTGCTGCAGACAAGTTTGTCCTCTTTTTCTATTTCACACCATTTTAAGGGTTGCCTCCCTCACAGTCCAGTGGCATGTTTTGGATAGACAGCAGCCGATTGGGCACCTGTATTACTGTCTGTCTGGGCCATGACTCACCAGCCCCAATGATAACAATCCTTAGACCTTTGACATGTTTTCAGGATGCTTTTCAAAATACCTATTGGTTCCACAAAGGAAGCCCTGAGACAGTGAGTGACCCACCAGTGTTTGCCTCTTCTTCTCTTGTGTATTTCTTTCATTACTCTCCAAGGTGCTTTAATATTAGGTAGTTCCAGATCAGCAGTAAGAAATGCAAACAAATACCCTCCTCAGAAGTTCAGCATTATTTTACTGTCTTTGAAATATTTTCAGAACTTAAGGGAGAATCAGGAATGAGTCCCTGGAATTATATAGATGTGGGACATCATTGACCAGCTGAGGTAATGACTGTTCTTCCATCTTGCAGAAACAACAGGTCAAGGCTCTGAGTGGTTAAGTAAATAGCTAAGACCTTGAGCTAGAGCAGGGAGACTCAAACCCGTGCTGGTTTGTGGACAAGGGAAGAAATGGAGAGCAATTGTTTAGAAACGTTCATAGCAATATGATGGAATAGTTTTATGACATAATAACAAAAAAGTTGAGCTTGTATTTTATATGCCTGTTATTTTTAACTCTTTTCTAATAATTCATTTTTGTTTATTCTACAAAATTGAGGATTCATAGTAGATTGGAAATTTTAGAAAAAATCAGCGGGCCCTTTATCACAGATTTCTTGAGAAGCACTCAACTAATTTCATGGTCTCTGCAGGGCGGTTCTGGGTGCCTTCCTTCCAGTGAAGATCATGAGTACCTTCCTTCCAATGGAGATGATGGGTGAACTGTGGAGAGATGGAGACAGTGCCAGGGAGGAGGATGTCCCCTTCATCTCTGGTTCCTTTTCCTTTTCCTCCACATGCATCCCTGGAGAAGCACTCCACCAATAGCAAGCAGAGTTGAGACTAGAATAGAGGAGAATGCAGTTAGAGAAGGGCTTGGAAATGGCAAGGTTGGCAGGAAAAGCTTTGTGGTTATCACCTAGCATGCTGACTTAGGCAAATGCCCTGTACTCTGGACCTCAGGAGCAGGTGGAGGAAGCAGCTGAGAAATATCTCACTAGTTTGGAATGAAGCTGGAATTGTGAGTTCCACTATGTTTAAGACGCTCGTATAACCTAAGAGGAGGGAAAAAAAGGCTGCCTGTCATCACCCTGTAGTGTGAGGCTAGACATCGACATATTCCGACGGAGTCACTGATCAGAGGAACTTCCCTTTAAAAACATGGAGGGATCAGCACACTGCACAGGTACATTGTAGTGAAAAGAGATGGGATCAGAAAAGGGCTGAGCCTAAGATGGCCTCATTATCTGTCTTAAAATGGGGAGATCCAAGCAGCTGAAAGGCATCAGGAAGATGTCACCATCTCATTTCACAGCTGTCTCTGCTGGTCCCTGTTTGCTTTTGTTTCAGTAAATCGTAGTGTGAAGTAATGTTCATGTTCCCAGGGGACATGGAACAGCCTACTGCCCTGCTTGCCTTTGAAGCAGTTAGCTGACAACACCTTCACTATCACATCTTCTGGAGAGGTGGCAGAAAGAGATGATGCCTTCCTTTTGTTGACTTTCATACATGATTATATGTCTGGACACTCTTACTGACATCAATGTGCTTGTTGACTGGGAGGACAGGATCAGGTTGAGTGGGTTCAGGCTTTTTACTATGAGAAAAGCTTTTGCTCTTTACTTCGGGAAATGAAGGAAACACCCAGCCCTCTTGCTTGTTTGTTAAATTAAAGGGTGACTTCTGCATCGTAAACTGCCCTGGAATATATCTTGGTTTTGACTTGGGTAATGATGCACACATGCCTCAGTGTGCCTGCCCTGTGGCCTTATTATTATTTAGTCTGACATGTTGGGATTTGGGAGAGGGTTGAGATTAGAGCTTAGGGCTTATGTTGGTTAGCACCATCATGGGAGGAAGGGCCTGCAGCATGGTGAGCTACAGTCAAAGAGAAGCAGAATTGGAAACTCAGCTACCTTTCCCTCTTGTGCTAAACCCAAGTTTGTGACAATGCAGTCAGAATTAGTTACTTTCGGGGAGGATTTGCAATATCTGGACCCAACTGCAGTAGCAGTAAAGAGATTGACAAAGGAGGGCAAGCATAACATGTAAACTATTCCCAATGAATGGTTTAGAAACTCGTAAAGCCAAACTGGCACTTTCTAGGGATGAAGTGACGGACCTACCGCGACTAGGGAGACCAGGCTGTGGTTCTAGGTGTTTAGCTCTCCCAGTTTGTCTGTCCTGAAATAGCCAGAAACAAAATTCAACCCAGTGTCACTGCTCCCCAAAATTTACAATCTTATTGGCTAATAAGACTGGCCCAGCATGAAACAATGGTAATAAGTGCAGATTGTGGCCAAGATGACAGGTAATAGAGTTGTGTCAAAATACAGGGGCTGACGTGGGTCAGAGGAGACAGGGAAGGCTCCTGGGAAAGTTGGACTTGAATTGGCACTGAGTCCTTCCCTCGTTTGGATTCAGATGGGGTTTGAGTCCTAGATTCACCAGGACTTACTTTGAGCAGGTATATAAGATCTCTGAACATCAGCATTCTCATCTACAAGATGGGGAAAATAGTAACAATGTCCTAGGCTTTTTGCGAGCATTAAATGACATAAAGTACCTAGCGATTAAGTGGTCAGTAATGTTAGATCATCCATTACTTCCATGGCTACAAAGAATTCCCTCTTTCTGGGACTGGCTCACGAATCTGGCCACAACATTCAAATTTGTAAGGCTGCTATTTCTGCCTGGGGTGAGGTGCCTGGGTGGTGGTGGGAGTGGGGAGTGGTATAAACAAACCATGAGCTGCTTTTCCTAACTATGTACCCAGTTCCCCTAACTGAATTACAAGTGTCTCTTTTTTTTTTTGGAGACAGAGTCTCACTCTGTCACCCAGGCTGGAGTGCAATGGCGTGATCTTGGTTTACTACAACATCTGCCTCCCAGGTTCAAGTGATTCTCCTGCCTCAAGCCTCCCAAGTAGCTGGGATTACAGGTGCCCGCCACCACACCCGACTAATTTTAGTATCACAAGTGTCTCTTAAACTAGAAAATCTAAGGCATAGCTTGCATTGAGAGGGATATTTTGTCCAAGTACTCACTTGGCTGAAAAGACCAGTTTTCATCACAAAGCTGATATCACATTTTTGAGCTGCTTGGCTTCCCTTCCTAGCCTCTCCTAATTTGTAAACATTTCTCAATTTTACTATACACAAAATAGGAAGTTATGAAATCCCAGCTCTGAGCTTGAGTGCTGTTCATTCTGGAAAAGCAGGCCTAGGAATCGGTTGATTTTAAACTAATTTTAATCAGTAAGAACTTGGTCATGAACCGAGAAGAAATATAGCATAATGGTTAGGAGCAGGGACTCTGGGTTCAGACCACCTGGACTTGCTTCCTGGCTCTGTCACCTTGCTATCTGCATGACTTTGGGTAAGGTATTTACTCTCTGTGCCTTAGTTTACTCATCTGTTAAATGGGAAAATAATGGTACACATCTCATAGTGTGGTTGTGATGAGTAAATTAGTCAACATATATGTGAAGTGCTTAGAGCAGTAAGTGGCTGATGTAAGTCCTAAATATGTGTTAGCCATCATTAATATCATTATGTCCTGGTGAAAAGGGGAGAGGGAAGGTTTAAGGCCCTGATGGATGCGGTCCCCCTAAACAAGAGGGCACTAAGAGAGCCAGCACCAGCTGGGCCTGGCAACAGTGGGAGGCAGGGAAAAGAATACTCTTAGGAAGGTATGGCCCAACTGCCAGATCCTAGTGAGAGAGCCCAGGTTGAATCAATGACAGGAATCTGCCAGCAGAGAACCCCTTTAGAATTTGACTGTCTCCATTCCAGAATTCTGGGCTTCCTGGGACATAGCCTCTCTGCCAGCCTGCCCAAAACCTTTTTCAGTAAGGATGACACACTTAGACAGGGCTGACTCAGTAACAGGCCCTTTGTTCTGTCTCCTGGACCTCTGGGTGCCACTGTCTGTACATGTCCAGCTTGGCAGGCAGCTGGCATCCTAAGGATTCAGGTCGTTATCAGCTGGACACTGACTAAACAGAGCCCCTCCCAGCCAAGTGATGTGTGAGGCAGTGCACGTAGGCCTGCATACCTCATATCTCTGCCCGGGCAATTACAACCCAACCACCCTGCCCCATTCCAAGGCAGCTGGAGCCAGCTAGGGCACAGCGTTTGGGGCAGAAGCCAGGTATTTTTCCTCCTTTTATCCTTTTTGATTCCGTAGGCATTTTCTTCTAAGCTCAGGATCTAACTGCAATGTCCCACATGGGAAAACAAACCTGAGAGGCAGGAACTAGGCCGTGTCTGCTCATGATGCTGCCTTTTACTGCTCTGAAATGGAGCCAAAAAAAGGCGCAGCCTCTGTCCTCCAGGACAGAAAAGCTAGAAGCAGTGTGTCCTTTCCCTAGCCGCTGTTTGCCTTTTGAGCATGTTGCATATACCCGCACATTAGTGGTGCACTGTCTAGTCTGGTGTTCAGATCTATATTTAAATACTACTGTGGGATTCAGAGTCCAAGTGTGTAAAGTGCAAGCCTGGGCTTGGCCAGGCATCAAGGTTTGCGGCCTACCCAGTGGGTCCTTAAAGCTGGCCTCTTGCATCAGAAGTGATCCCATGCACTTCTGATGACAGTTTGTGACAACTCCCTCTGGTTTGGGAAGTCTCCCTGTGCATGTTCTCTTATCTCAGCCGAGAGGACCACGTGTGAATATTAACAATTGGTACCATTTATTGGACGCTTGCTCTGCACCAGACAGTATGCTGAAGGTACTTTCTATAACAATTTCCTGTACCCATCTCCCATCCCCAGTGCTTCAATGGAGGTAGTGGATCAATTCTGCTTTACAGATGAGGACACTGAGATGCAGTGACATTAGGTAACTTAAGGTCACCCAAGTAGGAAGTGGTAAGGTCAATATATATATATTTTTTGAGACAGAATCTCACTGTGTCTCCCAGGCTGGAGTGCAGTGGGGGGTGCTCTGGGCTCACTGCAACCTCCACCTTCCAGATTTAAGCGATTCTCCTGCCTCAGTAGGAATAGCTGGGATTACAGGCGTGGGCCACCATGCCTAGCTGATTTTTGTATTTTTATTAGAGACGGGGTTCACTATGTTGGTCAGGCTGGTCTCGAACTCCTGGCCTCAGGTGATCTGCCTGACTTGGCCTCCCAAAGTTCTGGGATTACAGGCATGAGCCACCGCACCCGGATGGACCAGTACTTGGACAGTTTGATCCAGAGCATGTTCTGCAGCATCTCTCTGCTTGTGTCTCTCCAACAATTAAACCAATGCCTGGGAATTATCATCCTCATTGTGATGATTTTTATCAGCCAGCAGGGGCCAGAAGCTTCTATGTGGTGGACGCATTTGGCTAATTTGCTGTGCCGTTGGTGATAGGGAGAATAACACACACAAAAAAATTGAGTTATTTCCTTACTGATTTCTATTAGTTTGATTCAACAAATATTTAGTGAGCATTTGCATTGTGCAAGGCAGAACTAGCAAAGAGGGCTGCTACAAGGTAATTGCTTTCAAAGAGCTGGCACTCTAGAAAGAGAAATTGTCTTTCCAAATTCCCAAGATGGCCCACAAGGCCATCCTCTTCAGTCTCTTAAGGGCCGTCCTCTTCAGTCACATTGCTCTGCATTCCCCTCCTTTGTCTGAAGCCTCCTCCAAGTCCTTTTGTTTGGGGAGCTCCCTACTAGCCCAGGGCCTTGCACCTTCTGTTCATCAGCCTGAAATACTTCACACCTCTGCCTGGTTAACTCCTCATCCTTCAGGGGATTCTCTCCCACTCCCATAGAATAGGTCAGGTTCTCCCCTCTCATCTCATCACAGGTCCCTCTACTTTTAATTTTTGCAATTATTTGATTAATCTGTTACTGATGAGGGCACAGATGCTTTTGTTGTTCACCCCTGTATTCCCAGCACATAATAGGTGTTTGCTAAATATTCTTAAGGGAATGAAGATTACAGATTATTTATTCAAGCAAAAACTGGGGCATGTTAGTCCCCAGTCCCCCAAGAAGCAGACATCAAGACAAGATCAAACATGGCAGGATTTTAGTAGTGTGAAAGTCTACGAGAAAGTGGCAAGGGAGCTAAAGGAAGGTAAAACAGTCGTCACACTGTAAGTCTGATCCTAGAGTGAAGAAAGGAAGGCTGAGTGGAGTGTTGTGTTTTTTTTTTTTTTCCTTGAGACGAAGTCTCACTCATTGCCCAGGCTGCAGTTGAGTGGAGTGATCTCAGTTCATTGCAACCTCTGCCTTCCAGGTGCAAATGATTCTCCTGCCTCAGCCTCCTGAGTAGCTGGGACTACAGCCACACACCACCATACCTGGCTAATTTTTGTATTTTTAGTAGAGATGGGGTTTTGCCATGTTGGCTAGGCTGGTCTCGAACTCCTGAGCTCAGTTGATCTGCCCGCCTCAGCCTCCCAAAGTGCTGGGATTACAGGCATGAGCCACCGCACCCAGCCTGGGTGGAGTGCTTTATACCTTCCTCTGCAGTCTGAGGAAAGTTTGGCAAGGCCGTGGAGGACTTTAGGCCAGACAAAGTCAACTGAAGGTTGGGAGCCCATAGGAGGTGGGACCTGGCCCTGGGCTTCCGGAGCTCAGCACCTGAGGCGCTCTGTTAATTACGCACTCCTTGTGGATGGAAGGCTGGGGGCTCATTCTCCTGGCTGCCACGTGGGGGTTCTGAGAGGCGAGAGGAGGTGGCTTCTGGTGTATAGAAGGAGAAAAATTACCAAAGACATGTCTTCCGTAAAAAGGTAGGACATCTTACTTTTGAGGCTCAGTAAGTATCTGTCGAACATGTAGCATTCTTTGACACTGTGGAAGACACTATAGGTTTGAGTACACATGGGCTCACTTCAAAAAACTTATGAGCTAATTAAGAGACAAAGTAAACTCACATACATGCTCCTGAATCTCAGTTTTCTCGTTTCTGAAAAGGAGATAACACCACTTACCTCGTGTGACATGTGACAGATCCAGTAACTTCTGTGAATAGGGTAGGTGCTCAACAAGTAAGATTTGAATATGAGTTTAAAAAAATAATAATGCATTGGCCTCTCCACCTTTTCAGTTTTTCTAGTCATTTCAACAGGGTCGACACCTTTTAAAGTAACTTTTGGGTTAGGAAGTGTGTTTTCCTTGTAATTAATCAGTAGTCCTCTGAGGCTTTTTGAAAAAAGATCATTTCAAGTAGAAGAACCACAGTTTAAATAGGTGATCAGCACTAAGGGAAGATTTAGTATCAAGTTGCCACATTTAAGGGACTCTTTGGAGCAAAGCTTAGTAGTGTGTGCTTGGCACAGCCAACTTCCGGGGGGTTGGTTTCTGAACCCTCAGCTCTGGGGGAGTGTTCAGGTTGTCCTCTGTGCTGGCACAGTCATTGGGACATTGCTTGGTTGCCATCCTTCCCATAGATGAAGGTGGTGGATCCCTGAGGGAATTGCAGATTTAATGTGGGGTGGGCCTCCTCCCTTTTCTCAATGCCAAAAAGGGGGTGTGGTTCTGCCCCTGTCCTTCCCACCTCCCCACACACCCCTGTTATTATATATTATGCTTTGGATACACTTGCCCCTGAAGTTAATCTTATCCTGATCTCACCTGTCTCATTGGGCTGTCTTTTTCTAGGAATTGGTTTTCATTCAACAACTATTTCCCAAGCAATTAACTAGTAGATGTAGGTATTGTGCCTCCTCCCTCAGTCCAGGGGGAGGACTGGCTAGAGCATAAAATGTATATGTGAGATGTAAATAGCTCTAAAGAATAAAGCCTATTAAAATATGTATTATGTATTACAAAGTATCACGGGAACGAAGAGGAAACAGGTTTTCCAGGGTAAGGAGGCAGCATTTGATCTAGGACTAATGTTAATAGTCAGAAAAAGGGATGAGGAAGTAGCTTTAGCAAGGGTAGGGTGTGTTTGCCATTTTATACCTTAGACAAGTAATTTGTAAGGGCTGGAAGACAGGGAAGGACCCAAGGACAGATGATAATAGCAAAATGGGGTTGCAGGTAAACCATAGCTGCCCTTGAAAGACTTGTTTAGGAGCATTATAGGTCAAGAAGAGCCACTGATGTTTGACAAGCAGGAGGCAATGTTTGAGCTATTTAGGAAACAGTGTCTGGGTGAGACAGAGTGACTGGTGCCAGAATGGTGCAGTCATTTAGGCGGGAGAGAGAATTGTTTCCGTAGAAATGAAAATAAGAGGCAGATATGAGAGAGTGGGTATCGGAGTGGAGAAGGTGGCTTTGAAGGTGACACAAGGCTTCAAGCCCCTGTGTGGACAGGGAGGGATACCACGGAGAGGGGGAGCCCCAGAAGAGGGGCTGCTAGGCTGGGAATGGTGATCCCTATGTAGATCACATTGCATTTGAGGGGCTGGCAGGATGTACATCTGCACCTGACCAATAGGCACTGGAAATTCAGATCTGGAGCTCAAGTATGTGGTAAGGCTAAAGATAGAGATTTGGGAGTGGTCATCCCATGGATACTAGATGAAATGGCAAGTTGTTTAGTTTCCTTAACCACCTAAAGAAAGGCTTGGTTTCTGGTTGCATGGGTGACAGCAGGTGGATGAGTGTTTTCTGGTGCCTAAATGACCAGTCCTGATTCTGCCAACACAGTCCTTGGATCTTTGAGATTCCAAAAAAGGGACACATTGGTTCTGTCCTCTTTCACTTAGCCCAGCTTTGTCTCTTCTCCCTCAGTTGTCCAGCTTCTAATTCTGCAAACAACAGCTGGAAAACATGAGGGCTGACTCAACAGCTGTGTGTTGGGAATCAAAAGGCATCCAGGATGAAGATACCATCTGGCTATAGCTGCTGCCAAAATGAGTGTGTGTGTGTGTGTGTGTGGGTGTGTGGGTGTGTGTGTGTGCATATGTGAGTATGACATAGGACGGAGTGGCTGAAAATTTATTGCAAACTGTTTTTAAACATGGTAAATTAAATATTCTTTAAAAATAGTTGAATGCTGGCCGGGCACAGTGGCTCACGCCTGTAATCCCAGCACTTTGTGAGGCTGAGGTGGGCAGATCACAAGGACAGGAGATTGAGACCATCCTGGCCAACATGGTGAAACCCTGTCTCTACTAAAAATACACAAATTAGGTGGGTGTGGTGGTGCATGCCTGTAATCCCAGCTACTCGGGAAGCGGAGGCAGGAGAAGCAGTTGAACCTGGGAGGCGGAGATTGCAGTGAGCAGAGATTGCGCCACTGCACTCCAGCCTGGGCGACAGAGCGAGACGCTGTCTCAAAAAAAAAAAAAAAAAGTTTGAATGCTGTCTCAAAGATTATTTCATTTTATATTTCATTCAAAATCTTGGTGATTAGAAAATCGGAAATCTAGCATGCAAGTTCTGATTGCAGGTGACCACCCTTTGTACACTCACTATAGCCTGACCCTGCACTGGCAGTGGAGTATGCTCAGAGACTCAACTTGGCTAGAGGCTGCCTCCTTTTTTCAAGGAGAGGCACAAGGATCTAAGAATATATGAAAAGATTAAAAGTTCAAGAAAAGGCTTTTGTCCCCAATCCCAGTTAAAGAGAGGCCTCTTCCTGGAAAGTGATTAGGGATCTGTGTGGGTGGTTTTGTTCCCCGCCAAACAAGTCTCGAGCTAGGTAATCTGTTTCTAATCATAATTTGGATTACCCGTCAAACTAACCAAATGTTTGTTTGTCTAAGGAGGCCAATCCTCAGGCAAAGAGAAGCTTGACAAACCTCCACCAAGGAACTGGGAAAGTACTTCCCCCACCTCCCCAACCCCACCTCCCAGTGGGATCATTCCAAGGTCAGCAGGCTACAACCGCTGCCTCCTTGTGCTGGAAAGCGCAGAAAGTAACTGCTGTCTTTGCACAGCATTCTGGCTTCTTCAGTTTGGGGCTGTCCCTTCTCGAACCAAACAAATTGCCATCCCCTTCCCAGCCCCTCCTCACCCCCTGGAACATTTGGCAGTGTTTGCGGACTTTCGGTTGTCACCATTGGGGTAACAAGAGTGTGTTATCAGCATCTAGAAGGTAGAAGCCAGGGGAGCTGCTAAACATCCTACAAGGCACAGGGCAGCCTCCATAACAAAGAATTAGCCAGGCCCAAATGTCGATTGTACCCATAGTAGAGACAGCTTTAACTAAAACCTGCCCTCACTGGTGTTTGTTCCTAAACAGAGAGTAAGTAAGCCTTCCAGTAGGCAGATGTTGGTAAACCAGCAATCTGGGGGTGGCGATGTTGGGGGGTGGGGGGTTGGGGAGGAAGCCCCTAATTTGTAGCCTTAGCCAATTTCCCTGATTAAACACTCTCACCATGTTTGATATCAATATCATGTTCTTAACATGGAGTTGGAAAGAGTTGCATTGAATAGGCTCTCGCTAGCTACTACACACCAGCTCCAGATATTCACCTGGGCCCACGGATTCTCAAATCTTAGTAAGAACAAACAAAGCCAGCACGCTCCCATAAATGAATGTGGGTGTCCGTGTCATGCTGAGCCATACTGGAACCTCAGACAAAAGGAAAAATCAGTGATATTGAGCCTGTCTTCATTGAACATTTTGATAGTTTGTTCATCATGGATTTGTTTACATTAATGTAAAATAATGCATTAAATATTTGTTTTATTTTTATTTCTCCTCTTTTTTGTCCCTTCCTCTATTTTTTTTTTTTTTTTTAAACAGGGTCCTACCCTGTTGCCCAGGCTGGAGCATAGTGGCACAATTCTACCTTGTTGCATTCTAATTACTGGGCTCAAGCGATTCTCCTGCCTCAGCCTCCTGAGTAGCTAGGACTATAGGTGCATACCATCATGCCTGGCTAATTTTTTATTTTTTGTAGAGATGAGGTCTTGCTATGTTGCCCAGGCTGGTCTTGAACTTTGGCCTCAAGTGATCTTCCCACCTCAGCCTCTCCTCCTCCTTCTCATTCTCTTTCTTTTTCTCCATCTCCTTTTCTTTCTTTTCTTTCCTTCCTTGCCTCCTTGTTTTCTCCTCTTGCCTTCCTTCCTTTATAGTGGAATGGTTAAGCCACCAGACGAAAGGTTTCCATTCAGGCCAGTGCCCACCACTACAAAGCAAAGCATGGAAGTATGGAATTCATTAGAGTGATTTTCACGCTTCCCGAAGAGAGTTATTGAGGATAGTTGAAATCTCTGCCAATGTCATTTTAAAGGCAGAATGGGAGAGGAGTGGTAACAAATGTTCTGTAGGGTCACAGTCGCTCAATTATCCTTCCATCAAATTAAAACTTTAACTTAAAATTTCAGGGTTTGTCATTAACTGGCTGTGTGTGCAATTCTGGAAGCTCCATTCATAGACTGTGATGTGAATGATGCCCCAGAGTTGTGAGGCAGGTGATCTGGCTTCTTGAAGTCTCTTCAAACTCTACAAATCAAAGCAAACGAAGGAGGATGCCAATCCTGATTTCTTTCTGAGGCAAACCCTGAATGACAGCTGCTTTTCTTTTAAGGAATCCTCACCAGACCTGGAAGGCAACTATGAGAAGCATGTTGTGGCTGTAGCACCCACCGGGCCAAGCATTCAGGACAGATGGCCCGACAAATGCTGTTGCACAAGTGTCCTTCATTAGATCGGCCTGTTATGTTCCTTCATGCTGTCCTGTACTCTCAGAAAGCATGTATCATGACTCTGTAATGATGCAGCTATTTGTCTGATTGTTTATCATTTGTCTGCCCTCAAGAGTATAACTCCCAGAGGACAGGAGCCATGTTTATTTTGTTCATTACTGTGTCTCCCGCGTGAGCCTGTACACACTAGGTGCTCAATAATGGTTACTAAGATGGATGAATGAAAGAAAAACAGTGAGACATAATGCATGTCCAAATGAGTGGAGATACACCCAGAAGGCCAAAAGCCTTCTTTTGGCTTCTTAAAACTGAGCCAATGAATAACCCTACAATCGCCTCTAAGTGTACAAGTGAAGGGAAGAGTCACGTGTCTCTCACTTTAAATTAAAAGTTAGAGATGACAGTGCTTAGTGAGGGAGGCATGTCAAAAGCTAAGATAGGCTGAAAGCTAGGTCTCTTGCACCAAACAGTTAGTTAACTTGTGATTGCAAAAGAAAAATTCTGGAAAGAAATTAAAAGTACTACTCCAGTGAACACATAAATTATAAGAAAGTAAAACAGACTTGTTGCTGATATGGAGAAAGTTTGAATGGTCTGGATGAAAGAACAAACCAGTCACAACATTCCCTTAAGCTAAAGCCTAATTGAGAGCAAGGTCCTATTTCTCCCTTCCCTCCCCTCCCCTCTCCTCCCTTCCGCTCCCCTCCCCTTCCCTCCCCCTCCCCTTCTTCCCCCTCCCCTTCTTCCCCCTCCCTTCTTCCCCCTCCCCCTCCCCTTCTTCCCCCCTCCCTTCTTCCTCCTCTCCTCCCTTTCTTCCCCCCTCCCCTTCTTCCCCCTCCCCTCCCCTTCCCCTCCCCCTTCCCTCCCCCTCCCCTTCTTCCTCCCTCCCCCTCTCCCTCCCCTCCCCATCCCCTCTTCCCCTTCCCCCTTCCCTCCCCCTCCCCTTCTTCCCCCTTCCCCTCCCCTCTCCCTCCTCCTCCCCTCTCCTCCCCCTCCTCCTCCCCTCTCCTCCCCCTCCTCCTCTCTCCTCCCCCTCCTCTTCCTCCTCTCCTCCCCCTCCCTTCCCCTTCCTCCTCCCCCTCCCCTCCCCCTTCCCCTCCTTTTCTTTTCTTTTCTTTTTTCTTTTCTTTCTTTTTTTTCAAGACAGGGTCTTGCTTTTTCACCCAGGCCGGAGTGCAGTGGCTTGATCTTACCCCACTGCAACCTCCACTTCCCCAGCTCAGGCTCAGGTGATCCTCCCATCTCAACCTCTCAAGTAGCAGGGACTACAGGCATGTGCCACCACACCCGGCTAATTTTTGTATTTTTTGTGGAGACAGAGTTTCACCACATTGCCCAGGCTGGTCTTGAACTGGGCTCAAGCAACCCACCCACCTTGGCCTCCCAAAGTGCTGGGATTACAGGTGGGAGCCACCATGCCCAACTGAAAGTGATTTCTTGATATGGCATGTGCTCCTTATTAAGGTGCTAGAAACATTGTTAAAATGACCACAAAGGTTTTAGAGTATTCCGTAAGCTTAGCTGATAAAGCAGCAGCAGGGTTTGAGAGGATTAACTCTAATTTTGAAAGAAATTCTGCTGTCGGTAAAATGTTATCAAACAGCATTGCATGCTATAGAAAAATCTCTCATGAAAGGAAGAGTCCATTGTTGTTGCAACTTCATTGTTGTCTTATTTTAAGAAATTGCCACAATCACCCCAACCTTTGGCAACCACCAGCCTGATTGGTCAGCACCTATCAACATCGAGGCAAGACCCTCCACCAGCAAAAAGATTATGGCTTGCTGAAGGCTCAGATGATTGTTAACATTTTTTAGCAATAAAGTGTTTTTTAGTTAAAGTATATACATTTTTTTTTTAGGCATAATGCTATTGCATTCTTTTTTTTTTTTTGAGATGGAGTCTTGTTCTGTTGCCCAGGCTGGAGTGCAGTGGAATGATCTCTGCTCACTGCAACCTACGTCTCCTGAGTTCAAGTGCTTCTTCCGCCTCAGCCTCCTAAGTAGGTGGGATCACAGGTGCCCAGCACCATGCCACCATGCCCAGCTAATTTTTGTATTTTTAGTAGAGACGGGGTTTCACCATGTTGGCCAGACACTATTGCATTCTTAATAGACTACAGTATAGTATAAACATAAATTATATATATATTGGGAAACCAAAATATTTGTGTGACTTACTTTATTGTGATAGTCACTTTATTGCAATGGCTGGAATTGAACAGTATCTCTAAGGTATGCCTGTATAGGTGATGGTTCTTGAGATGTGAAGTGCCTGGATGATGGGTGATGTGAAGTCATGGGCCTCAAGGGGTTCATGACCCTTACAGTCTGCCTTGGAATGAAACACAGCTTCTTCCCTTAGGGACCAACTTGAAATGGCCTGAGATTGCCCCTGTGGCCAGGCTGGGCCATTAGGGCTAGATGTTGGAACTGGAGAAAGGACCCTGAGGAGGAGGCCACAGGGAAGAATATTCAGGGAACAGCAGCTCCCAGGTTTCTCCATGGTCTTGTTTTGATTCAGCACTCCAGGTAGGAGAGAAACCAAAGGGAGGTAGCACAAGGTAAGCAAAAGTTAGCTGAAGATGTAGATTGTCCATACTCATTAAGAAAATTTGCTGGCTGAGCATGGTGGCTCATGCCTGTAACCTAGCACTTTGGGAGGCTAAGGCAGGTGGATTACCTGAGGTTAGGAGTTCGAGACAAGCCTGGCCAACATGATGAAACCCCGTCTCTACTAAAAATACAAACATTAGCTGGGTATGGTGGCGGGCACCTGTAATCCCAGCTACTAGGGAGGCTGAGGCAGGAAAATCACTTGAACCCAGGAGGTGGAGGTTGAGCTGAGATTGCGCCATTGCATTCCAGCCTGGGTGATAAGAGTGAAACTCCATCTCAAAAAGAAAAAGAAAAAGAAAAAGAAAATTTCCTAGATTTTGTAGCTCACTCTAATGGGCCAAACATGTTTCATTAATTTTGAAAATAACCCACTTTGAAGAACCAATTTACCCAGTTCTGAAATGCATAGTTCTTTATGGGAGATGCTCAGCACTTCAGGACTACACAATGGAGTAGGAGATGAGAAAAGCCTGGTTTGTCTAAGAAGTCTCTACTAGTCAGGGTGTGGATGGCTTAGAGAAGAGGGGTTAATATGAGAAGACAGGCAACTTCACAAATGGAAGTAGATTCCCACTCATCCTATTAATGGTGTGCCAGAAAACTTTAGGTCCTTATTGACACTTACGGTGTACAGATGACCTGGGCCCCACCTCTGCTGTGAAGATAGGAGTGAAGAATTTCACGGCCTTGCCACCATTTAAAAAATTTTCTTTGTTTCTCTCTCCCCCTTCCTCTACTCTCTGCATGTGGGTGTACATGTGAGTGTGGGTGTGTGTGTTGGGGAGGTGGCTTAGGAATTATTTCAATGAATATGCTGGTAGTAGTTTGAGGAGTAAGTCATATAATTGTTGTGTTTCTACTTCTAGCTTTTAGGAGGAAAACATTCATAGGAGGAGATGATTAATTACTGTTTGAAGAGTGCTTTGAGATCCTCTAATGAAGGGTTTTAGAAGTATGAAACATGTGTCCTGAATGTGTGGTTACAACATGTGATTCTATGTTAGAATGGTGCTAGACTATCAAATAGACCCCTCTCCTATGTCCCTGAATAGGAAAGAACATGCTGACCGGGAAGGAGAGGGGAGGAGAAGAGAAGGGAGAAGGGCTGGAAGGAAAGGGGAGGTGTTGGAGAAAAGACTAGTGTCTTGTGTTAACCTGGAGGAAAGACAGCGTGGGCACCCCGGTGTCTGTGCACAAGTTGCACATCAGTTGCACATCTGAGAGTGAAACAAAGGTTTCCTTTGTTCCCCAACAGTTTGCTCCCTGTGAAGTTTGTTCCCTTCACCTTGCAATCGGAAGTCTGTTGACTTTCGGTGCGGTCTGTTGGTTCAAGCTTTGCCAAAGAGTTAATAACTACTGTATTGTTGTGGTGGAAGCTACCTTTAATTTTTCAACAGAACTGCGGAATTGTTTTCTCTTGTATTATTAATATTATTGGAATAATAATCATCAACCATTAAAATATTTATTATTCTCTGCATTTATGGAACTGCTCTTCTTAGAAAGTCCGCCTTTATTTTTCAACAAAGTCTTATTCTGAGAGGAGGTGCTTTCTCTAATATCTAAGGTCTAGCTGGAGAGCGGGCACCTCTTACACCAGCAGCAAGCAGTCACCTACCGCAGGAACTCACCGGGAGGCAGCAGCGTGTGCTAGTTAAACCTCAGACTCTGGATCCGGCTTGAATTCCTGATCTGCTGCTCCCAGTTACATGACTTTAGACAAGTTATTCACCTCCTCAGAATCACAACTTCCTCATCTGTGAAATAGGGTAGGAATAGTATCTACCTTTCTGTGTTATTGTGAGAATTAAAGGTGTAATTATATATAATGCTTACAATAGGATGTGATACATAAGAAGCCCCAGATAGGTGCTTGCTGCTGCTTCTGTCACCATTATTGCTATCCTCTAAGAAACTATAGGCTGATTTAAAGCAAATTATGATAATTATTTCTGTTATTATTATTAATAAAGCCTCCTAAAGAAACTAAGGTTGATTTAAAGCAAAATGCTGAAGAGGATAGAATTATTTTGGGGGCTCTCCTACTTCTGTTCTTAGTTTCTCTCTTTTTCTTTTAGTTTTTCCAAATTTTTGACAATGTACTCAAGGTTATAATGATGCGTTTGGGCACAGTGGCTCATGCCTGTAATCCTAGCACTTTGGGAGGCTGAGGCGGGAGGGTGGCTTGAGCCCAGGAGTTTGAGGCCAGCCTGGACAATATAGTGAGACTCCATCTCTCTAAAAAAAAAAAAGAAAAAAAAAATGTAGTGATGTGTTAAACATATCCCCTATGAGTGTGACTACTTAAGTCACATATACATACAGGGTTCGATTTATACTTTTAAAGGACACTGGAAGCTTGAATTTTTTTTTCTGGAAAAAAAAAAGAAATAGATCCTCTAGACTTCTAGAACTGTGCAACAGAATTTCAGGGAACATCTAGTTCAACTCCACAGTAGGCAAATGATTCATCCTTAGAGACAGGCATGACTGGTTAGTGGCAGAGTGGGCCTAGAATCTTGGGTTAAGTTAGACAACTAAGAGCTATGAACATGTGGCAGCTGGAGTGACTTCTTGTACACCTGTTTCCACTGAATTGCCCTGTGGCAATATGCCAGAAAAGAATCAGACTGTCTGCAAACTGATTATTTTATGCACTGAAGAGGGGTGTTGCTAAGGTTGCCATCCTGATCCTCTTTATGAACACCCTTGAGGAGCAGTATTGAAAATAGTTATTGTTTCTGGAACAACTGTTTTTTTCTTTAAATTTTTTCTGTTATTTTAGAAAAGTATTATTAATATTATTTTGATTACCAAATCATAGTTATATACATAACCGGTTTGTTTTCATTGGATGAACACCATGAACTTTTAATCTATTAATGTATCACATCTTTGCGTTGGCTACTAGGAAGCTCAAGGACAAATTTACATTCTATGTCTATGGTTAGAAGCTAATAGCTACCACAAATTGCAATTACATATTAGAGCTGAACACCTTGTAGCCAGTTTTCCTGAACTTTGATCTATTAAAAAAGGGAGTTTGGGGGCCCTTTCCATTGCATGCTTTACCTTTTTCATGGATATTCATGGTGTACACATTAATGTCTTAAAGGTTCTGAGAAGTCTGACAGTTTTAAATAAATCAAAAGAGCTTTAAAAATTTTGTTTAGCCTTGTAGTTGTAAAACTTACTTGATTACATAATCTTTAAAAATATTATCTCAGAAATTTCTAGTTTTATATGAAATGCATTTTGGAAAATACTACCTTTCATTAATCTGTAATCAAATCCTGTTTATTATTATTATTATTTTTTGAGATGGAGTTTTGGTCTTGTTGCCCAGGCTGGCGTGCAGCGGCATGATCTCTGCTCATTGCAACCTCTGCCTCCCAGGTTCAAGTGATTCCCCTGCCTCAGCCTCCTGAATAGCTGGGATTACAGGTGCCCGCCACCACGCCTGGCTAATTTTTTCTGTTTTTAGTAGAGACGGGGCTTCACCATGTTGACCAAGCTGGTCTCAAACTCCTGACCTCAGGTGATCTACCTGCCTCGGCCTCCCAAAGTGCTGGAATTACAGGCGTGAGCCACTGCGCCTGGCCAAATCCTGTTTATTAGATTCATGACAGTACAAAGGTTGGTGAACTTGTTTCTTTCTACTTCTGTGCCGCAGGAGAAAGTCTAGGCTGTGTACGTTGGACTAGATAACTGACGAGACCCTTGCTAGCTCTAAAATTTTTGATTCCCAATTTAAAAAATGAAGAAAACTTTTCAAGAATGTCTGTTCCTAGAAGTGGAAATACTAAAATGAATGCTAACGTTAGAACTTAAAACATTATATACCATTTCTGGCACTGTTTATCCATGTCTAATCTAAAAGATTGCTTTAAAAATTATGTTTACAGACACAACCACCAGGAGTGTTTACAAAGACACAAATTTTCTTTGAAAAGCATCGGAGTAAAAAGATGTAAGATTTTCTTGAAACTCTGGTTTGGTATAGAGTTTACAACCCCTCCTTCTTGCTTGATAAAGGCTTGTATAATGAGGTGATGAAACTTCATAGTGTATCTTTGGGAGGCTGTGCAGCTAGATATATTAATTCAAGCGTGTGGCCCATTCAGAGGCGACATTGTTCATTCATGGAGAATTTTGCCTGTAAAACCCATTCCTCTCCCTTCTCCATTAAAACTCAGCAAAAAACAACAAGGACCTCCAATACATATCTAATTATGTATGGGATAATAGGTACATACCCCAGCCATATATGTATTCCCTGGGCATGAGCCTGAGACTCGCCCCAGATAACACATCCAGCCTCTAGAGTTGTTCGTCGCCTTGACCAGTAGGGCCAGAGCCAAGGGGAAATAGCAAGGCAAGGTCACCTGCAAAGAGAAGTGGCAGGCTGCAGGGAGAAAGGACTGGCTTTCACACCTGTTCATGGGTGACATTCAACTTCTTCAGCAGCCTACTGGATGTGTCACCACAATCTCAAGTAGCTCTCATTGCTCTTCTCTTTGTGTATGCCCTTGTGAAGGGTGGGTGGGATTTTGTTGCTTCTCTGGGCCTCTTGTCTCGCTGATTTTGTTAGTATGTTGTTTTCTCCCTGTTTGACTTTTATTCATTTAATTCAGATTGAATGCCTACTATGTATCAGGCATTATGTCCCCAAAATGCATATGTTCCCATACTTGCCCTTGAGGAGCCAATGATATAGAAGAGCACATGGACCCTGGAAACAGTTTCCATTCAATGTGACAAAGACTCCAAAAGAGCCGTGTATAGAGACCAGGGAAGCAGTAATGGAGGTGACATTTGAGTCAGGTCTTAGAGAATGTGTTGGACACTGATTTTTCCATTAATATAATTACTTTTTCTACTTAGTAGCACTAACCTGCTAGAAAGAGAAGTAGAAGCCAATAACTCGTTAACTCAGGAGACTGACGGACAGAACCTATTAGCTAAAGGCTAGGCTCTTATTTCAAGCAATTCAGCAAATATTCAGGCCTTAATCATTTCAGTTATTGGAGGACAGTGCCATCTGGAAAGTGAACTCTCTGGAACTTACCCTCAAGTTTCCCTGATAGAAAGACGTTCTAGGAATTGTCTTTGTCTTTGGAAATTCCTAGAATTAGCTTTGCTTTATGTTCAATATAGCTAATTTCCCAGTCTCATGGCAGACACTCAGAAAATGAACAACATGTTTAAATTGTTGCAAAGATGAAAGCAACAAAGATGAAAACAAGGATTATTACTAAAGAACCGGTTTTAATTTAAATTTCTGAAGAAATTTTACAAAGTGCAGGAACACGTGAGGTAAGCTGGCTCCTTGAGTTTGCAGTTCCTTGGAGAGCTGATGCTGAAAGCTCATAGCCTTCCTAGTGCCAGGTGGGATTCTGTGGATTTTTTTCACGTTACTTTTATGAGACAAACCCATGGATGTCAACCATGTGACACAATATCCATGACTTTCCTGGCTGTACAAATAGTTCTCTAATTTGATGCTAATAATAGGACATCTTTTTTCCTTGGGAAATACTGTTTTTTAGGCTTAACACTTCAGGCACACCCCTCCCCCTGGGAAAAAAAAAAAAAAAACCCAGTTCAATTTAATAATGATTTTTGTCTGCCTATGTTTATTATATCTGGACCCTGATAGTACATTTATCTTCTGTCATGGAGTTGAGACAGTATCTATTCAGCTGGTTTTCCAGCCCCAAACTTAAGTAGGATCCTTTACCTGCAAAACATGGGGCTGGCCTTGCGTTTAAAAGCAGTACTCATGTTTCAGTTTCCAATTTGAAACTTAGGAACTGCTCTTTCCAGACTTGAAAGTTTTCCTCCTGACCAGCTATTATATACCGCCTCCTGGGACTTTAATACAGATCTGTCATTCCTTCTAGACCTCGAACTCCTTAAGAACAAGGACAATGTCTCACTTATCTTTGTATTCCATAGCTCATTACGTAAAGGAGGTCTTTAAGAATTATTTGCAAAATCTGTATTGCATTCTTATCCTAAAAGTTTGTAAACTGGACCATCAAATGTAGATTTCCCTGTGCAAGGAGTGAAAAACAGCAAGTACCATGTATGCAAGTCTCAGAACTTGACTTCTCATAATTATTTTTTAAAACGAAGGCAAACCAGGCTGGGCACGGTGGCTCACACCACGCCCAGCCTGGTTTGCACAGGCAAATAGGGTAAGTAGGTTGCTTAAAGTTGTCTAGAAATTAAGTGATGGTTCAGATTCAAGCCATTTGGCTCTAGATCCACATTCATAATCCCTTTGCCATCTATTCTTAGCTTACCTTGTTCAATTTTCTATCCTGAGTCCCTCTAATAAGTTCTCAGCTTCTGTTTTTTCTTTAAAATCGGCACTCATCTCTGATTTATCACCTCTCTTCTGTCCCCTCGCCCCTATTCTCTCCCTCCATTTTCCCTTCTTCTCTCCCTTCTAATTCCGTTCGTGATGAGAACCACATTGTGTACCTGAAATTTATATTTCAAGCAGCTTTCTATCAGCAACCAGGAGCTTCCTGTACACGTTGCAACTTTAGAGAACACAATGCAGATGAGAATTATAAATCTCTAAGTGCGCATGTTCTTCCTTTTATGATGGGTTAAAAGACAGTTTAAAAATCACCTCCCATTTTGAGCTTTGAATCTGAGCTGAGAAGGATAGTAAAAGCAATATAAAGAAAAGGAAATCAACTTCAAAACCGGCCCCCCGCTTTTCCCTGTGAGAAGGCCACTACAAATTGTGGAGATGCTTCTCAAATGCAATTAGATTCTGCCGCTGCCTGCCGCGTCTCTCCACATTGCATCACTGTTCTCGAAATCGCTGAAGCCTCTCTTGGGACACTAGATAATCTGAAGAAAGAATAGAGTGTTCAGGCAACACAAGTTCTACAGAGAACTAAGGCACACCGATTTGCATTTCTGGGTCAGCATGATTTCACTTTCATTTAACCCTTGTACTGACCCTTGTTTTCCAACGCGTTGGCTCTTTCTGCCGTCTGAGACTGTGTGATGTGCTGAAGCCAAGAAGGTAAGTGTCCCTGGCAACCCGAAGCCTGCAAACCTCTCTCCAAGCCCCTCTTCAAGCTTCCCACCATCATTAAGGTCCTTTCAGTGAGGAATTGGCCAACATTTTAAGTGTCTCTGGATGCAGGTTTTATTCACGTTTAATAAGGTAGTTTTGTGTGTTAATGGAAAATGAAATGAATATTAGAAATCACATATTCAGATATGCTTGTGGCTGCCAGAGTTTTGCATTTCCTGCGTGGTTGTTCATCTTTAATGTAATGAGAATAGTAACGGAGAACAACGGATGTTATATTCTCTTTCTCTCTCTCTCTCTGGTAGGAGTCATGCTGAGAATCCCTTGAAAACCCACAGTGTGTCAGAAAGACAGACATGACATATATTTCTCTCGTCTTATTCACAGTATAATTTCCATTAAAAGGGAGCAAAGACCCCCAACAAGACTTAATTGCTTGCAACTTAACAGGTGTAGGTCATTAGTTGTTTATGTGCAATGAGGTCTACTTGGCTAGAAGAACCTTGTGTAAAAGTAAAGGTGCATTGCAAAATTTAAAGTGCTGGATAAATGCTAGCTATGAACCCAATATTAAAATAATTGAGATGACATGTTGATTAATTATTTGCCCAAAAGAGGTTTACCTCAATCAGTAAGAATAATTTTATTGCTTTTTTTCTTAATTATAAAAGTAATAGCCGGGTGTGGTGTCTCACACCTGTAATCCCAGCACTTTGGGAGGCCGAGGTAGGCAGATCACTTGAGTTCAAGAGTTTGAAACCAGCCTGGCCAACATGGTGAAAGCCGATCTCTACTAAAAATACAAAACAATTAGCCAGGCATGGTGGTGCACGCCTGTAATCTCAGCTACTTGGGAGGCTGAGGCAGGAGAACTGCTAGAACCTGGGAGGTGGAGGTTGCAGTGAGCTGAGATTGCGCCACTGCACTCCAGCCTGGGCGATAGAGCAAGACTCCATGTCAAAAAAAAAAAAAAAGAAAATTAATAGTTGTATGATATGTGAATGCCATCTCAACAAAGCTGTTTTTTTATGAAATTATAGAAAAGACAGGTAAACAATGGGAATAAAATCAAAATCACCAATAATCCCAGTTCCCAGAGATAAACCACCAATAGCATGATTTGTTTTACTATAATTTTCACTGTGTAAATGCAAAACTGAAGTGATGCAATAGTGTTGAAATCTCCCTTTCCTTTTCTTTCTTCCTTTCTTTCTTTCTTTCTTTCTTTCTTTCTTTCTTTCTTTCTTTCTTTCTTTCTTTCTTTCTCTTTCTTCTTTCTTTCTTTCTTTCTTTCTCTCTCTCTCTCTTTCTTTCTTTTTTTGAGACATGATCTCACTCTGTCACCCAGGCTAGAGTGCAGTGGCACAATTGTGGCTCACTGCAACCTTGAACTCCTGGGCTTATGCTACCCTCCCACCTCAGCCTCCCAAAGTGCTGAGATTACAGGTGCATGCCACTATGCCTGGCTCCCTTTTCATTTAATGTATTATAAACATTAAATATTCCTCTGCCTCCGCGTAGTGTTCTGCTGTATAAATGTTTTATAACATACTTAAGCAACCCTCTATTTTTGGATATCTAGGCTGTCTCCAAGTTTTTGATAATGTTTTTGATAGCTGTCTAATGAGCATCCTTGTAGCTATATCTTTGAGCATATCTGTGATTATTTCTGAATAAATTTCTAGATATCTAGTCATTGAATCAAAGAATATGCACCCATCTAAGGCTTTAAAACACACATGACTCTGTGTCTGTGTGTGTGTGAGTGTGTGTGTATCACATAGGAAATAAATATTAGAAATCACATATTCAGATATGCTTATGGCTGCCAGAGTTTTGCGCTTCCTGGTTGTTGTTCATCCTTAATGTAATGAGAATAGTAATGGGGAACAACGGATGTTATATTCTCTCTCTCTGGTATGAGGTATGCTGGGAATTCCATGAAGACCATTTCTTCATGGTCCATTCCATTTCTTCATTCCATGAAGAACCTTCAGGAACATTCTTCCGTAGATTCTTAATGAAGCTAAACATTGTTTCAAATGATTATTGTCCACTAAATATAAATAAATATAAATATATTTATAATATTTATTATGTATCTAGATAAATACATATACATATATTTGTATATGTTCATATAAATAATACTTATATAATATATGTGTATATATAATAAATTTGAATCAATACCTTTTAGAAGGTATATATGTAGATGTATATATACACACACGCACTCACACTACATTTATACTAGCAGTGTATATCCTTGCACTTATTTTTATATACATTCCCCAACATTAAGTATTTAAAATTTTTCTTTCCAATTGCTCTAGTGAAAAATGACATCTTATACTTGTTATAATTTGTACTCCTTAGATTCTTAATGAAGTTTAATGTTGTTTCAAATGATTATTGGCCATTTCAAAATTATTTATGTCCTTTGACATAATTTTTTTCTTGTTTATCTTTTCATTAATTTGTAAGATTTTAAACAATTGAATATGGCTATTAGTTCTTTGTTATCTTTTTTATTTGAGTTAAACAAAAAACTCCACTGAAATGAAAGTGATGCACATTTTTCTTTAAAAGAAGAGCAATTCAATTTTAACTTTAAAAGAAGTTAAAATCAGTTACAGGTAAACAAAGCGTACCCCTGACCGCATACACCTGGTGTGTATATAGGTTTAACTTTGTACATTCCTGAGTTGCTTTCTGGAAAACACTTCCAAATGAAAAGCCAGATACCATCATCTTTACAAGTAACTGTGATGTTATTTTGAGATAAATTATTACTTTAAGTTAAACAAAGGAAAATTACCATTTTTGAGCATTAGCCAATCTTATAATCTCCCTTTCCAAAGAAGCTTAATTCAAACTATTTTTAAAGGTTAGTTTATGCTTTCTTTTAATTCAGCGGCTTCATGGGTGCCATATTTTTTCTCCATTTTAGCAGTAATCTAAATTGAGACAAACATAGGTCAGAATTTTGAACTCAAAGATAAATAAAAGGAATTCCAAAGACTGAATGATCTGCTAGACTGGCCGCTTTAGTAAATTTTGATGTTTGATACCATATTCCTCTTCTCCAGGAGAATGTCATGAACCTGGGAGGCAGAGCTTGCAGTGAGCCAAAATTGTGCTACTGCACTTCAGCCTGGGTGACAGAGTGAGACTCCATCTCAAAAAAAAAAAAAAAAAAAAAAAAAGAATTGTGAAATGTATGTGTAATTTTAAAAAATTATAATAGTAATTACTTCTTTTTAGTCACTGGCAGTAAGTCTCTTATTAACTAATGGAGATAATGATGGCAACTTCTTAACCCAAAAAGTAATTAAACGGCTCTGTTAAGTCCCCCTAATCTGGAAGAGGTCTGCTATCTTTACGCAGAGCAACACTGTCACTTGTTTCCAGATTGTGGGGTGAGAGTGAGGATAATTCTTTAAGTGATGAAGTTGGTTGTTTCCCATCTGTTGTGCCTCAGACACAGGCCTCCTTCTCTCTACCAATCACAAATATAAAACCTCTGCCCATAATTTGACCATCTGGATTTCCTGTCATCCCCTGTTTTCACACCTGGAGATTCAGAGCAGTTCTTTGATTGATGTTTTTCAAAATTGCCTCATAAAATCAAAGGACAGGCGAACAACATTTTTCTAAAATTGTAAACAGTAGAACCAACATTCAAAACTTTTGTTACTGCTTTTATAACCGTGAATAACCTTAGCTTCTGGGATTTTGTCAGAAGTGCTTTTTTTCTTTCTCTGAAGCAAGCCACCACATTCTCCCGAGCTGCTTGCATTTAACAATGTCAGGACTAAGATTCAAGTAGTGGGCCACGGTAGTCCCAGGAAGTTCAATATCAAGCACAATGAGTTCTGTATTCAACTTTAATTAAAATATCCACATGCAGCAGGGCGTGGTGGCTCACGCCTGTAATCCCAGCACTTTGGGAGGCTGAGGCAGGTGAATCACCCGAGGTCAGGAGTTGGAGACCAGTCTAGCCAACATGGTGAAACCCTGTCTCTACTAAAAATACAAAAAAAAATTAGCTGGACATGGTTGTACGAGCCTGTAATCTCAGCTACTTGGGAGGCTGAGGCAGGAGAATCACTTGAACCCAGGAGGCGGAGGTTGCAGTGAGCCAAGACGGCGCCACTGAACTCCAGCCTGGGCAACACAGCGAGATTCCGTCTTCAAAAAAACAAAACCAAACAAAACAAAATCCACATGCTCATGGTTTGCCTTCTCTTAGGGAGCCAAATACTACCTAAGTTTTGTCAGCTGGCAGGCTCTGCTAATAGAATGTCACTTAAAACACCACTTTGAATCTAAGGGCAATGCAATGCATTATTCTGAACTATTACTAAATTAGTTATTCCTCAAGCAGCAATTTGCCTATTTTTGCTCTTACCTAATTTTTAGGAGGAATGATAGACAAACATTAAGCATTGGTTTCTCTCTAGATCCCGTCAGTTTCCTCAAACACAGTAGTCTCCTCTGTTAGACCCTGGTGTGCTGCTGGGAATTACTGGGACTCACTGGCCAGCTGCTGTCTCTTCTCTGCGGACCTCTTTGCTTTTAGGGAGCAGGAAACTAATTCCTCTAAGTGTTATACACTTGGAGACCCTTTAGCATGAACAACGGTGAAGAAACAGAAGCTCTCGTTGCTTTCCTGCATCAGACAAAAGGCTGTGGCCACTTAAATACCACATTTTTACTTCCTTTTTAGTTCAGTTGAGGGAGCAGGTGCAACCCTGCAGCAAGATAAAGCTGACCCTTGCTAAGATTGTAGTGTCTGCTAAATGTACGCCAGCAAGGCAAGGCCTTGTAAACAATAATTAATAAATTTGAAAGGCCCAGGACACGAGAAGAAAATTAAATACAAGATTTGGACCATCCACTTTGACTCATGTGGCATTGCTAATCAGTGTGATGAAAAAAACCTTCATCTGTTAAGAATGTGGCATTTGAAACACATTGCTGCCTTGTTGGTAGGTTTACTTCCTCCTTTCTTTGTAAAGCTTCACAATGAGTATCCCAGTGTGAAACTGGAACTCAGTGTGGGGAAAGAGGACGGGTGGAGGAACCGTCATGTTATTAAGTTATTGCAAATATAGAGACTGGTGATTTCACACGTACACATTCCACATTACAGGAAGCTCACACGTCTAGGAAAAATCATCCCTTGTTGACCCCTCACCGCCAAATTTTCCATTACCTACCTCGAAAATCTCAACGTCCCAAATGGCTTGCTTATTTTTATCATGTCAATTGCTTTTCTATAGTAAAGTAAGAATACGGTCACTTGAATTTCAAGAATAAGAAAGCAATCTACATGAATTAAACAAATCTAAAGGACAAAAGAGATTTTTTCTGAGTCACTTGCAGATGATGATGTTCCTCCTTCACTCCACAGAGCTTCCTTAGTGATTGTCAAAAAACAAAAAAGAAACCAAAGTAACCTTGAGGTAGGGCCGTGGAAAATTTTACCCACTTCATTTGTTCACAGTTGTTCATTCCTTCTCATTTCTTTTCATTTTTTTAATAGAAAATGTTTACTTCTAACTTACTTTTCTAGTATAATAAGTAATCTCTAAACAAAAGCTTATAAAAATTCAAACACTGGCCGGGCGCAGTGGCTCACGCCTGTAATCCCAGCACTTTGGGAGGCTGAGGCGGGCGGTTCACTTGAGGTCGGACATTCGAGACCAGCCTGGCCAACATGGTGAAACCCCGTCTTTACTAAAAATACAAAAAATTAGCCATCCGTGTTGGTGCATGCCTGTAATCCCAGCTACTCGGGAGGCTGAGGCAGGAGAATCACTTGAATCTGGGAGGCGGAGGCTGTGGTGAGCCAAGATCAAGCCATTGCACTCCAGCCTGGGCAACAAGAGCAAAACTCTGTCTCAAAAAGAAAAGAAAAAAAAATTCCAACACTATAAAGGTATGTAAATTAAAAACCATCCACTTCCTGCCCCATCCTGCTTACCTCCCCGGAGTAATCGCTGTTGATCTTTTGGTGTGTGTTCTTCCAGCCACGTTTACTTTTTACATGTTTGGTAAGGCAGAGTCTGTGAGGGCTCCTATGAATCCTTGACAACACAGTAAGGAAGGACAGGCAGCTGGGTGGGGTTGCTTATGCCTCTCGTCTCAGCCCTTTGGGAGGCCAAGGCAGGACTGATTGCTTGAGGTCAGGAGTTTGAGACAACTCGAACAGCCTGGGCAACATAGTGAGACCCATATCTTTACAAAAAAAAGTTTTTTTAATTAGCTGGGCATGGTGGCATGTGCCTATAGTCCTAACGACTCCAGGGGCTGAGGAAGGAGAATCACTTGAGCCCAGGAGTTCAAGGCTGCATTAAGCTATGATGAATCTCCAGCCTGGGTGACAGAGTGAGACTCTGTTTCTAAAACATAAAAAAAATAAATAAAGGAAACACAGGCAAGGAAGGAACTGACTATGAATGGGCATATTTACAAAAAAAATTCATGAAGTAAAGGGGAAGGGAGGAAAGAGAGAGTTGAACTGGGGAAGAGAGAGATGAGAAGAAAGATGTACCTGCTTTCTCCTGTCTTGGGGAGTCAGCTCCTTGAGGGTAGGATTTCTGTCTTAAGCAGCTTCTTCTTCACACTAGAAGAATACCTACTAACTAGGTGGTGATGAATGAATGAATACGAATGAAGAGCAGGAACTAACTGGCTACTGTTAGCAGAGTTCACGGAAATAATTTTAGGCTTTTTCAGTTTATCAAAGCCTTGTTAAGCCGGTATTTTCTGTCTTTACCTTTGATTTTTCGTCAGTAAGCAACCAGCATGTGCTGCTTTCAGGGTTAGTACCACAAGTAGTTGTTGCTCTAAATTGAGCTAATATTAAAGATAAAAACCCTTCTAGAAGGAATCTGTACTCAGAAAAGGAAGTTTTAAACCATTAGCTCACTGGGGGATACTACTTGAAACATCATTAAGACAAAGTAGCTTCCAGGCCCACTGCCTCCTTTTGGGGAAAAGGGACCACAGGGAATTCTCTAGCCTTCGATATCCACTTCCCCCACCATTTTGGCGACGAATGGTTGAACCAGGAATTAACAACTGACCAAAAGACACACTGCTTTAGGCTTTTAGCCCCTAGGAGGTGGCCTAAGGTGGCACTGGATAGGGACTTTCTGAACCAGTCAAAGCCACTCTTGGGGGATTTGAACTAGGGACAGAGATGAACAGAGAGTTAGAGAAAAGCAGACAACTGATAGACAGCAGTCCAGTGTTGACACAGAAACTGAGAGACGTGGAAAGAAGGCAGTGAGCAGACACTATGAAGCAAGTAATGACTTCAGTAGAAGAGGATATGAATGGAGGCATAGAAAGGCATCTGCTAGCAGAAGATTAAGAAGAAGCAGCAAGTAGAGAAAGGACTCAGTGGAGGAGATGCTTCAGAAATGGCAGGCTGCTGGAGAAACTGCTGCTTCATCCTGAACCACGTTCCAGTTCTCCATGAGGCCTCACATGTAGCCCCAGAAACCATTTTCTTTGCTTCCTCAAGCCTCCTAAGTATCTTTATCCTGGAGTAAACGAGAAGGTCTCCATATTTTGCAACTTGAAAAACCCCCGTTCTAAAACGAGCAGGTTGTCTAGAGAGAACCATGAGCGTCCCTTCTGTTGTAATTTGAGAGGAGTATTGTAAAAAGACACATAGACCACCTGTGGGGAGCTTCACATGGTGGCCAGTGCTTTGCTGGGGTGACCACAATTCAGTTCTTGTTTTTTGCATTGTAGCTCTTGAAATTTGATTTAATCTGTGCAGCCAGTGTTGACTTACCCCAACTAGGAGATTTATAGATAATCTAATATGCAGATGTATAATGTGAGGCCAAACTTTCCAGACATAGGGATCTCTTTCTATAGTTTTTGATACTGTTGAATATCTTCTTATCAAAACTCTCGTTAGAGTTTTTACCGTTTTTCTTTTTTTTTTTTTTTTTTAGCATTACTTCTCTTTTTCCACTTTTGGGACCAAAAATATATCTAATTCTTGCTGTTTGTCCTTCATCTGCCTTTATTATCTCCTTGTTCTCCTTGGAAATACCCTCCACTGCCATGGTTCTCCTCTACCCCAGTGATATCTATCCATACAGCCCTCTCCACTCTAACACCCTGCCATATTTTCAAATCTCCAGGGGACATATTCACCTGAAAATCTCATCAGCCTCTCGAATTTAATGAGTTCAAAATGGAAATTATTTTCTTTCTCCGCAAAATTCTTCCTCCCGTGTTCCAACCCCTTCTCTAAAAATAGAACCTCAGTGAGCCAGTCCAAAGCTCGGGATTCTTTTTACTTCTTTTGCAACTCTATACCCAATAGCTATGATCACAAAGTCCTGGCAATTCCACCTATATAATATGAATTTCATTCATCTCTCTCTGTGTTCATTACGCAATGTGCATAGCAAATTGTGCCAAAACTTGGCAGCTTAAAATATGTCCATTATTTCATACAGGTTGTGAAGGCTGGGAATCTGAGAGTGGCTTAGCTTAGCTGATCTCTCATGAAGTTGTAGGCAAGTTGTTATCTGGGGCTGCAGTCATCTTAAAGGTTGACTACGGATGGAGAACCACTTTTAAGATCACTCATGATCAATGCCATTTTTTATAGAATTAGAAAAACTGGCCAGGCCGGGTGGCTCATGCCTGTAATCTCAGCACTTTGGGAGGCTGAGGTGAGTGGATTGCTTGAGCCCAGGAGTTTAAGACCAGCCTGGGCAACATGGCAAGACCCTATCTCTAATATTATTTTAAAAATTTTAAAAACTATTTTAAAATTCATAGGGAACAACAACAAAAAGAGCCCAGATAGCCAAAGCAATCCTAAATGAAAAGAACAAAGCCAGCAGCATCACATTATTCAACTTTAAACTACACTACAAGGCCACAGTAACCAAAACAGCATGGTGCTGGTAGAAAAATAGAGACATAGACCAATGGATCAGAATAAAGAAGGCAGAAATAATGCAGCATACCTGCAACCAATGGATCTTCAACAAAGTCCACAAGAAAAAGCAATGAGGAAAGGACTCCTAGTCAAGAAATAGTGCTGGGAAAACTGGCTAGCCACATGCAGAAGAATGATACTGGACCCTTATGTTTCACCATATACAAAAATTAACTCAAATGAATTAAAGACTTTGTAAGACCTCAAACTATTAAAATCCTAGAAGAAAACCTAAGAAATACTCTTCTGGACAATGGCCTTGGCAAGGAATTTATGACCAAGTTCTCAAAAGCAATTGCAACAGAACCAAAAATTGACAAGTGGGACCTAATTAAACTAAAGCTTCTGCATAGCAAAATAACCCATCAACAGAGTAAATAGAGAATCTATAGAATGGAAGAAAATATTCATATACTATGCATCTGACAAAGAATTAATATCCAGAATCTGTGAAGAACTTAAACAAATCAACAAGGAATAAATAACTCCATTAAAAAGTGGGCAAATCGGGAGTTTGAGGTTGCAGTGAGCCATGATCATACCACTGCATTCCAGTCTGGATAACAGAGCAAGACCCTGTTTAATTAAAAAAAAAAAAAAAAGTGAGCAAAGGTCATGAGCAGACACTTCTCTAAAGAAGACATACAAGTGGCCAAAAAATATGAAAAAATGCTCACCATCACTAATTACCAGATAAATGCAAATCAAAACCACGATGAGATACCATCTCACGTTAGCCAGAATGGCTATTATAAAAAAGTAAAAAAAAAACAAAACCCAGCAGATTCTGGTGAGGCTGCAGAGTGGGAACATAAATTACTTCAGCCACTGTGGAAAGCAGTTTGGAGTTTTCTCACAGAACTTAAAACTAAACTACCATTCAACCGTGCAATCCCATTACTGGGTATACACCCCAAAGAAAATAAATCGTTCTACCAAAAAGACGTATGCACTCGTATGTTCATCTTGGCACTGTTCACAATAGCAAAGACATGGAATCAACCTAGGTGCCCATCAATGGCTGATGAGATGAAGAAAATATGGTATATATACATCATGGAAAACTACACAGCCATAAAAAGAATGAAATTATGTCCTTTGCAGCAACACGGATGTGGCTGGAGGCCATTATCCTAAGCGAATTAACATAGAAACAGAAAACCAATTATCTCATGTCCTCACTCATAAGTGGGAGCTAAATCTTGGCTACACGCAGACATAAGATGGCAACAATAGACGCTGGGGACTTCAAAGTTTGGGGGGTAAGGGCTGGAAAACTTTCTATTAGGTACTATGTTTACTATTTGGGTGACACGACTAGTAGAAGCCCGAACCTCAGCACCAAGCAAAATATCCTTGTAACAAACCTGCACATGTACTCTCTGAATCTAAAATTAACATGGAAATTAAAGAAAAAAAATCACTCATTGTTGTAAGCAGATCTCAGTTCCTTCCTGGCTATTGGCTGGAGGCTTCAGTTCCTCACCATGGACTTCTCTACAGGGCTTCTCACCACATGACAGTTTACTTTCCCCACTTGGGGAGGGGTAGTGGGAGAGGAGGAGGAGTGGGTTGGGGGAGAACGTATGTGCTCAGGGTGGTAGCTGCAGTCCTCTTTAGAACCTAATCTTGGAAGTCACACACTATTACTTTTACCATATTCTGTTTGTTAAAAGGAAACAGCTAAGTCTAGCCTACACTCAAAAAGAAGGAATTAAGTGAGAAGTGTCCTTATGGACATATTTTTGAAACTACCACCCCCTCTTCTTCATTTCTGCTTCTGTAATCCTCTTTCAGTCCCCATCATTTCTTACCGGTATTTGTGCTTGACATAAAGACCAAGATCCTTAATATCGCCTACAGGGTTCATGTTATGTCTGTTTCTGCATTGCCACTGTATTCTATTTATCTGTCAGTCTGTTTTTCTCTATTCCTGAGTCTTTTTCTCCCTGTCTATTTCACGTTCAAACTCCCCAAGAGAGAGGCATTGATTGGTTCTGGCAATAACTATCTGGTGTCACTCGAGGTCACCTTATGATGACCTGGCGGAGGAGTCTAAAGGAGCCTGTCTTTTGGCCAGGTGTTGATACCTGGCTCAATCAGTGTGGCCAAGGTGGTGGGTAATTTAACCCTGCCTAACACTTTCTTATCTCAAACCACAATCTCCCAGGCCCCTGGTTCTACCTCCACTGGCCTTTTCCCAGAAGGTTTGGAGTGTCATTTCCCCTCTTGCCACAGAGCCTATGCTCGTCCTGTTCTTCTGCCCAGCAAACTCTTCTCTCCAGCCCACTCGGCCCACTCCTGCATATCTTTACATCTCAGCCCGGTGTCACCTCTTCAGCCTGACTTCCTCACCCCTCCATCTACGTTAAGGTGTCTTACGAGCTCTCAGAACACTCTGCACTTTTCCTTCACAACTCTTATTCGTTCGGTTATTTAACATCTCCTTCCTCCTCTAACCTGAAGCTTCCATGAGGGCAGGGACCATTTTGCCCACAATGTCTGGCACTTGCTATGAACACAGTGATTATTTAAAACACAGGGAATAATTAGTGTTTCTCCAACATTCATGCTTCTCCCTGGCTCAAACACTCTTGGTGGTCCTCTAGCGCGTGCAGGACAGAGCCACAGCTCTTTGGCTTGGTATTCTTGGCCCTTTGGGTAATCCGGGCCCATCTTGCCTTTCTGGTTTCAGTTCTCAGCACTCCTTTTAACAGACCCAAAAGTCTTAACTGCAATGGATTAGTTGCTATTTCCAAAGCGCTCTTTATGCTTTACTCTCTGAATCTTTGCTCACATTGTGCCCTGAATCCTGGAATGAATTCTCCCCACTGGGATTATATCAAAATCTCTTTCTAGAAAAACTTTCACTGTGTTTTTTGTATATTGCTTTTTTTTTTAAAATATAAACAAAGTACTAATTTTAAGAACTTTTCTTACATTAGTTCATTTAATGATTATGACAGCCTACAAGATAAATCCACTTAGTATTCACACAAAGCTTAAATAACTGGTACGGATAAACACCTAGTATGTGTCATAGCTGGAATCGGAACCCAGGTGGTCTGGCTCCAGAGTGCAACTATGGAATCTGCATACTTTCTCTGCTCCTAGACTCTTACTCTTTGAGGGTGGAGGGGGTGTCTTATCCTTCATTTTTTTATCTCCCCTAGGGGCTCACTCCAAGTAGTTTCTAACTAATGTTTAATAAATTAATGACTAGAAACCAGTGCCTCAGGCAGAAAATGATGGAGGAAAGCTGCCTCTGTTCACAAAAAAGCACCTCGTTTTTACTTCTTTGGTTACAAACCCTCAGTCCTTCCTCCCTGGCTTTAAGTATGTAGTTTAATAACTAATGGTATTTTTTTCCTTTTTATGTTCTAAACTTTTTATTATGGGTATTTCCAAACAATGTAAAAATAATAGTATAACTTCCACACACATATCACCTAGCAGAACAATTAGTAACATTTTGCCATGTCTCCTGTACATTTTGCTGAATTAACTTAATTTGAATCATAGATATCATGACATTTCACTCTTAAAAACTCAGAAAATGATGAACTTTCCTTACTCAATTACAACACCATTTTAACCTACAAATTAACAGTAATTTCTTTATTTCATCTTTGCTTAGTCTGAATCCTGTTGCCTCAATGTCCCAAGAATGTCTACTTAAAGTTGGTTTATTCAAATGAGGATTCAAGCCAGGTCCACACACTGTATTCGGTGTTGATGCTCCTCATTGACTGTACATCACTTATACTTTGGAACAGTGTTGTCTAGCCAGGTCCCAGGAATGCAGGTCTGGCAGGGTTCAGGGCACACCCAGGTTGAGACCCCCGAAAAGGGCCACTGGTTCGGAAT
The DNA here is from genome assembly GCF_000001405.40 of Homo sapiens. Lineage (NCBI taxonomy): Eukaryota > Metazoa > Chordata > Mammalia > Primates > Hominidae > Homo > Homo sapiens. Next base: position 34,005,735 of record NC_000014.9, on the reverse strand, counting down.
GTTGGCTGCTCTGGGGACAAGCTGAGATGACCCAACTCTTTCTTCCTAAGCCCTTCCAAGGGTGGGGTTTAGCCTGATCTTCCACTTCCCTACCCCATTTGCCATGCTCTGACCACACTGACCTTCTAGCTCTTGTTGGCTGTACTGAAGACCTTTGAACAGTGGATTCACTGGGCCAGGTGAATATCGTAGGGTCTCCATAAGTCTGCATAGTCAGGTCTGCAGAGTGGTCAGAGACAGAGACTGCTTTTGGATGAGAAAGGTAAAAGGAAGGTTGTAAGGAAGTTTGAAGAATCTGTTCCATGGCATCAACTTGGCCAAGGGGATCTCTACTTTCTGCGCATTCACTATTAAAATGTAGAAAGAGTTCTCAAATTCACTCATCCTTGCTGACAAATCACAAGGAAATTTGAAAGCCCCTCAGATTTCTGTTTTCCAAAATTTCTTCTTTTTAGATGCAGCTCAGAGACTGATGTTAAGAAAAAGAAAAGAAAAGAAAAGAAAAAAGCCTTAGATTCCACACTGAAACTTGTAGACTCAACACAACAAAGAGTCTGTTACAAGGCAACATTAATCTTCTGTAGAATTTCACTAAATAATTTCCTACAGAGATCGCAGCAGTTCCTTCCACAATTTTCTGAGCAAATGTGTTGGAGCCACTTAAGCACAGTGCTTTCCTCATGACGGCAGAGCCCACAGACACTATTTACATGCACCAGTGCCATTTAGACCTTAGCTATAAATTACTGCATAAAGGTTAATAGAACTGAGCCGAGCTTTAGGAAAGACCTTATGCACAAAATTGCCTAATATATTGGTGGTTGATATAGAAATAAACATTGTGGCAGGGATAAAAAAGCAAAGTTCTTTGAATATCGGTGGAAATCCCTATCAATGGAATAGCAGGGCAGAGATGCTAATTCCTAAGGCTTTTTTTTTCAACAGCAGAAAATTCACTTTAAGGTCATTTGTTTCCGACTGCTCTTTTGGCCTTCAATTGATAACACAGTCCATTTAAAATGCCTGCTAGGCTGGGTATGGTGGCGCATGCCTGTAATCCCAGCACTTTGGGAGGCCAGCAGGCAGATCACCTGAGGTCAAGAGTCTGAGACCAGCCTGGGCAACATGGAGAAACCCCACCTCTACTAAAAATACAAAAATTATCTGGGCGTGGTGGCTTGTGCCTGTAATTCCAGCTACCAGGGAGGCTGAGGCACGAGAATCACTTGAACCTGGGAGGTGGAGGCTACAGTGAACTGAGATTGTGCCACTTGCACTCCCACCTGGGTGACAGAGCAAGACTCTGTCTCAAAAAAAATAGAATAAAATAAAGTACGTACTGAACTAGCTCCAAGGTTTTCCTTTGGTGTTAATAAGGTTACTTCCTGTAAGAGTGACGGTCAATAATGTTGGTCAAAGAAGCCCTCCACTTCCCAAATTTTATAAATGTCCAGTGACATCTTTAAGTGAAAAGAGGCAGACCTGCCTTATCTAATGGTTAAAATGGTTTTATTTTAGCAGTCTATGTGTATCAGTTATAGTTCCTATCTGCTTTTGAACAACTGCTGGGAACCTAAAACATTTTTAAGTCCATCATTTTAAAAGGAAACATGACAGGTACTTACTTGGCTTTAAAAATGAATTACAGCTGATTTTATAGTCACTGTGACCATTTCCATGGGAAAGCAAATGGATGAGATTGGTAGGTTAAGTTCTCCTTTTTTTTTTTTTTTTTTGAGTCTAGTCAAACTATGGATCAGAAGGTGTCCACCATATCCAGTTCCCAAACCTTACTGGTTAACTGGACTCACAGGCTTTTAGGAGATTATCACACGTCAGCACAGGAGACTCCAAGGGTGAGTAATGCTGAGCATCTGGCCTCTGGGTTTCGTCCCATAACTGTGAAAACAGTTGCAGTAATGCCCCCACCAATGCTTCCTTCCTCAACGCCCAAGTGTCCAGCTTCATGGGCTGGCAGGGTCAGTTTTCTCCTGCAACACATCCAAACTGAGCCCACGTATTCCATCTGTGCAAATGTGGGTTGTGCTGCAGGATGCAACAACCAGTGAGGCCTGGCAAGTTCCACAGGCATCACTTCACCTCCCGTTATTTTGTAGCATCCTGAAGAGTAGAATGCTGTTCAATAGCTCAGAGGAAGGCACTCCAGTAGGAAGCAGAGAATATAGTCTGAGGGGGAAAGAGTTTCTATAGAAGAATAATTACATATCTGTGCAGCAAGAGAACAACTGTGACTAACACCCCCACAGTCATGAAAGAAGCTCTGAGCTGGTCAAGACCTCAGGTTTCAATTTCATCCCTAAAAGAGTGCATGAGGACCTTTCTTGATTGCTTTTTTTAGACCAGAAAAACAGGCGCATTATAGATTGGAGGCAGAGGAACACTTAAGCCAACTTTGTTATTTTCCAAGGAATCCTTGAACCAGAGATAAGAACAAAAATGGCCGTACTGTGTCAGCTCTAAGTCGCTCAAAGCTAGGTCTGTCTCTGACAGGATTTAGTGTCTCAGGCCAGGGGAGAGCAAATTATCCAACAAAGGATTGATTTTCACCCCAAACATTTTGGTTTCCCAGAACTCATTTTGGATCTGGCATCCCTACATTTATCTGAAAAGTTTAAAGCTTTTAATATTTTCAGCTTCTGTTCTGTTAAAGGATAAAAAGGTCTTAAATTGCATAAAGCAGTTCCTTCCTCCCGTCTCTCTCTTTTTTTTCTTTCCTTGCTTCCTTCTTCCCCACTCTCTTCCTTTCTGTTTCCCTCCTCTCCATCATCCTAAAGCTCCCTCTTTCAAGTTTCAGAGAGGTGCTTCCTGATTCTGATAATCTGGGGTTTAGCAAAAAAAAAAAAAAAAAAAAAATCTCTGCTCCCTTCATGATATTGTGGATTTGATACATATCCTTTCTCAGCTTTTGTCTTTCCACATTTGTCCTACAAGCTGTGAAAACAGCAATCTCAAACCGCACTCACTCTGTCATTTTCTTTAACTATAGCCAGCATTGCTCTCTTTCTGCTTCCTAATTTATTTTCTCATACTACTCAATTTAGGATTTTATGATATGTTGTATTAGTTTTTTATTGCTGCTTTAACAAATTGTCACAAACTTTGTAGCTCAAAACAACACAAATTTATTATCTTGCAGTTCTGCAGGTCAGAAGTTGAACAGGGCTAAAATCCAGATGGCAGGATGGATGAGTTCCCTCTGGAAGCTCTAAAGAAGAATCTGTTTCCTTTCCTTTTCCGCCTTTTGGAGGTGGCCTGCCCTCCTTTGCTGAGGTCCCCTTCCTCCATCGTCAAAGCCAGCAATATAACCTCTTTATCCCACTCCCATAGTCGTTAGTCGTATCTCTTTCTCTAGCTCTCTTCCTCTGCCTCCCTCTTCCACTTTTAAGGATTCTTGTGATTAGAGTGGGCTCACTGGATAATCCAAGATAATCTCCTCATGTTAAGGTCAATGGATGTAGCAATTTTAACTGCATTTGCAACTTTAATTTCCCCTTTGCCATGTAACCTAACATATTCACAGTTCCTGGAACTAGGATGTGGGCATCTTTGCGGGGACGGAGTTGGGGAGGGAATTATTCTGCCTATCACACATATATATATACGTCTTTATAAAACTTCCCCCATTTTGATGTATGAAAATTTTGAGCCAAACAGACTATTGACTTCTTAAAGGCAAATCTGTGGCAAAATGTGTTGTTTTCTTGTATTTTTGGTCTTTCCCATGGCATCTTCAAAAATGCCAGAGCTTAGTAGGATCCTGGTAAATACCTGCCAATGGCTCCCAATGGCTTTGATTACTTGAATCATCATTCTTCTATTTGATTTTGTCTTTCCTGGCAGTTTGCACATACAGAACATTCAGGTGCTGACGCGCTGCGTTTCATACATGTGATAGCTAACGTTCACTGGAAGGAGCTACTGGGAATGCCATCAGAATAGTTTGCATTTAGCTCCTTCACAACTCAACCTTGATTTTCTAGTGGACAAATATATCAAATTAGAAATTGTAGATGTATGCAATGAGAAGAGGACAGGAGAAATCGAGGATAAGTACGGAAGTGTCTTTGTGATTCTTCCACCAACTCCTGGAGACAGATAGTTTCTTTCATGTGACAGTGGAAGCCAGATGACAGACTCAGCTGGAGCTGACAGCCCTTCCTCCCTGGAAAGCCCCAGAACCTCTTTCAGTAGAAAACAACCACAATATTTCCAGCAAATTCCAAAGAAAATCCTGCCACTTCTTTGGAGTTGACCAAAAATGTCACATTCTATCTATAAAACCAAAGGCTTTCTTCCAATAAATAGTTCCAAGAGGAAAGGGAGCCTTTTATTCTTGCTGATCTGCTCTGTCTTCTTGTTTGGCTTGCTTATAAATGTAGGCTTAACTGCAGGCACCACAATTTATTAATTCATTTAACTAAAAACCAACTATTTGTTAGGTACTGTATTGGTCCAACAATCAAAAAACTTTAACAAACATATTTATAGGGATTACTATTTGCCAAGCATTATTCCAAGTGACTAAACCATGCTAACTTGTGCAGTCCTCATAAGAACCCCAAGAAGAAGGTACTGTCACTATGCCTGTTTTACAGATGGGGAAACTGAGGTTCAGAGCAATTAATTCATTTGGCCAAGTAATAAGAGCCAGGATTCTAACCAAGGCTCTGGCTTGGAGTTGTTGCTCAAGATTACTTCACCATGCTGTCTCCCCTTGCAGCCAGTGCCTGCTTACAAAGAAGTTCTAGATTCATGGGGAAGACAACGAAGAAGCAAGAAACAACAAATCGGATTGAATTGTTTTGTACACTGCTGTATCCCCAGCACCTAAAACAGTACCCAAGTGCATAAGCAGGGACTGCATAATTATTTGTGGAATGTTGTTGCAATAAATACTATGAAGTAAACTGATTGGATGAGATGAGAGACTGTCACGGGAACCTACTTAATTCATATGCAGTGGTGAGGGAGGGCCTCTCTGACAGATGACATTTAAGCTAAGACCTAAAGGATGAAAACAAGGGAACCATGAAAAGAGTGTGGAAGAGCATTCAGGCAGAGGGACCAGTATGGTAAGAGGCCCTGAGGTCAGGGGATCCTGGCAGATGTGAGGAATGGAAGGAGCCGGTGTGTGGGAGCGGGGTGTGCACAGGCAGCTGTGGAATGAGATGAAGCAAGTTGTGAGCACAAGCTGGATTATGCAGGGCCTTAGGTCATTAGAATTCACTCTCACAGGGCCGTATAAATGCCATGGAAGAACTCAAAAGGGGGCCCATGGGCCCTGAACACCAGGACCATTCAATTCTTTTAGAAAGACAAGGCAAGGCAAGCAGAAAAAAAGAAGAAGAAGAAGAAGAAGAAGAAGAAGAAGAAGAAGAAGAAGAAGAATGCATTTGAGCCCTTTGGTGAACTTATTTGTTTAGTGAACATCTTCGTTTGTCTTTCCTTCTCTTGTTCATTCCTTTCTTCCTTCCTTTTTTTTTTTTTTTTTTGTTTTCTGAGGCCTTAAAAAACTACTCTTGTATTCTCTTATGATCTTTGGAAGACTTTAACTCAAATCAGGGACTGGCAAATGTTTGATCCATTTGACGGATCTCATATCTATAGTAATTTTAACTATGTTGCAATAGCTCATGAGGCCCTAAAGCTAACATTTCCATTTGTGGTATTTTTTAACAAGGACTAAATTTGGTTTGCTATATTGGTCTATCATCTGGGCTTTGTTTTAAAGCCCTGACTCACAGTTGAACATTGTACAGAAAGACCACACTACTATTTCTAGACTGGTATCTTGGTACAACGGGCTTGATGTCAGCCAGAGAAGTTGAGGAAGGTGAAATGGACTTGTGGAAGTATAACTTTCTCTCTTGTTTTAAAAAATCTTTATTGAAATATAATTTACATACCACACAATTCACCCATTTAGGATATACAGTACAACAGATAAGAGTTGTGTAATTATCACCACAATTAATTTTAGAACATTTCATTATCCCCAAAAGAAATCTTGTACCTACTAGCAATCAATCCCATTTCCCCTCCTCTATTTTCCCAGCCCATTAATCTACTTTCTATCTCTATAAATTTGCCCATTCTGGGCATTTCATATAAATGAAATCATGCAGTTTTTCGTGACTTTTTTCACTTGCATAATGTTTTCAAGGTTCATCCATATTATAGCCTGTGTCAATACTTCATTCCTTTTTTTTTTTTTTTTTGAGATGGAGTTTTGCTCTTGTTGCCTAGGCTGGAGTGCAATGGTGCGATCTCAGCTCACTGCAACCTCCACTTCCTGGGTTCAAGTGATTCTCCTGCCTCAGCCTCCAGAGTAGCTGGGATTACAGGCATGCGCCACTATGCCTGGCTAATTTTGTATTTTTAGTAGAGACGGGGTTTTTCCATGTTGGTCAGGCTGGTCTCAACCTCCCAACCTCAGGTGATCCACCTGCCTCAGCCTCCCAAAGGGCTGGGATTACAGGCGTGAGCCACCGTGCCTGGCCACTTCATTCCTTTTTGTAGCTTAATAATATTTCACTGTTTGAATTACATTTTTGTTTACCCATTTATCAGTTGATGAACATTTGGATTATTTCTACTGTTTGGCTATATGAATGACGCTACTATGAACACTTGTGTACATGCTTTTGTGTATATGTAAGCTTTCATTCTTTTGGGTATATACGTAGGAGTGGAATTGCCAGGCCATATGATAACCCCATGTTTAACACTTTGAGGGACTGCCAGACTATTTTCTAGAGTGGTTGCATCATTTTACATTCCCACCAGCAGTGTATGAAGGTTCCAGTTTCTCAACATCTTCACCAACATTTGTTACTGTGACTGTGACTCTTTGTCTGTGACCTCTCCATTGGAATCCTCAGGCATCTCCATTTCTTCTCCATTCTGCCACTTCCTTTGACCTGGCACATCCTCTGTAACACCAGCAATTTGTATCACTTTCACAATACTCTGGATATATGTCTTGGTGATTAAATGCAAACTGCTTTTCTTACTGAAAAAACTTTACTTCCCAATGGATAAAAGTGAAGGAAGCTAAGTGATATAGGAAGTTCCATAACTCATTCGTCTTCCCCTCATTCTGCAATGAGAAGCTAATGTTGGAGATTAAATAATGGACTTTGTTGATTTCAGTGTGTCTGCTGCTGAATGTGTAAATTCATCCTTTCTCAGATAGTCAGACACAACTAGCTAAGTAGCATCCTAAGTAAAAGTGGTAACATGAGTAATTCTGCCGGGAAATAAGGTCAACCTTTTCAGCCTTTTCTCATGAGATCTGGACTGTGAGCAAGGAGTAAAGAGCTACATAAACCTTGCACCTCAAATAACACTGAAGCTCTGTCCTCCTTGTTCCCTCTAATGCCTGAGCATCCAAGAAATGAAATATAGGACTAGAGATTTTTTTAAATAACCTGGATTTTGTAGAAAGAAAGATCATAATACATTAAGTAAAATATGGTTCCCATGTAAAATTATTCTTTCAAAAACTAGGAATTATATAAATACATGAAATCAGGATATATACAAAGGAGTTAGTAGTGATTTTTATTCCTTAACTGGTGGTTGAATAAGTGAGTGTTAAATTTTTTGCTTTCTTCACCTATATTTTTAACTTTTTTCTACAATGAACATATATTACATTGTAATAAGAAAAAGTTAATTTGTAAGTTGTATTTCTGATGCTTATATTGAATTACAAGACACAGTTTTTTTTCTACCTTGCAATAAATTATTAGGATGAAGAATAAATTTGGTTAGGAAACTAGACAATTATTTCAAGGTTTGTTCCAGCTCCCGAGGCTTTATGAGGTTACCATCAAATTTGGTCAGCAAAATAGATGGCAAACCATGACACAGCACAAATCATATTCTTTAGGACTCTTAAAATTGTATCAGAAACCACTAAAACTAGCTTAGCAGCATTTCTTGTAAGAATACAGACAGGGCTGATAGCCGGTTGCACTTGCTTGGGGATACTGGTTGTTTACATTGTAAAATACCTCTGTTCCTATTACTCTGACACCCCCAAATGCCTCCTGTCTGCCTCAGCCACTTGGGGATTTCTCAGGCTCTCTGTACTTCATGGCAAAAGAGGGAACGTGTGGAATGGCAGTGGACTTCTAGAACCATGTACCAGGTGTCTGGCCCTGTCTGTTCTAATTTTCTCCCCCAGTTTCATATTAACTATTTTGAATATCACCCTCAGAATGCATGGGTATCTCATGGAATCCAAGGGCAAAGATTTAGCTGGGCCTCCTGAAGGGACTAGACCCAGACTCTCGGGGGCTGTCAGGCTTCTCCTTATTTCTCATCTCTGTGCGTCTGCTCCATCCTCTCTTATTGCCTTTTCTGCCTTGAAGTTCACATGACAGAAATATGACCTACAGCTCTCAGAATTGTCATTTGACAGGTCTGGCCGTTTGGAAAGAGAATGATCTTCTTCTTCCCTCCCTCCCTTCCTATTTCAAATGTCCAGGGAAGAAACTGAATGCCAGTCATGTGCCCACTCCTGTACCAAACCTCTATGACCCTATGGGAAGAGGGGATCACATTGCCCAACCATGGCTTTTCCAATTATAATCATATGAATAGAGGGGGTGAACAATTCCAGATAAAATGAGGGAGCTTTTCCAGAAATTATGGAGTGGAGCACAAATATAATCATGTCCTTGCCTAGCACGTAGCTATCTCTCAACCTTCCTTTAATTGGGGCTTCTTTATCCAACAATCTTAACACTCCATGAAAGAGTCTCTGAATAGCCATATATCAAAGCTTATAATTTTGCATATAGAATTGTATATAGAAAAGTACCTAGCACAAAAGTTTTAAACTCTTATTTTACACAACTTGCTTATTAGGCTCTATGTCCAAGGCAAATCAGAAGTAGAATTAAAGAGGAGTGGTAAGAAAGGCAGGCTTGCTGAGCCTGGATGGCATATGAGTGTGAGTGGGTGTGTGATTGAGTGTGTGTGTGTGTGAGAGAGTGTGTGTGTGGGTGAGTGCGTATGCGACTGTGTGTGTGTATGCGAGTGTGTGTGTATGCGAGTGTGTGTGAGTGTGTGAGTGTGTGTGTGTGAGTGTGTATGCGTGTGTGTGTCTGTGAGCGCTCATGCGTGCACATCTTCAGTCATGTGCCCACTCCTGTACCAAACATTTATGGTCCTATGTGGGAGCAGATCATATTTCCCAATTACGGCTTTTTCCATTATGACCACATGGATGAAGTGGGTATATAGTTTCATACACACAAACACACACACACCACACACACACCCTGATACATAAATTCAGGAATAATGATTCAGCAATGCAAAAGGCAAAAATCGTATCTGAGGCCATTTTTCCATACCAATAATTAGAAATTTAAATAATCTATGAAGTAATAAAGTAAGTTAGCATATAATTATTGATATTTATTTTAATAACTAGAACCCTCCATTTTAAAAGTGAAATTATGTTGAATATATCCTGTTTAAGAAGGCAGAGAAAATTTTAATGCATTGATGAAAGAGAGTAATGGTAAATGTAGAAATACAGGGATACTTGATATCTAAGCTTTAGCTAGCTGGAAAGTTATTGAAAAAACTTGATAAGCTTTTGCTAGCTGGAAAATTATTATTCAGCAATGCTAGATCTTAGACAGGTCTTTGCGAATTTCTCCTCCATAAAATGGGACTGATAATTATACCCAATCGCCAGGGTAGAGAAGCTCACTATGTGTGAAAATCCTTTGAGATCTTTGAAGAAGTCAAGATGTTTTAAAGTATTAGTGATATTAAAATCTATTTTGGTTTTTGCAAGAACGATTGCACTGGAAACAAATTTACTTTTAATGAAAGAAACATGAGGGGAAATGAATTATTCTGCCTGGGTCTTTTTGAGTCCATTTCAAAGCACCACTTACTTAGGTCAGACCTTTTTATTGGTCACTTGTCTATAGTTTCTATTAATTATTTCATAGTTTAGCAATTTGCAACTCTAGATTGTCCATCTTTTAGGAAGTTGGATTGATGGCTTTATTTCATAAACTACAATTGTTAAAATCATGTTTTCTCCTACCTCTATCATGATTATCAAATAATGTAAAAATGTTGCACAAAATTCAAACTATAGAGAAAATAGTCACTCATAATCCCATTTGCTTCACTATTATAATTTTCCATATAATGTATATTTTTATGAAATTTCAGTCATAGCTATGTTCAATATTATAGTCTCCTTTTTCCATTTTGCTACTTGTTATTCTTGTTAATCAGAATTGTCCCCTTTAAATGTGCATACAATTCTATTGAGTGAATGTGCTAAAATAATGGAATAATCATTTCACTATTTTCAGATATTTAGATTCCTTTCTTTTTTTTTTATTACAATAAAAAGTACACCCTTTCCCTTCTTCCCAAATTGTGTAGTCTGGGTAATCTCTAAATTCTAAGTGCCCACCATGCCCATAGCCTGCCTCTGGGGAAAGAAGCCAAGTCTTTCTTCATAGTCATTATGCTCTATGCATGTGACTCTGCCATTCCTATGACTACTACTGAGCCAGGGGGTCTGTGCCTGGGCCAAAGGGCAGCCATGTCCATGAGAAAGGCCCATGCAGAGGCTCTACAAGAGACTGCCCAATAGCAGGGCACCATATTAGATGGTATCAAATGGATCCAGTTTCCTCCTCTCTCTCAGTGAGAATAAATGTGAGATACACAGAGCAGTCAGGATGCTCTGCATACCCTTTTGGAGACAGAAAAAGATGACCAGGACACCAAAGCTGTTGGCTCACCAGAGCTGCTACTACATTCTGAATAACAATGGACCATGTCTCTAGTTTGGCACAAACACTGTGTCCTTGCCAGTGGTAGAGGGCTGGGACTCAGGGTCATAGTCCAGCTTCTGAGACTACTGTCCATGCCCATTTTCTTCCCCGTGGAAGTAAGCCACCATCCCCTAATATAATTATTTTCTTTTCTCCTCTTAGATGACTTCCTTGGAATGAATTACCCAAAACAGGATAAAGGAGTATAAATATTTTTATGGTTCAGATATATATTATCAAATTACCTGGTAATGTTTCTAGAGATTTTCCTCTGGATCTTCTGCTCCACTTATTTTATGCTCTTTCAATCATCTCACCCTTCTCTACAGCTACAACGACCATCAAGTTTGAGACACCATTCAATTGTAAAATGCACCATTATTTTATGAATGACAGAAGAAAATGTGTTGTTAATTAGGTTGATATAATGCTTTATCACTTAAAATGTTTATTTCATAAGTATTGAAAAAGTTCTTTTAGACTTTTGTGCATATAAAAAATGAAATACAAGCAAAATACTATATATCTGACATTTTTCAGAATCTAACTTCTCAGAGTTACATTTTAACTCAAACTATCTTTATCCTTATTTTTCCATCACAGTATTGTGTCTTATTCCATCTAAAGTATTGATAAATCAGCATTACTTAAAAGAATTCTCAGCTGGGTGTGGGGCTCACACCTGTAATCTCAACACTTTGGGAGGCCGAGGTGGGAGGATCACTTGAGCCCAGGAGTTCAAGACCAAGCCTGAGCAATATAGCAAGACCTTGTTTTTACAAGAAACAAAAAAATAAAAATTATCCGGGTGTGGTGGTGTGCACCTGCAGTCCCAGTTCCTTGGGAGGCTGAGGTTGGAGGATCCCTTGAGCCTAGGAGTCAAGGTTGCAGTGAGCTATGATCTTGCCACTGCACTCTAGGCTGGGCAACAGAGCAAGACCTCTACTAATGTCCCAAAGAGTTTCTTCCAAGTCATTGACACCCACTCTGAAAGTTTTGATGTTGGCTCTTGTTTGATCATTCTAAAACTTACTGATAGAAAGTCTTCAGACAATACCCAGGAGTCATGTGCTTTCTTGAATAGTGCTTAAGTGTTTTGTTGACTGAAATGTCCAAAGTGTTACATTTGTCCAGTCCAGTCACTTGGACATACACAGCTGTGTGTTTGTTGCCTGTAATGATTGTAATCCTTATCAGTTGCAAGACACATTCTGATTTCAGAGATGTTAAAATGCAATACATATATATATAATATAATATATATGTATTGCATTATATATCATATATATATTGCATTTTAACATCTCTGAAATCAGAATGTTTCTTGCAATATATAGATATAGATAAAGATATAGATAGACAGATAGCATGTGCCAATGATTCCAAAATCTGTAATTCTATTCCAGACTGCTATGTAAACTGTCCTCCAGATCTCTATTTGGGCAACGCCCACATACCTCAAACAGCTTCTTATTGCTGTTGGAAACATTTCCAGAAATGTAGTGGCTTAAAACAATGCAAATGTATTGTCTGAAAGTTTTGGAGGTTAGGAGTCCAATATAGGTTTCACTAGGCTAAAATCAAGGGATCAGCAGGGTTACATTCCTCCTGGAAGCTCTAGGGTAGAATCCATTTTCTTGTCTCTTCCAGCTTGTAGGGGCTGTCTGCACTGGCTTGTGACTTCTTCCATCTTCAAAGCCAGCAATGGCCTCTCTTTCTTCCATCACATGACTCTGAATCTTACTCTCCTGCCTCCTATTTCACTTAGGATGTAAGTGGTTACATTGCGCCTACCTGGACAGTCCAGGATAATCTCCTTATCTCAAAATTCTTAATGTAATCATGTCTGCAGAGTCCCTTTTTACTGTAAGGAACATATTCACAAGTTCTAGGAATTAGGATGTGAATAACTTTGGGAGGGGTTCATTATTCTGCCTACCACAATGTCCAAAACTAAATTCCTGATATTCCTCCCTGTTCAAATTTGCTGTTTCTCCAGTCTTTCCTATCTCAAAGATTTAAACCACAATCCATCAATTGCCCACACAAGAAGCCTGGACATCATCCTAGCAACCTCCCTCTTACACATTTCCCACATACAATTAATCATTAAAGTCTGTCATTTTGTTTTTCCTCCTAGAAAGCAAATAAGTCTACTTAGCTCTCCTTACGCGGTCATTGCTCTGGGCTAGACCCTCATCATTGTCTCTTATCTATTTTACTGCTACCAGTCTACCTGCTACTGGAAGAGATACAGCTCAAAACATACTGGTGTGAAATTTATGATCGGGGGTTTATGTTTTTAATACCTACTCAGTAGCATATGCAACTGGGGAGGAGATACACATACAGTACAATACCAAAGGCTTGCATTTGCATAGCATATTATGAAACATCTTTACATTCTTACCACAGTTAATCAGCTCCATAGCCAGGTGAACCAGGTACTATCATCCTACTTAGTGAGGTTAGACAACTTAGACTCAGGTGATTTTTGTTTTTAGAGACAAGTCTCATTCTGTTGCAGGCTGGAGTGCAATGGTGTAATCATAGCTCACTGCAGCCTTGAACTGCAGACTCAGGTTTTGAAAAAAGGTCTCATTACCTCCTCAAATTAGTCTCCTTCGGCATTACCTCCTTACAGTGCTCATTGTCATTTCAAATTCCACACGTTCAGAGACAGATCTTCTATAACTTCCTGGTCCGGTCATCAATCTCCTCCCCACCCGCTTCACCCACCTTCAAATTTACTGTTGATTTGCTCTATCCCTATCCTCACATCTAGCCAGACACCAAGACTGGTTGAATTTTCTTTTGACCTCCTAGTTCTTGCCGCTGTCCCCACAGTCCCCTGCATAGCCAAAATGTCCTGTTTTATCTCACTGCTAGGTCAGTTCAGCTGCCTTTCCCGCATCTTGCTTCATCCTATGTATCACTGCCCAAAATAGAGTGTGAAAACCACTTTTATATCATCACTCCCTAGGTCAAAATCCTTTAGTGGCTCCTTATTTTCCATTACATTAACCTCGAGCCTCTCTGTGTGGCTTTAAAGCCCCTCCATAATTTGAGCCCTTCCTATGAAGTTTACATAATTCCCACAGTTTCCCAGCCTCGTGCTCTGGGTGGGCTGGCTGCCCCACTGACCATCACTCTGGTTATTCCTTCCAGGGCTTTGTCCCTGTAGATGCCTCACTGGGAATGCTTACCATCTCACATCTGCCTTTCCAAACCTTGTTCTCCTTTCACCTGGTTCAATACTGTCATCCCTGAATCCTTCAACCAGTCCTTAGGGTTCCTATTCCTCTCTGAAATTACAGAGCACGGTTAGGGCCTTGTAATAAAATGCTCACATTGTAAGTGTTGTTTCATGCACCTTAGTCCTGTCTCCTCCAACTAAACCACAACCAACTTGAGAGCAAAGCTCAGGTTTTCTGTTTTCTTCTTACTATAAGTAAATAATAAGTTCTTCTTGACCGATTTCTTGAATTATTCCCAAATCATGTTTCTTTCTGCATTGGTATATATTATGGCAAGTTTGTATATACAGATTTAAAAGGCAAATGCAGCCAGGGGCAGTGGTGCACACCTGTAATCCTAGAATCTTGGGAGGCCAAGGCAGGTGGATCACTTGAGGTCAGGAGTTTGAGACCAGCCGGGCCAACATAGTGAAACCCCATCTCTACTAAAAATACAAAAATTATCTGGGTATGGTGGAACATGCATGTAATCCCAGCTACTCAGGTGGCTGAGGCATGAGGATCACTTGAACCCAGGAGGAGGAGGTTGCAACAGAGTGAGACTCTGTCTCAAATTAAATAAATAAATAAGGCAAATGCAAGCATACTCTCTTAAAGATAAGCTATTTTCTTTCAGTGAATGGAAGTGTTTGACAGAGAAACACCTTTGGAAGCAAACATTGAGATGTTACTGCAACATGTTCTATTTGCACTGGTGCTTATTATGCCAAGTTTACATTTAAAAAAACAAAGACTCAACTCTGGTTTGGGAGTAATTTACTGGTTCAATTACATTTAATTATTTCAAACTACTAAAATATTGAGGTCTGCTTGACAATTCAGAGATTTATATTGATTGACGGATAGCTGGTAACTGAAAACCCCAGTTGAAAACCCCAGTTTTTGAAGAGATACAGTATAAATAACTAATATAAACAAAACACAACCATTATGATAGTCAATTCGCACACCATTTAATGAAGACTTCTTTGTGAATCAAGTGCTAGATGAGACTGCAAATTTGGAGAAGATGGAAGAAAATGGAAGAGGGCCTGACCCACACCCTCAAAGTCAGGGAACTTGGTAAGTTTAGGGAGGATGGTGTGCCCAACACAGTCAAAGGATCAAACAAAGATAACAGACACAAAAGGAAATCAATCATACGAGGACAGAGTGAAAGTAAAATCTTTTGATGAAAAAATGGATGTTTGAATGTCATGAAGATACTGTAAAAAAAAAAATGGAGGAAAGAAAGCAAATGAATGGTTAGTTCACAAGCTGGCTAATTGCTGGTCTGAAGATAGTAGTCACGGCACTGTTTTGCAAACATAACAGCATCATCAGAACCAACGTGAAAGTAGGCAGTTCTGCAACCAGAGTTCCTGTGTACAAGAGCAACTAAGAAGCCCTTCCCATCAAGATTCCTCTCTGCAAACACATTCCAACACTTTATCAATTTGCTAGTTTGGCAACTCAGTGTTACAATCTGGTCAGATAAGAGATTTTCAGATCTTACAGTGAGAGGAAGAGACACATTTCCTATCCACACAGTGACACTGCCTTTCCACCCCCTGAAAACATGCTCTCTCTCTCTCTTTCTCTCTCTCTCTCTCTCACACACACACACACACACACACACACTACAACGTGTCTAAGTCATTAGCTGTTTGTGCCCTAAATGTGGAACAAGGAATTCCCCAGATGATTTTTAAATTCCAGGGCAATTACTACGTACAGTTTCAAGAGCCAGAAGGAAGAATCAATCTGCCAAGCAACGATTAGGGATGGAATTGCTTGTGCTTCAAAGTATATGCTGGATTAACTTCTAAAGTAGTTAATTACTTTCCAGATCATGCTGTGGTGTCACGTGGCCTAAAGAGAAAACTGCAGCCATCCAGACCTAAGGAGGTGGAAGTAAGGGAAGGTCACGATTTCTATCTTTTAGGCTGTGTCTGATGGGACTGGCTTAAAAGCAAAAGAATCAAAAAGCATTTTTTGTTTTAGCCAAAGCAATATTAAGTAACAGGGTTTTTAAATCTTTAAATATATTAAGTTGTTTAAATGAATCCACTGATGGTTGTTTTAAACATTATAAACTTGTAACCTAAACTGAAGCTGCTTATCAAAGATGCAGTAGCTACATTTTCTTTGCTGAACTACATTCAGATCCAAAGCACTTTTACAATGAATTCAATTTTCCTGGTGGAAAGTAGCAGAATACAGAACCCCCAAAATTCCTTCAGCTCTGAACTACCTAATAGGAGATAAAGGAAATATTGATCTAAATGAAAAGGTTGGCAACAGGGATGAGGTACAGGGCACACATACTGTTTTTCTGTCTTTCCAGGCCCAAGACAATCACCACTTATTTATCATGGCACTATTAACTCCCATCAAGCTTGGTCCTGGCTTCAGAAACCTCAACACAGTGCTTTGGGTGGCTACTACCTGAAAATGCAACTTATTTGCAACCTCTGATCTAGAAGGAATATAAACTCAGAAAAAGATAGTCTAGAAGTACACACTCATCCTCAGAGTTTGTCAATATCTGCCACAACTAGAGAAAATAACCCATGAGATATTTGGTTCATTGACACTACTAATGGTTTCAGTCTTGAGACACTTATCAAGATATTAAAGTTAAAGGGACCAAAGTCATCTTGTTCTATGCCCTCATTTTATAGATCAGGAAACTGCATCAGACTTATGTACATTATCAAAGCTTAGAACGTAGGCTTCCTGGTCTTCCTGCTCCGATGTTCGTCCATGCTGACCCTCTTCTGCTCTACTTATCATATGCTAGGCTCAACGAATCTTTATCATCTTGATTATATCATCTGTGTTCCTACATATAGACGTATGGAGTACTGTATGAAATGTTACTACATGAAAATGATTCACTAGTAAACTAGGACCTTTATCAATATGTAAAATTCAAGTCACAACCTCAAAGGTTAACTTAATGTTCAAAAAATACAAGATGTAGCTGTCTAGAGATTTTTGAATAAAGTAAAATTTAGCATCTGCCTCTAAGAATAAATGCAAGTTTAATAGAGAGGGAAAGAAATTGAACTGGATTTCACAATGAATAATACCAGTTTATACAGATGCAAAATATAGCAGAGATGATTAAATTATCTGTGACAGTTTTCTAGAATTTCAGCATTTCCTATGCTCACTAAACTTTCTAACTGAAAAGGAAGAATCACTAGTGCTTTCTAAGGATTCAAAAAATAATATTTAAAGTTCTTTTCAGGACCCATAGACGGGGCAGAGTACAGACCTCTTCTTTTCAACCTTACCTTTCACTACGGGAATTATCCTAGCCTTGCCATTCATTTTACTTCTTCTCTTGTCACCAGGCCATGTAAATTTTTTCCTCTTTATGCTTAAAGCAAAAATAGTAACACCAACCATCTGTCACATAAATTAGAGATGTATTACCTTAAACCAATAGTTCTCGACCTTGGCTACGCATTAAAATCATCTGCTTTCAACACTGTCAAACCCAGGTCAATAGAATCAGAATTGCTGGTGCTGGAACTCAGGGATTGCTTGTTTTTAAAACTCCACAGGTGTTTCCAATATGCAGGTAATTTTTCAACCACTGCCTTTAACCAAAAGGATGAAATGTTACTACAAGAGCATCATAGATCAGATGACGGTAAGGCCACAGGGGTAGTTCAAAGATCATCAGAACCACTCCGAACATTGTCTTTACTGTTCCTGCTGCACATCACAGTAAATTTAGCATCCTCCTCTGGAGTATAACCAAGAGAAGAAATCAGAAGCAGTCCCAGGCTGAGATAGATGGCTAGATCTCAGTGATGTTCGGGAGCTAAATAGTACTAGCTTACAAGAGGTGATTGTGTACATTTCTTTCCGACTTTATGTTCAGTGACATGATACTGCTGGCTGGAAATTGACCAATGGCAGGAGTATTTACACTGTAGAAATTGGCAAACACTACAAATCAGGGCTGGTTTTCCCCTAGACAGCCAGTTGTTAAACATTCATTGGCACATTACTGGATGGATCCCTAGACCCTGACCCTGGTTGAACCTGAGAGAGGAAAATGTAAAATCACTCCTGGCTCATTAGCAAGTCTGAACTTAAGATACTATTGCTCCTCTAATTATTGGCAAATAAGGAGGGGGAATAAAGCCAAATAGCAAAAAACCAAAAAACAAAACAAAACAAAAACAAGAAAACAATAGAAGTTTGTTGATGATATTATGATCCTGGTGGTATTACAGGTAAGCAGGAGAAGACAATATGAATTTAATATGGACTGATACATCCCCCTTGTCACTTTGCCTAGGCACCTGCCCATTATTTTGGTGGGTGGGGGGCATGTAGAGAACCAACAAAAAGGAAAGGTGGATGTGTTATTATAGTAGTAAAGTTATAGAGTCTGTTCTAATATACAGACTCCAAGATTGAGTGGTTTATGTAATAAAGAAGTTTATAACTGTCATGGAAATTTCCAGAGATAAATGGTACGAGGCTGATATGGGAGCATCCATCACTGACTACCAGGTTGCTACTCCCAGCTCCTGTCTTCACATCTGCATACCAACCAGTAAGAAGAGGAGAAGGAGCAAGGAGAGCACATAACTTTCCTTTTAAGGACACAACTAGGTATGACTCACATCTCTTCCATTCATACCCCGTTGACCAGACTTTATTCTTGTGGCTGACCCAACTGTAAAGGATGTTGGGAAATGTAGTCTTCATGGGGCGATGTGCCCGGCTAAGCTTTAGAAAATGTATTACGAAAATGAGAAGGTGAGGATGAGTACTGATGGAACTGGAAGACTGCCACACCATCTTACTAATTTAGATGCAAGCTTGTGTGTCGATATTGCTAGGGGTGGAGACTTCACAGTCTGATACTTTAAAACATTTTTCAGTCTACAGTAGTTTCTCAGGGTTTGTGGGTCCTGGGTTTCCAGGAGCTTCCTATGTTAGTAGAAAACAACCTTTTCTGGAAATCCCTATATATTCATTGGAAATAGTTTTGAGAGTTTAATTCAATATACACCTGAAAATATCACGTGTTAAACATAGAATTTGGTCACAGGCCTTGTAATATATTACTAAATATATCTTTGGCCCAAGTAATGTTTTCACAGACCATTTTATTAGTACTTCACTGGATATTTTTATAAGAACAGAATACAAAACTTTAGGCCATAAACATATGCTACTTATAAATAAATAGGAGTTAATATAATTTCTAGTCATTGTATACATAGTCATCACATTAATGTTTCTTAAAAATCACTTTTGTCAGGCTGGGCGCAGTGGCTCACGCCTGTAATCCCAGAACTTTGGGAGGCCGAGGCAGGTGGATCACCTGAGGTCAGGAGTTTGAGACCAGCCTGACCAACATGGTGAAACCCCATCTCTACCAAAAATACAAAAATTAGCCGGGCGTGGTGGGGCACACATGTAATTCCAGCTACTTGGGAGGCTGAGGCAGGAGAATCGCTTGAACCTGGGAGGCAGAGGTGGCAGTGAGCCAAGGTTGTGCCATTGCACTCCAGCCTGGGCAACAAGAGTGAAACTCTGCCTCAAAAAAAAAAAAAAAAAAAAAAAAAAAAATTCACTTTTGTCATAGCATTGTCCTGCTCAAAAACCTTAGTACCTATTATTTGAAGTTAAAATGCTTTTGCTTGGCATTGTGGGGCTTCTTGTGCCTGTGCTGGAGGTCTAACCAAGCATCACATGCAGCAGAAAACAAGGCTGACCAGGAACCCAGGAGTCTTGGATTCTAGTTCTCATCCTGCCACTGTCCAGATGGGGGACATTGGACTCCCACACACTCTGAGTAGAGCTGGCCCTGAAGCTAAGGTTCCAGACAGACCGGCTAAGAAAGGAGACTAAGGAAGGCTCCTTAGAGTAGTTGTGGAAAGCAGCTCCTCTGATGACTCTCAGTGGTCCCCATGTCCTGGTGTTCACCCTCTGGTCTTGCATAATCCCCTCACCTTGAGTATGAGCTGCACGTAGTGACTGGCTCCTAACAAATAAAATACAGCAAAAGTGATGGGATGTCGCCTCTGAGATTAGGTTACAAAAGACTGGGCTTTTTGCTCACATTCTCTCTTTCTGTCCCTTCTTGCTTTCTCTCTGATGAGGCAAGATGCCATGTTGTGAGCTGCTCTGTGGAGGGGGACCTGTGGCGAGGAACTGAGGGCAGCCAGCAGGCAACAGCCAGCTGCCATGTTGTGAGTAGCCCTATGGAGGGGCCCACATGGCAAGGAACTGACATCTTTGGTCAACAGTCAGTGAGGACTTAAGGCTGCCAATAGCCACATGAGGGAGCTTGGAAGCAGATCTTCCCCCAGTGGAGCCTTGAGATGACTGCAGTCTGGCTGACACCTTGATTGTTGCCTTCTGGGAGACCTTGAGGTGGGGGACCCAGCTAAGCTGCCCAGCTTCCTGACCGGCAGAAACTGGGAGACAATAAATGTTGGTGTTTTAAGCCACTACATTTTGGGATAATTTGTTACACAGCAATAGATAACTAGTACAGAAGTGCTAAAGATCAAACACCCCTCTCCCTCTCTCTCCACGGTCTCCCTCTGATGCCGAGCCGAGGCTGGACTGTACTGCTGCCATCTCGGCTCACTGCAACCTCCCTGTCTGATTCTCCTGCCTCAGCCTGCCGAGTGCCTGGGATTGCAGGTGCGCACCGCCACGCGTGACTTGTTTTCGTATTTTTTTGGTGGAGACGGGGTTTCGCTGTGTTGGCCGGGCTGGTCTCCAGCTCCTAACCGCGAGTGATCTGCCAGCCTCGGCCTCCCGAGGTGCCAGAATTGCAGACGGAGTCTCGCTCACTCAGTGCTCAATGTTGCCCAGGCTGGAGTGCAGTGGCGGGATCTCGGCTCACTACAACCTCCACCTCCCAGCCGCCTGCCTTGGCCTCCCAGAGTGCAGAGATTGCAGCCTCTGCCCGGCCGCCACCCCGTCTGGGAAGTGAGGAGCGTCTATGCCTGGCCGCCCATCGTCTGAGATGTGGGGAGCGCCTCTGCTCCGCCGCCCCGTCTGGGATGTGAGGAGTGCCTCTGCCCGGCCGCGACCCCATCTGGGAGGTGAGGAGCGTCTCTGCCCAGCCGCCCCGTCTGAGAAGTGAGGAGCCCCTCCGCCCGGCAGCCGCCCCGTCCGGGAGGGAGGTGGGGGGCAGCCCCCACCCGGCCAGCTGCCCCATCCAGGAGGGAGGTGGGGGGCAGCCCCCGCCCGGCCAGCTGCCCCGTCTGGGAGGTCGGGGGGCGCCTCTGCCTGGCCGCCCCATCTGGGAAGTGAAGAGCCCCTCTGCCCGGCCGCCACCCCGTCTGGGAGGTGTACCCAACAGCTCATTGAGAACGGGCCATGATGACGATGGCGGTTTTGTCGAGTGGAAAAGGGGGAAATGTGGGGAAAAGATAGAGAAATCAGATTGTTGCTGTGTCTGTGTAGAAAGAGGTAGACATGGGAGACTCCATTTTGTTCTGTACTAAGAAAAATTCTTCTGCCTTGGGATGCTGTTAATCTATAACCTTACCCCCAACCCGGTGCTCTCTGAAACATGTGCTGTGTCCACTCAGGGTAAAATGGATTAAGGGCGGCGCAAGATGTGCTTTGTTAAACAGATGCTTGAAGGCAGCATGCTCGTTAAGAGTCATCACCACTCCCTAATCTCAAGTACCCAGGGACACAAACACTGCAGAAGGCCGCAGGGTCCTCTGCCTAGGAAAACCAGAGACCCTTGTTCACTTGTTTATCTGCTGACCTTCCCTCCACTATTGTCCTATGACCCTGCCAAATCCCCCTCTCCGGGAAACACCCAAGAATGATCAATAAATACTAAAAAAAAAAAAAATAATAAAAATAAAATAAATATTGAAATTATTAAAAAAAAAAGATCAAACACCATCTGAAAAAGAAGGGACCTTAAGGAAAATATTATTTAGAAGTTAAAGCTATTAAAGCTGAGAAGGTGACTTCTGAACTGAGTTTAATTTTGAAAGTCACATGTACAATAAAAAAAATTTAAAGTTTAAATAAATGATGCCCAGACATGGAATCAACCCAAATGCTTATCAATGGTAGACTAAATAAAGAGAATGTGGTACATATACACCAGGAAATACTATGCAGCCATAAAAAGGAATGAGATCATGTCCTTTGCAGGGACATTGATGGAGCTGGAGCCATTATTCTCAGCAAACTAACGCAGGAACAGAAAACCAAACACCACATGTTCTCACTTGTAAGTGGGAGCTGAAAGATGAGAACACATGGACACAGGTGGGGGCACAACACACACTGGGACCTATCAGGAGGTGGGAGGAGGGAGAGCATCAGGAAGAATAACTTATGCATTAATTAGCTATCAATAGCTAATTATTATTAGCTTAATACCTAGGTGATGGGTTGATCTGTGCGGCAAACCACCATAGCACACATTTCCCTATGTAACAAACCTGCACATCCTACACATGTACCCCGGAACTTAAAAGTTGAAGAAAAAACAAATGCCCAAAAGACTGATTCTCAAACTTCTGCTTGCAAAGAAACACATTTGGTTTTGCAGAGAATGATTGCATTGGCACAATATAAAAGCCTGTCTCCTCAAGAATTGGAAGGTAAAACATCTGAAGAAAACATTGGTATGTAGCCAGAAAATGATCAGTTTGAACCAATCTCCTAATAACTGTGAGGAAAAAGAAGAGAAACTTCATTTTTGTGAATATGATATGGCTGTGCTATTCAGTGCAGTAGCTATTAGCCACATGTGGTGATTTAAATTTAAGGTAAAATTAATGAAAATTAAACAAAATTTAAAATTCAGTTCCTCAATCACACTAGCTATATTTCAAGTACTCAATAGCCTTACTCACTGGTAGCCACAATAGCAGATATAGAACATTTCCAAAATTGCACAGGGTCCTATTGGGCAGCCCCCTATAAAGCATTTCCACAATTCCTAACCCCATTGTCTCCAACTGTTGTTCTTTCATATATAGTCAACCAGTTTAAAATGGCAAGTGCTTGGCCAGGCGTGGTGGCTCACACCTGGAATCCCAGCACTTTGGGAGGCCGAGGTGGTCAGATCACGAGGTCAAGAGATTGAGACTATCCTGGCCAACATGGTGAAACCCCGTCTCTACTAAAAATACAAAAATTAGCTGGGCGTGGTGGCGGGCGTCTGTAGTCCCAGCTACTTGGTAGGCTGAGGCAGGAGAATCACTTGAACCTGGGAAGCGGAGGTTGCAGTGAGCCGAGATCGCACCACTGCGTTCCAGCCCAGCAACAGAGCTAGTCTCCATCTCAAAAAAAAAAAAAAAAAAAGGCAAGTGCTCCTGAATACCTTGTAGGCATCAACAGCTCAGTGAACCTAAAGATATATTGAGCACATTGCAGAGCATCCACACTGAGTGGGGAGAATCTAAAGCGCGAGAAGGCTGGTACCATAAAGCACTACAGAGAACCCAGTCTTAAAGTGAGCCAGTGGGAATCACCACTTCTGATACCAGCTCCCAAACATAGGCCTACTCCCTTTACTGCCCTGGACTTCAGTTTCCATATTTGCCAAATGGGAGCAGAAGGCCAAACAATTTTTTAAGTACGTTCAAGCTCTAAAACTCAATGACCTTCCCTATATGTTACACTGATGAAAGAGTTGTTGCATGTCTAAATTACTTATGACTCTCAGATGCAGGGTAGGGGTCCTATGGTTGGTTAGTACTACTCTTCCACCTCCCCAAGAAGCTGTCTTAAATGATGGTTAACCTGGAATTAGAACATGCTAACAATGGCAGAGTCTTTTAGACTATATTCACACACTGCCCTGTGGAATCCTCAGCAGCCCTCTGTATAATGAGAAATTATGATACTTCCTGGATTGTTCCCGAAAATTAGCAATTAGCATATGATTAAAAAAACTGTGAGATAAGAATTTCTTTTTATTTATTTACTTATTTTTGGCAGAGTCTTTTGCTCTGTCGCCCTGGCTGGAGTGCAGTGGTGACATCTTGGCTCATGCAACCTCCGCCTCCCAGGTTCAAGCGATTCTCATGCCTCAGCCTCCTGAGTAGCTGGGATTACAGGCGTGCACCACCATGCGGGGCTGAGTTTCTTTTGTTTCTTTTTTCTTTTTTTTTTTGAGATGGAGTTTCGCTCTTGTTGCCCAGGCTGGAGTGCAATGGCGCCATCTCGGCTCACTGCAACCTCCACCTCCCAGGTTCAAGCGATTCTCCTTCCTCAGCCTCCCGAGTAGCTGGGATTACACGTGTCTGCCACCATGCCCAGCTAATTTTTGTATTTTTAGTAGAGACGAGGTATTGCCATGTTGGCCAGGCTGGTCTCGAACTCCTGGCCTGAAGCTATCCACCTGCCTCAGCCTCCCAAAGTGCTGGGATTACAGGCGTGAGCCACTGCGCCCGGCCAGATTTATTTATTGATTGTGGACTGTGACCCACCTCAGGTCACCTGGGCCCTTGGAAATTTCCCCTCCACCACAGGGCAGCCGTGGGGAGTCAGGCCTGGTGGTCTCTCAGTGCTTTCTCTACCTGACAATATTTTGGCACAATTTCCACTGCCTTTTGGTTAGCCCATATTGTAGTGGCTTGAAATTTTCCAGAGCTCCTAGAGGGCAAGAGACAAGTGCCTGTGCTCTGGATTCTCCCAAGCATATCTGTTCCTTCCTAATATTCCCTACTCCCCACTGGCTCTTTGACCCTTAAGTTTTCCCTATAGTGGGGTAGTGGGGGTGAGCGGGAGCTCCCACATTCACATTTGATCTGTTGCCCTCCACTTCTTCTCCCCTTCCTACTTCACCTTCACGTCTAACCCCAAATGCCTCTCCACCCTAGCCTGCTTCTCTATACTGGTTTTTGTGGGGTTTTTTTTTTTTTTTTTTTTTTTGAAACGGAGCTTCGCTCTTGTTGCCCAGGCTGGAGTACAATGGCGTGATCTCAGCTCACTGCAACCTCCACCTCCCGGGTTCCAGTGATTCTCCTGCCTCAGCCTCCTGAGTAGCTGGGATTATAGGCATGCGCCACCACGCCTGGCTAATTTTGTATTTTTAGTAGAGACACGGTTTCTCCATGCTGTTCAGGCTGGTCTCCTGACCTCAGGTGATCCGCCCACCTTGGCCTCCCAAAGTGCTGGGATTACAGGCATGAGCCACCGCACCTGTCTATACTGGTTTTTAGCATGTTTTCTTTTCCTTCCCTCTTAAGGAATTCTGAAACACGTGCACTTTTTTTAGGTTGACATCTAAAAATTTTTTATCATAAGTTTAGTAGTTGCAAAAGACATAATCTCTGCTGCATTTTATATTGTATATGTCCTCTAAATGTAACCAAATCCAGGTGCAGCTGCTGGCTGCTCAAAAGCCGGACACAAGAGATGAGGGTTGGTGGGAGGAAAAGCAGGTTTATTTGGAAAGCTAGCAAAACCAAGAAGGTAGTAAACTAGGATTCTAAGGTACCTGTTAAGTCAGTACAAATTTCAGGCTCTTTTTACATTTAGGGCTGGGGGAAGAGGAAGTGGTTGGAATTGAGGTAATTGATGGCCACAGACATCTGGGCACCAGCAAGGGTCCCAGGAGACTGGGGACTTCTTTGTTCTTGATCAGGTCACAACGCTCCTATAAATCTTTAACAAAACATAGTTATTGTTTACATACTTCTCCTTTAATCCCAGAGTTAGTTTCAAAAACTACATGATTGCTGTTTCTGTGTATTATCTCAGTGCTCTAAAAATTATCCTAGACTGGGCATGGTGGCTCAGGCCTGTAATCCCAGCACTTTAGGAGGCCGAGGCGGGAGGACTGCTTGAGCCTCCGAGTTTGAGACAAGCCTGGACAACATAGGGAGACCCCGTCTCTACACATAGTTTTTAGAAACTTAGTTGAGCATGTTGGCATGTGCCTGTAGTTTCAGCTAATGGAGGCTGAGGTGGGAGCATTCCTTGAGCCCAGGAGGTCAAGGCTGCAGTGAGCTGTGATTGCACCACTACACTCCAACGTGGGTGACAGAGTGAGTCCCTGTCTCAAAGCAAAGGAAAACAAAACTAAAATAAATAAATAAAATAAAATTATCCTAGCCTATGTGCGTGAATGGGTAAAGGCCCTTTAAACAAAAATGGAGTTAGTTATGTTAGTTCTTTTGCTGTTTCACTGTTACATAAATATATTTTTTTGTTAGAACATTAGATTTTGCTCATTCAATATATGGAAAATGTCTGCACAGATCCTAATGGCCAAAGTTAGTTTTTGTTGTCCAGCCAAATCAGCTGTACTTTCTGTCAGGACAAGTCTTGATTTAATTTTTCAATTTAAGTTAATGTTTCCATATGCGTCCTCATGGCAACCATATCACTTCTGAATTCTAATACATAGAACCAAAGATAAGCAGATGAGGCATAGGGCTGCATATGGCTCTGCAACCTGGATGAAATGAGGCCCCAGGGCCCTCGAGATTTTTCTACGAGCTCACCTGGCACTGCTAGGAAACAACCTCCCTCAGGAGCGTGCATTCTCCAATTGTCCTGTCATTTGGTGTCCTGGAGGTTTTTGTACCCTGGGAACATGCGCTATTTTAGGATTCTGGATGGTGAGAGGCATATTTTTCTTTTGTAAACTAGGAGAGCAAACCATTTGAAAAGACGGGTTGGGTAAGGAGGACCAGCCAATCACAGTCAATTCTAAACGCAAATTAATTAATTTTAGGAAAGAATACACATGGAAGTTGACAATGTCAAAAACTTTTTTCTTAAAATTGCCAGTGCCCAAGAAGTCCTGAGGAAGTCTTCGTGTACTTCCAGGGGTACACACACACACCACAGGAAGACCACAGCCTTCTAGTGAAGTTCTGTGCTCAGACCCCGGAGCTTTGCTCTTAAAACATTGGAAAAGAAAATTTTTTGAATTTCAGCAAAACCCTTTTTTCTCTGAACAAAGCTTGGAATGATCTTGCTGTGAACTTAAGAATTTTAGTTTGACACTGTAAGCTGAGTAATGACTTTGTTCTAGTTAGGTATTCAGCCTTCCCCTGAGGTAGTGAAACTCATTGATTCAACGAGTGAGGGGTCATAGGACACCACCACTTAAGGGGAATGAAAATTACTTTGGTTTAATATTTCAAGAGTCTCATCCTTCTTTTATCTTTCATTTGGAACAGGGATTAAACTGATTCTGTGCTGTAGGACCAAAGAAATGGGGATATACAGAAGCCAATTTTGAGTTGATGGGAGGGAGGAAGAAGCAGAGCTGTGAAGCTATGATGGGATCTGCCTTCTGTGACCCACATGTCACCCGGGGCCTCTGCCTGTTGACACCTAAGATTGACTCATTTTTATCCCTCAGTTCTTTCTTTTCTTTTCTTTTCTTTTCTTTTCTTTTCTTTTCTTTTCTTTTCTTTCTTTCTTTCTTTCTTTCTTTCTTTTTCTTTCCTTTCTTTCTTTCTTTCTTTCCTTTCTTTCTTTCCTTCTTTCTTTTTCTCTTTCCTTTTTTCTTTCCTTCTTTCTTCTTTCTTTCTCTTCTTTCTTTCCTTTTCTCTCTCTCTTTCTTTCTCTCTCTTTCTTTCTTTCTTTCTCTTTCTTTTTTCCTTCTTGATGGAATCTCGCTCTGTTGCCCAGGCTAGAGTGCAGTGGCACAATCTCGACTTACTGCAACCGCCACCTCCCAGGGTTTAAGTGATTCTCCTGCCTCAGCCTCTAGTGTAGCTGAGATTACAGGCACGTACCACCATGACCAGCTAATTTTTGTATTTTTAGTAGAGATGGGGTTTCACTATGTTGGCCAGGATGGTCTCAAGCTCCTGACCTCAAGTGATCCGTGCTCCCCGGCCTCCTGAAGTGTTGGGATTACAGGCATGAGCCACCAAACCTGGCCTATCCCTCAGTTTTCACAAGATGAAAGTCCAGAGCTGTCCCTAAGAGTTTGGCAAGTTATTTTCTTGTGGTTAATGCTGATTCCAGGTGCCTGATTTCAATTGTGCCATTCTGTAGCACATCAATCCAGATGTAAAACTTATCTCCAATTTTGATTTTCAAAAAAAGCACTAGAGTGGGAGGGAACAAAGCAAAGGAGACAAGCAGCTGTTAACGTCGAAGGAAAGAAACAAAACAAAACAAAACAGTTTCATGGAGCGCTAGGTGGAAAGACTTCCAGCCAGCCTCACTCAGAGACAGTGGGAGTGGAGCCTTCCTCTCTCTATCTTGCTAAATGCCCACTTCACTCATCTTCCTCTGCAAGCCTTGTTCCCACTTTAGGCTGGTACAAAAGTAATTGTGGTTTTTGTCATTACTTTCAATAGCAAAAACCAGAATTGCTTTTGCACCAACCTAAATAGTGGTTGGTGCAAAAATATGTTCAAAAGAACACACATTATTCTCCTTATCCCTTACATAGCACTTTAGCATTGGTTTACACCCATGCTCTTGGGGTCTTACCATACCTACAGTACTACAAAGTATTCCATATTCTTTCCCTAAATACAATTCTGCTGCCATCAGTATTATATTGTTACACTTGAAAAGCTGCGTGTTCCCTATTAATTAAGTCTGGATGTTCCTTAGTAAATAAGTCTGTCAAAAACCCTCAGAATGGATTCTAGTACTGGATGTAGCAGGGGATAGGAGGGGCGGGGGACTTGGATTAGGGAATCTTCTACTTTCCCTTCTACTTCAAAACTCTTTGACTCTACCCTTTGTTAAGTAGGTATTTTTCAGCATTATTTAAAAATCAGATAATAAAAGTATCCAAAAATAAAAAGAACTTCTATAATATCCAAGATAATATAGAAATTCAAATAGTTCACCCAAAAAAAGTACCAGTATTTACACTCGGCATACATCATTTGAAATTTCAGATTCATACAGTATTTATTTTACTTGTTTTATGAAAACAGGATTGAAATGTGCTGCTTTCCACGTGTGCAGGTTTGTTGCAAGGGTATATTTAGTGATGCTGAGGTTTGGGCTTCTATTTGATCCTGTCACCAAAATAGTGAACACAGCACCCAGTGGGAAGTTTTTCAGCCCTTGCGCCACTCCTTTTGGAGTCCCTAAGTGTCTGTTGTTCCCATTTTTTAATGTCTGTGTGCACCAAAGATTATCTCCCACTTATAAGTGAGAACACGCATCATCATTTTTAATAGCTTCACATTATATTGCTGGGCGCAGTGGCTCACGCCTGGAATCCCAGCACTTTGGGAGGCTGAGGCGGGTGGATCACGAGGTCAGGAGATCGAGACCATCCTGGCTAACACGGTGAAACCCCGTCTCTACTAAAAATACAAAAACAAAATTAGCTGGGCGTGGTGGCGGGAGCCTGTAGTCCCAGCTACTTCGGAGGCTGAGGCTGGAGAAAATGGTGTGAACCCAGGAGATGGAGCTTGCAGTGAGCTGAGATCGTGCCACTGCACTCCAGTCATCTGGGCGACAGAGTGAGACTCCGTCTCAAAAAAAAAGAAAACAAATAAAATATATGATCGAAGATATGATTCAACTAGGTTTCTTTTTATTCTTACCATTTATTCTTACAATTTGACTTTCAAGAAAACCAAGGCAGAAATTTTAAAAAGAAAGATGTACTGATTATGGATTGGGATCCAAATCACAGAATATGTTAACATAAGAATATTTTATTCTACACTATTCAAATATGCCATAATATATTCACCCAAAGCAATAAATCCTATGCTGCACAAGCAAATTACAAACAAATGATAGAAGCTGAAGTTTTCCTCTCAAAAGAGGCTAAAGAACAGATAATTTAGAAAGAACAGATTTTATTGGAACGTCAATAGTTTTCATGACACAGATACTTAAACTACTCATTTCAACATACCCATATGAAGAAAATTATGAAAAGGTTTTTTTTTTTTTTAAGAAAAGATAATTTGACAGATGGAGTCTTTTTATGGGATCAGTAGAAGTGATAAAATTGAATAAATTACCAAGATTTTATCTCCGTTTCTGTAATTCTCCCTAAAGATTTAGAGATGGCAGATTGAATCAAATGGAAAATAAATTTGCAAGTTTATAACATTTCTAAAACAGGAATTAGACACAAACTTCTGACTCTTTTCATGAGTGGTTTGCCTTGAGGAAACCTGCTCTTATGGGATTCCACATTTCCTAAGTATCAAGGTTCATCAAATGGACATGCACCACATAAGTTACACAAATGTAGGTTCTGTGAATGGTTTACTGTTTATTATTACCATGGTCAAAGAACAAATAAAAACAATTGTAAACTAAAAAACATTTGGAGCAACTCAAAATCTAGTTGCTCCAAATGATTCGTTTATGATCAGGCTAGATTAGATTGAAAATAAAATCAAGCCATGGCCTTTTGGTTCACAACATAAATGACTTATGCTTCTGGAGTTGTGTGATCTTATCACAGAGACAGAAGTTGTGCAGACTTCTAGGAGAAGGTGCAGAAAGACACTGCTAGGATGTTTTATGGACAGAACATATGTATATTACTTTAAGAAAAGCACCAGCAGACCAGATGTATCTCCTTCTACAGAATCCTAGCATTGCTTGAAAATTCAGCAGCTCTTTCCTAGACCATAAAACGAATGAGAAAAGGCAGTGGAAAGTAAAGTTTTCATAGAACCATAGGAGACAGTGTCTGGGAGAATCTGTAAAATCCTGTGTCCTTCAGTAGGAGAGGATCCCGAGACCCAGAGAGGGGAAGTGATTTGCTCCAAGTCTCACACACTCACCAACTGACAGTCAGAACTGGGGTCCTGTTGGCAAATAGTGAATAAAAAAAGTTTTAAATTCAAAGCCTCAGAAAGCAGAAAAGTAGAAAGTTTTGGCTGGGTGCAGTGGCTCACACCTGTAATCCCAGCACTTTGGGAGGCTGAGGCGTGTGGATCACCTAAGGTCAGGAGTTCGAGACCAGCCTGACCAACATGGAGTGGTTACCCTGTCTCTACTAAAAATACAAAAAAAATTTAGCCAGGTGTGGTGGCGCATCCCTGTAATCCCAGCTACTTGGGAGGCTGAGGCAGGAGAATCACTTGAACCCAGGAGGCAGAGGTTGCAGTGAGCCGAGATTGTGCCATTGCACTCCAGCCTGGGCAACGAGCAAAACTCTGTCTCAAAAAAAAAAAAAAAAAAAAAAAAAAAAAAAAAAAAAAGAAAAGAAAAGAAAAGAGAAAGAAAGTAGAAACTTTTTCAAGGGCCTAGCATAAGTCAAATCTCTACTGGCTTTTCATACTCTAAATTCAGGATTTACACAGGAAATATTCACTATGTTCTGTATTTTTTTCTTTTTGTTTGACCTTGTTCTATAATAACAATTTTGTAGTTGTTTTTTAATGTACCCATTGATAAGAAGAATATATGGTAAGCAAGGAGTAAAATGAATTAGCTGTCATGTGGAATGGATTTTCAGATTTTTTTAAAAAGCATAAAATCAACTCCTGTTCATTGCTATTTTGGGCTGCTTACCCCTCCTCCCCATTTGCTAATGTTTTCCTTTGCTTGTGTATGCAAAAAATTGTAAAACATAAACAGTGAGCAAATCATAAAATGTAGGCTTCTTTATGTTTGTATATCTAATTGTACTAAATGTGTTTGAGGCAGGACAACTCCCATCTCCCACAAAATCCAGGGTGGATTTTTAAAAAGCATTTTAGGACTTGTTTTTTTATTGGGCATCTCCCAGTTTTTAAGGTGTTTCTATGCTAGAAATCTCATGGATGTTTTCTTTATTTTCATGCCTCCTTGTACCCTCTGTATTGCAACCTGCCTTAGTGATTCCATCCATAACTGTGGCTTTAACTTATCTGTAGGGAAGGCTTCCAACTCAGTTTCCTATCCTGATTCCTCAGGGCATTCTTTACCCTCACTTTTCCTAGATCTCAACTGTTGAGAGGAAACCATACTGTCTGTCATTAGCAATTTTGCAAAAACAGCCTGTGAATGCATATTAGCATCACCTGATTACTGAGCGCCCAGAGGCTCCGTCTCTCTGTACCCGGATACAACACAGGAGGGAAATGATGTGGTTCCTGTCCTCAGAAACTCCTGGTCAAAGAAGGTTCCTGTGTCAGGTATGTGCAAGATGTGAAAGCCATAGACATAAACAGGTGTCACTGAAAATAGAAAGATATTTCCATGTAAACAGTGTATAAACTTGGCCTTTAGAGGTATCGGTGGAGCCAAGAAGAAACCGTTGGCAGTACTATCACACGAGGGAGGATAATAGAAAGAAAGAAAGTATATTTAAGACGAGAAATTGAGGGCCGGGCGCGGTGGCTCACGCCTGTAATCCCAACACTTCGGGAGGCCGAGGCAGGGGGATCACGAGGTCGGGAGATTGAGACCATCCTGGCTAACACGGTGAAACCCCGTCTCTACTAAAAATACAAAAATTTAGCTGGGCGTGGTGGCGGGCGCCTGTAGTCCCAGCTACCTCGGAGGCTGAGGCAGGAGAATGGCGTGAACCCAGGAGGTGGAGCTTAGAGTGAGCGGAGATCGCGCCACCTCACTCCAGCCTGCGCGACAGAACGAGACTCCGTCTCAAAAAAAAAAAAAAAAAAGAAGAGAAAATGAGAGAAACCATAAGGAAAGACAAATGCAGGGGCATACACACCGCAGAAAATCTCAGAATCTTGTTAAGCTTAGACTGGAGATAAATGTCAACTAGTCAAACCCCCATCTAACGCTTGAGTTCCTCTACAGTGTTTCCACCCAGCTGTGTTTTACACTTCTGCCTGAGAAGTTTCAGGGACAGGAAAGCAGCTGACAAATACCCCTGGAGCCCGCTGCACACTGGACTGTGATAATTATTGGAATGTTCGTCTAATAGTTAAATAGAACCTAAAATTGCCTTCACATCATTTTTTTTTCCCCATTGATTTTGGTTTCTCTCTGGGGCCCAAAAGCTAGCCCATGTCTGTCCCTGGCTTCCAAACCTCCCTACCTGGGCCTGGTGTGACTCGCTGCTTCCTGGTGTGCCATTGTATATTGTGTTCTCCAGGGCTTCTTTCAGTTCCCCAAAGACACCGAGCACATTCTTGCCCCAGAGCCTCCTGACTACAGCACTTGTCTCCTGCCTGTGGCATGAAATTTAGGTTTTCACTCAAATGCTACCTTTTCAGAGGAGCCTTCACTGACCACCAAAGCTAAAATAGCCCATTCCTGGAATGCTAAATTTAATGACATTTAAAAAATATATTTATGGCAAAGGCCATATAAGCCAGCTCAAAAGACCAACAAAAGACTGGGGAAAATACTTGAAACTCACATAATAGGCAAAGGACTAAATTCCCTAAAATATAAAGGATTTCTACAAATCAGTAAGAAAAAATTCAATAACCCAATAGAAAAAAAAACTGGCAAAGGATATGAACGGATCATCAAAACAATAACAACAAGAAGAACCTTACGTATGCGGCTCAGATATGTGAAAAAGTGCTCAGACTCACTGATGGTGAAAAAAAAGGAGAGAGAAATAATTTTTTTTAACTTGTCAAAGTGACAAAGATAAAACAATATTGATAATAACGTTGTATCAGCAAGGGTGTGGAAAACAGATTCCCTCATATTATACTGGTGGGACTATAACCTGGAACAATTTCTATAGAGAGTGATTTAGTAATATTTACCAAAATTAGAAATGCGCAAACCCTTTAACCCAGTGATTTCACTTCTACAATTTGCCTTTCAGATATGCTCCTAAGTATGGGAATTGATATATGTACAAAAGTACTCATGGCAACCTTGGATAGAGAATAATAGCAAGAGACTGGAAACAATATACAGATCTATCAATGGGGGTGGGCAAGTAAATTACAGTGTATTTACACAATGAAACATCACGCCATTACTAAAATGAATGATGCAGATCTGTATGTGGCCCCGGAGTGCTCTGAATGAGTTTTATGTTGACTATAGGCATTTATATTCTCTATTTTGTATTTATCTTCTCTTTAAATTTTAATTTTTAAAGTTTTTTTAAGTTTTTAACTTTTGTGGGTAAATAGTACGCAATGGAGTACTATTCAGCCATAAAGAAGAATGAGATCCTATCATTTGCAACAACATGGATGGAACTGGAAGTCATTAAGTATGTAGATGTATATATTTACAGGGTACATAAGATATTTTGATATAGTCACACAATGTATAATAATAACATCAGGGCAAATGGGGTATCCATCACCCCAAGCATTTATACTTTCTTTGTGTTACGAACAATTGTAGTCTTTTAGCTATTTTTAAATCTACAATAAGCTACTGTTGACTGCAGTCACCCTGTTGTGCTATGAAATTACTAGCTCTTGTTCATTCATCTAACTATGTTTTTGTACTCACTAACCATTCTGACTCTCCCTACCCCACTCTACTCTCTATGAGTTCAATTGTTTTTTAATTTTTTTTTTTTTTAGCTCCCACGAATAAGTGAGAACATAAAAAGTTTGTCATTCTGGGCCTGGCTTATTTCACTTAACATAAGGAGTTCCAGTTCCATACATGTTGTTGCAAATGATGGGCTCTCATTCTTTATGGCTGAATAGTACTCCATTGTGTATATGTACCACATTTGCTTTATCCATTCATCCGTTGGTGACACTTAGGTTGCTTCCAAACCTGGCTATTGTGAATAGTGCTTCAATAAATTTGGGGGTGTAGATATCCCTTCAATATACTGATTTCCTTTCTTTTGGGTATATACCTAGCAATGGGATTGCTGGAGCCTATGGTAGTTCTATTTTTAGTTTTCCGAGGAAAAATAAACTGTTTAACTAAAACTAAAAAAAAAAAACAAACGGTTCCAAACTGTTCTCCATAGAGGTTATTCTAATTTACATTCCCACCAACAGTGTACGAGGTTTCCTTTTACTCCACATCTTCACCAGCATTCATCATTGTCTACCTTTTGCATGAAAGCCATTCTAACTGGGATGAGATAATATCTCATTGTAGTTTGGATTTGCATTTCTCTGATGATCAGTGATGTTGAGCACCTTTTCGTATACCTGTTTGCCATTTGTATGTCTTCTTTTGAGAAATGTCTATTCAGATCTTTTTCCCATTTTTAAATCTGATTATTTGATTTTTCCCTATAGAGTTATTTGAGTGCCTTATATATTCTGGTTATTAATCCCTTGTCAGATGGATAGTTTGCGAATATTTTCTCCCATTCTGTGGGTTGTCTCTTTGTTTTTTTGATTGTTTCCTTTGCTGTGCAGAAGTTTTTTAACTTGGTGTAATCCCATTTGTCCAGTTTTGCTTTGTTTGCCTGTGCTTCTGGGGTATTACTTAAGAAATCTTCACTCAGTCCAATGTCTTGGAGAGTTTCAATGTTGTTTTGAATAGTTTCATAGTTTAAATTCTTAGATTTAATTATTTAATCCATCTTGATTTGATTTTGTATATGGTGAGAGATGGGGGCTAGCGTCATTCTTCAGCATATGGATATCCAGTTTTTCAGCACTGCTGACTGAAGAGACTGTCTTTTCCCTAATGTATGTTCTTGGCACCTTTGTTGAAAATGAGTTCATGGTAGATGTGTGAATTTGTTTCTGTGTTCTCTATTCTGTTCCATTGGTCTATGTGTCTGTTTTTATGCCAGTACCATGCTGTTTTGGTTACTATAGTTCTGTAATATAATTTGAAGTCAGATAATGTGATTTCAACAGTTTTGTTCTTTTTGCTTAGGATAGCTTTGGCTATTCTGGATCTTTTGTGGTTCTATATCAAGTTCAGGATTTTTTTTTTCTATTTCTGTGAAGAATGCCATTTGTATTTAGATAGGGATTGTAATGTCTAGATTGCTTTGGGTAGTATGAACATTTTAATCATATTGATTCTTCCAATCCATGAACATGAAATTTCTTCATTTCTGTGTGTCCTCTTTAATTTCTCACATCAATGTTTTGTAATTTTTATAGAAATTGTATTTATTTTCTTAAAGAGGCTCCCTAAAATTGTATCAGTTTCCGTACCCACAAAGCTTGGATACACTCCTAACCTTAACACAACTGGGAGATAGATAATCTCCTGTGAGTAACACAGGCTCCATTGCACAGTGATAGGAGGGGGATATGGTAGTACTATTTTTAGTTTTCTGAGGAAAACTAAACTGTTTACCTAAAACTAAAAAAGAGAACATGGGCAGTGGGGTGCAATAGAGAACAGGGATGGAACAAAACTGAGAGTTTGAAAAACGTGCCACAGGTGATTATGATGTGCTCCACCACTTTGAAATCCACCACTTCTCTGTTCAATGCATGAGTCCCCAACCCTGCATAGCCCTCCACCCTGTTCTCCTTAAGGCTCCAAAACCACTCTCACTTTCACATGAAGACTAAATGCTGCAGGCAAAGTTCAGGTGTCCTTCATCCATTTAATCACAACTCCCTGCCTTTATTAGCCTAGTTCGTCCAGCCCTTGAAGTGCCCCTAAGGAGCTCAGACTGGTGGATCCTAACTCCAGAGTCGTTTCCTCTTCCTGGGTTTTCTGATCTCTAATTTGAAATGCAGCTACCCTTCTTCATCTCACGTTTATCAAGAAGATAGCAATACACTGAAGACATTCCCAGATCATTCTCTAAGCTCCTCAGTCTTCTTGGAGGCAAGCAGCCTCTAAACAGTTCTCATCTTTTAAAAATTGCCTGAGTATTCACTTTTTATGTGTTTCCTTTTTGCCAGTTGTCAGACAAAATTGATGCTGCTGCTGGGAGGGTTTGGAGAAATTTTGAGGAGGCCAAATGGGGAGTAAACCAGGCTAGCAGGAAGCATCACAGTCACATAAATCAAGAAGTGAAGTTATGCGGGGTTTTTTAACCACTTTTTTTTTTTTTAAAGCAAGGGAGGTGAGCCATGGAACATTTGGAAAATGGAGAGGCAGGCTTAAGAGTAGTGCCACTGTGTTTAGTAAGACATGATTCCATTTACTTTTCTAATTTTCCTTCCTTCCTTCTTTCCTTCCTTCTGATGAAAGAAAAACTTCAGCTGAGTTTGCCCAGGTGCAACGGCTCACTCCTGTAATCCCAGCAGTTTCTGGGGCCAAGGCGGGTGGATCACCCGAAGCCAGGAGTTCCAGACTAGCCTGGCCGACATGGTGAAACCCCATCTCTACTAAAAATACAAAAATTAGCTGGGTGTGGTGGCATGTGCCTGTAATCCCAGCTACTCAGGAGGCTGAGGCAGGAGAATTGCTTGAACCTGGGAGGTGGAGGTTGCGGTGAGCCAAGATCACGCTACTGCACTCCAGCCTGGGCAACAGAGCAAGACTCCATCTCAAAACAAAACAAGACAAAACAAACTTCAGCCAAATGAAATTTAAAGGAGTTTAATTGAGCACTGAATGATTTACAAATCGGGAAGCCTTCTGAGCCAGAATAGGCTCAGAGACTCCAGCACAGCCACGTGGTAGAAGAAGATTTGTGGACAAAAAAAGGAAAGTGACATACAGAAAATGGAGGTGAGGTACAGAACAGAAACAGCTGAATTGGTTACAGCTCAGTGTTTGCCTTTTTTGAACACGGTCAGAGCAGTTGGTTACATTTGATTGGCCAAAACTCGGTGATTGGCCCAAGTGTAGGCTACAGTCTGTTTACACCTCTTCTTGGTATAGTTTATGACATACAGAAAAACCTTTAGGCTGAACTTAAATATGTAAGGAGACAGCTTTAGGCTACCCTTGTTTTAGTCCTTCCTTCGTTCTTCCCCCTCCCTTCCTTCTTTCCTTCCTGCCTGCTTGCTTCCCTTCCTTCCTTCCTTCCCCTTCCTGACTTCTCTTTAATGAGTAAAAATAGCTAAAAATATTTTATATGAGTTTTGTGATTAATATGATTTTGTGGTGCCTCTGAGGCTCTGCCTTCATCTGATTTGCCTTCAGACTTATAAAGTGAAGGCACCTTCAGGGGGTGCCCACGTTAAAGATTCCAATTCAAATCCACAATGATTTGGGAGAAAGCGGCTTATTTCTTTAAAATTGAATTCAACCTTGAATATAGTTATATTGAGCATAAACAAAAGAAATATGGCAGAAACCAGCCACTCCTGATCAGTCAAGGAATTTTGTCAGACCCTGCAACCTCCATTACCCTCTGCAGCCCCCTCCACTTTTTTTCCCAATCGTTTTTCCCTCTGCATCTGTGGGGTATTGCTTCCAGGACCCCTACAGATACCAAACTCTGAGGATCCGCAAGTCCCTGTGATATGGTATGGCTGTGTCCCCACCCAAATTTCATCTTGAATTGTAATCCCCATTATCTTCACATAATGTAAGAGGGACCCAGTGGGAGGTAAGTGATTCATGGGGTGGTTTTCCCCATGCCGTTTTCTTGTGATAGTGAGTGATTTCTCATGAGATCTGACGGTTTTAGAAAGGTCTGGCATTTCCCCTGCTGGCACTCATTTTGTCTCCTGCCACCCTGTGAAGGGCTGTCTTCTGCCATGATTTTAAATTTCGTGATCCCTCCCCAGGCATGTGGAACTGTGAGTCAATTAAACCTCTTTTCTTTTTCTTTCTTTCTTTCTTTTTTCTTTTTTTTTTTTTTTTGAGAGGGAGTCTCAGTCTGTCGCCCAGGCCAGAGTGCTGCGGAGCGATCTCAGCTCACTGCAACCTCTTCCCGCACCGTTCAAGCAATTCTCCTACCTCAGCCTCCCTAGAAGCTGGGACTACAGGCATGTGCCACCACACCTGGCTAATTTTTGTATTTTTGGTAGAGACGGGGTTTCACTATGTTGGCCAGGCTTGTCTTGAACTCCTGACCTCAGGTGATCTGCCATCCTTGGCCTCCC
Source organism: Homo sapiens (assembly GCF_000001405.40). Classification (NCBI taxonomy): domain Eukaryota; kingdom Metazoa; phylum Chordata; class Mammalia; order Primates; family Hominidae; genus Homo; species Homo sapiens. The sequence goes on along the minus strand of NC_000014.9, from coordinate 33,966,879 downwards.
AAAGTGCTGGGATCACAGGTGTGAGCCATCATGCCTGCCTAAACTTCTTTTCTTTACAAATTACGCAGCCTCGGGTATTTCTTTATTGCAGCTTGAGAATGGACTAATACACCCTGATATAAGATCATGTAGGATTTCCATATAACTGTGAAAGGAAAACATATCTCAGGACTCCAGAATCACTAAGCCAAATGAAGTCAGGCAAACCTGCCTCTCATTTTATTCCTAAATAAGATAGCCACAAAGATAAAAAGCTACACACCTCCCTCACAATTTCTTCACAAGGAAATTCCTTGTGGACGTCAAGTTCTTTGCCCTAAAATGGTTCTGTTGAATTTTGCCCTGGCAATGTAAACTGATAACTTATCTTAACAGGTACAGACAACCGACAGAACTAAAAAGTCATTTCTCTGCTCACCCGATATCTGCATATCTGATTGCTTCCTCCTCCCTATTGTTTATGTAAAAATGCAGATTCACTGAGCCAGACTAAGCCATAAGTGACTATTCCGCCACCCCACTCTCACATGTAAATTGCGTATTCAGTGAAAAGCTGATCAAAAACTCGAAAGAGTGCAACCTTTTGTCCCTAATCTACCTATGACCTAGAAGCCCTCACTTTGAGATGTCCCATCTTTTTAGACTGGACCAATGTACATCTTACACGTACCGATTGATGGCTCATGTCTTCCTAAAATGTATACAATCAAGCTGTGCCCCAACCACCTTGGGCACATGACTTCAGGACCTCCTGAGGCTGTCACGGGCGTGTCTTTAACCTTGGCAAAGTAAATTTTCTAAATTGATTGAGACCTGTCTCAGATACTTGTGGGTTCACATAACCTAAGTACATCCTCCTGTGTACTTTAAGTCACCTGTAGATTACGTATATAGTTGTTGTATTGTTTTGGGAATGATGACAAGAAAAAAGCCTGCATATGTTCAGGACAGAAGCAACCATTGCAGGTGTAACTACATTTTTGATCTGTGATCAGCCGAATCTGAGGATGTGGAACCCGCAGGTATGGAGGGCCAACTGTACTGGCAGAAAAAAGTAGAGGCAGAATGAGGTGCCAGCTACCAGAAAGGCGGCTGACTCAAGTTAGAGAAAAGAGGCTGCGTTGCTGGGGATCACACTAAAGGGGCACATGCCTGCCTCACATCAGGACTCAGAGCTCGAGCAGGGAAGCCCACACGGGTAGGTGCATCTGCCAAGCCCAGAAGGCTGTGTGCCCTGCCATGAGGACCTTGGAACAGGGGCATAGTGTGGGTTGGGGTGAGGTTGGGGTGGCAAGGAGTAGTCTCAGCACCAGTCCCCCACTCTTAGCTCCCCAGGGTTTTCACCAGCTTGTCACCATGAGAAGCTGAAGAATGAATACCAGCAGCCATGGTGTGTTCCTTGTGGCTCTGAGGGCTTACAGAGGCTCTAGGGGGCTTTTCAAGACATCTGGTACCTGAATGGGATACCAAAGTTTAAGTTTCAGAGGCTTTTCCTAAGGCCTAAAGTTGGCAGAAACACTGTCAAAGGCCTCTAAAATAAGAGGGCTAATCAATGGGAAGACTCAAAAGGTATTTGTGGCATAATAAGAAATAAATTCTTACAGAACACCAAATAAAAGTTGCTTAATTATACCAAGTAAAAAGAAAAAGTATATATATTTGATCCTTGTCCCCAGTACCTGCTATAGGCTCCTAAAACCCTTGGAATTTCTTGAGTGATAAGAGCATCTTTTGTTATTCATAATGGGCCCCTTTTGATCATACCTGAGTTTATGCTGATGAGATAAGTCAGGGTGGGGCCAGTCACCAGAAAGACCAAGTGTGGAGAGGATTAGAGAGTAGGATATTTCAGCCCCACCCTCCAGCTTCCAGGAAAGGGAGAGGGGCGATAGAGATTAAGCTCTGTAAAAACTCTTGAACAATCCTCAGTGAGCTTCCGGGTCACTGAACATGCATAGGTGCTGGGAGGGTGGTGTTCCTGGAGAGCACTTGGGAGCTCGGTAGCACCTCCCCCATACCCTGCCCCATCCACCTCTTCATCTGGCTATTCACGAAATGTGCTTCATTGAGTTCTGTGAGCCATCCTAGCAAATTAATCAAACTGGAGGAGTGGGTGGTGGGAACCCCGGTTTATAGCCAGTTGATCAGAAGTATAGGTGACAACCAATTGCTTGCAAAGTGGCAGCAGTCCTGTGGGAGTGAGCCCTCTACTGAGAAGAGCTGGATGGACACTGTGTGAAGGACTCTTAGAGCCCTTTCAAGAGAAAAATGAGCCCGTGTTGTAACTACATGAGGGTTGATCCCTTCAGAAGATTTGATGCTTACAGCTCTCACCCAACTCCAAGCCCCAGCAGCTAGCACCAAAGCATCATCCTGTTCTCTTTGCCTCTGTGGTGCCTTACCCCCAAATCCATTCTCTACACCACGGCCAACGCCACCTTTTAAACAATAAAAATGAAGTCCTGCATCCTCCACAGCTAAAAAGTCTCCAATGGCTCCTAATCTCACTTCATAAATAAACAAATAAGCAAGCCCAGGGGTCAGCAAATTTTTTCTGTAATGGACCACATATTTTAGGTTTTGCCTGATACCGTGTCTGCTGTGCTGTTGTGCGGCAGCGATTGGCTACACTAGTGAGGCCATAAAAGAAACAAAGTTTAAGGCAATCAGTCACTCTCAGGGTCATGCAAGTGTGAAAGTAGCCACAGATGACATGTGAAAGAACAGGCATGGCTATTCCAAGGAAACTTTATTTGGCCCATGGCTGTATGCACCAAGCTCTCACGCCCGTCTTTGCATTTGCTCTTCCCTCTTCCTGGAATGCTCTTCTACAGATTTTTGCATGGATGGCTCCAAGTGCTATGGAACTCAGTAAACAGATTAGACACATATTTGGAGAATCAGCAGGGACCTAAAACAAGAAAATAATTTTAGAAGAGTTTTTAGATATTATCATAAAAGTATTCAAGTAGTTGCCATTGGGAAGAAAGCAGAATTGTGTTGACCTTGTTTGAAATTTTTTTTTTTTCTTTTTTTGAAATAGGGTCTCACTCTGTCACCCAGACTGGAGTGCAGTGGTGCGATCTTGGCTCACTACAACCTCTGCCTCCCAGGCTCAAGCGATTCTCCTGCCTCAGCCTCCTGAGTAATTGGGATTACAGGGGCACACCACTAAAGGAGGAGACCACCCCTCATTTTGTCTTATGCCCAATTTCTGCCTCCAAAGAAAGAAAAAGTAAAAACTAAAATGCAGAAATGAAATCCACAAGCAGACAGCCCGGTGCCACACCCTGGGCCTGGTAGTTAAAGATCGACCCCTGACCTAATTGGTTATCTATAGATTACAGACATTGTATAGAAAAGCACTGTGAAAATCCCTATCTTGTTTTGTTCCGATCCAATTACCAGTGCATGCATCCCCCAGTCACGTACTCCCTGCTTGCTCAATCGATCATGACCCTCTCACGTGCACCCCCTTAGAGTTGTGAGCCCTTAAAAGGGACAGGAATTGCTCACTCGGAGAACTCGGCTCTTGAGCCCCGGCCCAATAAACGCCTTCCTTCTTTAACTTGGTGTCTGAGGAGTTTTGTCTGCGGGTTGTCCTGCTACACCACTGTGCCTGGCTAATTTTTGTATTTTTAGTAGAGATGGGGTTTCACCATGTTGGCCAGCCTGGTCTTAAACTCCTGACCTCAAATGATCCACCAGCCTCGGCCTCCCAAAGTGCTGGGAGTACAGGTGTGAGCCACCACGCACAGCTGTTTGCATTTATTTTAAGGCTTGGTTGATTATTTTTATTTTTAATTACTTGAGTTAGAAGAGAGAGAAGACACTATAATATCACCATGTTTAAGACCTCTAAAGTCTCTCTTTAAAAATAATTGTTTTACACTTTTATTTTAGGTTTAGAGGTACATGTGAAAGTTTTTTTACATAGGTAAACACATGTCACAGGAATTTGTTGTACATATTATGTCCTCGCCCAGGTATTAAGCCCAGTACCCAATAGTTATCTTTTCTCCTCCTCTCCCTTCTCCCACACTCCCCCATCAAGTAGACCCGTGTCTGTTGTTTCCTTCTTGTGTTCGTAAGTTCTTATCATTTAGCTCCCACTTATAAGTGAGAACATGTGGTATTTCGTTTCCTGTTGCTGCATTAGTTTGCTAAGGATAATAGCCTTCAGCTCCAACCACGTTCCCACAAAATACATGATCTTGTTCTTTTTTATGGCTGCATAGTATTCCATGGTATATAGGTACCACATTTTCTTTATCCAATCTGTCATTGATGGGCAATTAGGTTGATTCCATGTCCTTGCTGTTGTGAATAGTGTTGCAATGAACATTCATGTGCATGTAAGACCTTTAAAGTCTCAACGTGGCCCTGCTGGCTCCTCCTGGTAACTCTGGCCTCATGGCAAGTGTTGCCTTCTCAGGCAGTTTCTCCCACTACAGACTTGGTGGTACCCCTCCACACCTATTGCATTTAGCTGTTTCACTTTCTCACAGCATTCAATCACAACTTGAAATTGTTGTGCTCATTCATGTACTTCCTTGTTTATTGTCTTTCTTTTGCATGTGGTCCTCAGAAGCACAGGGATCTTGTCTGTCTTCTTTGTGTGTGCATCTGGCACTGAGTACGGTGCCTGGCACACGGAAAGAATGAAAGAAAACATTTGTTGTCTGAATGAATGGAACAGATGCCTAACTGAAGAAAGCAACAGCTAAAACTGCTTCTAGAACTTGATCTGATTGTAAGTGAAAATCTCTGGTTGTCCTTCACAGAGCCTTAAAAGTGACTTAGAAACCGGTTTAGAGAACTGCATCAACTTTAGCTAATAGAGTTAAATCAATTTAGGTCAAAGCAAATTTGTCAACAGAAGAATTTGGATTTATGCCAAATTAGACTTGGTAGAAAATTTTGCTATGACATCTTCAGAAAATGTTTTCAGCTTTTTATTTATCTTTTATCCACTTGGTCTATTTTCCAAAAATGTTTATTTTTTTATTCCTGCTTTTTAAGATTTTAATTAACCTGTGGCTTATTCTCTAGAGAAACACAGCAATCGAAGCATCTAACAGTACAGACTTTACTGAAATTAAATCAAATTTTCTTCATTTCTATGCATGAATATGGAAACAGTTAAATATGCAGAGTATTCATTTAGCATATAGTGAACAGCTGATTTGTGTCAGGCACTGTGCTGGGCACTGGAAATACTGTGGTGAACAGGTCCCTGCCCTCATACTCCTATGGGAGAGAGACATAAAACACCCATTTAAACAAACAGACAAACAAAAATGTCAAGTTTTAGTAGGGACTATGTAGGAAATAAACAAGGAGCTGAGATGGACAATGCTGACATCCTATTAGGTTGGTGCAAAAGTAGTTGCTGTTTTTGCCATTACTTTCTTTTTTTCTTTTCTTTTCTTTTCTTTTTTTTTTTTTGAGACAGAGTCTTGCTCTGTCGCCCAGGCTGGAGTGCAGTGGCACGATCTTGGCTCACTGCAACCTCCGCCTCCCGGGTTCACGCCATTCTCCTGTCTCAGCTTCCTGAGTAGCTGGGACTACAGGTACCCGCCACCACGCCCAGCTAATTTTTTTGGTATTTTTAGTAGAGACAGGGTTTCACCGTGTTAGCCAGGATGGTCTCGATCTCCTGACCTCAGGATCCGCCCGCCTCGGCCTCCCAAAGTGCTGGGATTACAGGCGTGAGCCACCGCGCCCGGCCGCCATTACTTTCAATGGCAAAAACAGCAATTACTTTTGCACCAACCTGTAGGAAGAAGGCTGTGGCTTCCATGTAGAGAATGGATTGACGTGGTGCAACTGCAGAAGTAGGGATATCTGAGAGAAGGCTGTTGCAGTGAGAAATGATGGTGATCAGAACTGGTGATAGCTGTGGACAGAAGAGGAAGAGGAGAGGTTGGAGTTAAATTTGGCAGTAGAACTGACAAGATTTGCTCGTGACTTTGATGTAGAAATTGAGGATATGAGAGCATATCAGTTAGTGTCCAGTTGGGAAAACAGACATCATTCTAGTATGTCTTTTGTTTTGTTTTGAGATGGAGTTTTGCTCTTGTTGCCCAGGCTGGAGTGCAATGGCACGATCTCAGCTCGCTGCAACCTCTGCCTCCTGGGTTCAAGAGAGTCTCCTACCTCAGCCTCTCAAGTAGCTGGGATTACAGGCATGGGCCACCATGCCCGGCTAATTTTTGTATTTTTAGTAGAGACAGGGTTTCTTTTTGTTTGTTTGTTTTTTGAGACGGAGTCTTGCTCTGTCGCCCAGGCTGGAGTGCAGTGGTGCGATCTCAGCTCACTGCAAGCTCCGCTTCCCGGGCTCACGCCATTCTCCTGCCTCAGCCTCCGGAGTAGCTGGGACTACAGGCGCCCGCCACCACGCCCGGAGAATTTTTGTGTGTGTGTTTTCAGTGGAGACGGGGTTTCACCGTGTTAGCCAGGATGGTCTCGATCTCATGACCTCGTGATCCGCCCACCTCAGCCTCCCAAAGTGCTGGGATTACAGGCATGAGCCACCGCGCCCGGCCGAGACAGGGTTTCACCATGTTGGCCAGGCTGGTCTCAAACTCCTGACCTCACGTGATCTGCCCGCCTCGGCCTCCCAAAGTGCTGAGATTACAGGCATGAGCCACCACGCCCGGCCTCATTCTAGTATTTTTAAATAGAAGGAATTTAACATAAGAAATCAGTCTTAGCAGTGTTGGGAAATTTGGAGGAACCAAAAGGGGAAGATGTGCTAACCTAGAGATAAGTATCTGCAGGAAATCACTACCACTTGAAAGGCAGGAGGAATACCAGGGAGGGGGTGATGTTATCAGAGCCCAGGAGTGTCTGGCATCTGACAGTGCAGGAAGCTGCTGATGCTGCTGGAGCTGGCCACTGCCTGACACCGATGCGGTTGCTGGAACTGCTAAAGGCTACTGGAGCCCCTGCAGCTGCAAGTCACTGCGGCACCCCTTGCCAGAGCCTAAAAACAAAGAACAAAACAAAACAACAACAACAACAACAAGAAAAATGGGTCTCTCATTTCATGCAGCTTCCCACCAGTGCTTCCCATTGGAGCATCTAAGTGGGCCAGCTGGCAAGGGAATCTGGGAAATGTAGTTCACAGGATTTCAGCCACCTCAAGCAAAGCAGTGCGCAGGATGCTGGGAATGGTACTTAGCTCAAACAAGCCAATGGCCAGCCCATGGAGGAGTGAAAGATTATTTTTAAGTGGCAAAACAATCTCATATCCTTAAAAAAGTTCTTTTTCTTTCTTTCAACAAAAGCAATATGTGCCCATTAGAAAAATATTAGAAACACAAACAACAGAACATAAGAAGGTCCATATTCCCACTTACTCAGAAACAACCATTAATAACATCTTGGCACGTCTCTCTCTCTGTCTCACACACACGGACTCTTACTTTATATTCCATCTCATAACCCATTATACTAGATGCATACAATAAAACATTGGCTGGACATTTACTTTGTTCCAACTAGCTTCCAGTGTTATTTATGTTCTACAAACATTTTCCTATTATAAATATTAAGAAAGGCATTGTCTGAAGACAAATTTGCAATTTAAGGAAACCATTTGTGAATAATACAATTGTAACCTCCAAATTGACTATTATGTGATTGTTTGCTTAGGTAAAAGAAGAAAACTATTGATTTTAACTATAAGGTAAAATGTCAGGTCTTACCCTGTTCATTTCCTTTTTCAGGAAGAAAAAACGCCATTAGTAGAATTTCTGAGCTGGAAATGAGCAGGCTAGAGGTGGAGAGGAGCTGCAGCTACAGTCTGCACTAGAACCACCCCGTTGCCCCATCTGGTTTCCATGGAGTCAGACTTCTGATGAGGAAGCTGGTCCTCCGGAATGTGCAGAACGCAAGACACCCAGGCAAAGTGTCTTTAAGGGTAGGGACTGTTCATTATGGCTATGGGATGACCACAGATTTCTTTCGTGTTATCTGTTAGAATGCTTTTGATTGCTAGTAGCTGAAAGCTGTGACTTAATTTGGCTTTACAAATAAGGAAATGTATTATCTCACATAACTGGAAGTCCAGAGGTAGGACAGGCTCCAGGGACAGTAAGATAAGGCAGCTCAGTAATGTCACCAAGGTCCCAAGTTCTTTCAGTACTCTGCTCTGCCTTCCTCCATGTCGGCTGCATCCTGAGACTGGCTCCCTTCATGGGGATGTGACGGCTGCCAGAGGCCACTGGGCTGCCTGTTTCCTTTCTTCATGTGCAGCAAGAAAGAGAAAGAAAGAGAGAGACCTCTCCCTTTAATATCAATTCTCTTCAGTTCAAGCAGGCCAGTAGTTCTCAGTACTGTTGCACATTGAAGTCACCAAAGTGCTAGAGCTGTATTCATTACAGTCATGCTCTGCATAATGACATTTTGGTCAACAATGAACCACATGTAGGATGGTGGTCCCATAAGATTATAATACAGTACTGTATTGTAACTGTACCTTTTCTCTGTTTAGAGATGTTTAGATACACAAATACTATCGTGTTACAGTTGCCTACAGTATTCATTACAGTAATATGTTGTACAGGTTGGTAGGCTAGGAGCTATAGGCCATACCACAGAGCCTGGGGTATAGTGGGCTATGTCATCTAGGTTTGTGTAAGTGCACTCTATGATGTTCTCAACAAGGAAATTGCTTAGTGATGCATTTCTCCAAACGTATCCCCTTTGTTAAGTAAGGCATGACTGTATTTGTTTATTGCTATTATTTTATTTTTATTTTGTTTATTTAATAACGTATTATGTAGCATTATTTTTTCTTTTCAAACTGCAGATACCTAAGGCTTTATCTTCAAAAATATTAATTTATTAATCTGGGGTGGGGCCCAGCTGAGAGTCATTTTTCAGAAGCTCCCAAGTGATTCTACGGTACAACCAGGGCTTTCAACCACCAGATTTGGCTGGTGCAGGTCACCTGCCCACCTCTAGACCACTAACAGTTAGCAGGGTAATGCCATAAACTGATTGGCTTGGAATGGTGGTTCTCAAAATGTGGTCTGAGGCCAGCAGAAGCAGCTCCTGGAAACTTGTCAGAAATGCAAATTATCAGGCCCCATCCCAGACCTACTGAATCAGAAACTCTAGGGGTAAGGCATAGCACTTTGTGTTTTAACAAGCTTGCCAGGTGATTCTAATGGCCAGTAGAGTTTGAGACCCACTGCCTTAGAGCAATCAGGTTCTTTCTCTGGAGGGAGGGAGAAGGTAAATATATGAACAGAAGCAGAGAGGTCTGTCGGAACTGGAAAGTCTAGGGCCAGTGGAGCCTAGCACTACCTACTCCCACTTCCAGGCCAGGAGCAGGAAAGATTGGGATCAGCTACCTGAACCCCAGAGACCCCTGGCTGTAGAAAGAGGGCCTCACAGCAACGGTGCCAGCGACCTTCAGCCACTGACATATACTGTTGAGGAAGGGAAGAAGGCACGTTCTGTAGGTAACCATTCATTTGGACCCTGGGGATCTCGAGAACCGTTTCTGTAGGCCTAAAGGGCTAAGAAGACTGATTTGGTATAAACTTCCCTAAAAACCCTACAGACTTACTTCTACCTCTGCAAACTTCAACAGGATCCAGGAAAAGAAAAAGGCCACTAGGTAAAAAACAAATCTGAACAAAATCAGGACTTTAGTTAATAATGCATCAGTATTGGTTCGTAAATTAGGACACATGTACTATACTAATGTCAGATGGTAACAACAGGGGAAACTGGGTGTGGGGTATAGAGGCACTCTGTGTATCCACCTTCCCGACTTGCCAGTAAGTCTAAAAGTATTCTAAAATAAAAAGTTTACTCCAAAAAAGATGCAATGAACACTGTTCATAGACACAATTTGACACTTTTTATGATCTATGCAAAGGCTTTTTAGACATTTTCGGCTTAAATGAGAGCTGAGTTGGAAAATATTAAAGAACATTCCTGATAATGTCACACTTCCCAGAATCTGCACATGGCCAGAATGATCAAAGAGCAGATGAGAGAGGCTGAAACTTGTCTACGTGCTGAGAAACAAGAACTGATAGAGAAAGTAACTTTCTTTGCCATCCTTTTAGAGCTGAGAAGGGGTAGGATAGCTCAACTCCTCAGAGAGAGAGGGACATAATCAGATCCTTCCTTTTCTAAACCCACTTTATACCAGTGAGCTCCAGACCATAAATTTACTTCATAAGCTTCTTCTTACTTCATCAGCTCCACTAAAATAAATTCATTCCTGCATCCCGAGGGGTGGAACACACACTCCAGCAATTGAGGGGCAGCTTATTCCCAACTGTTCTCCACAGACCTGTGCATCACTGAATTTATGTTGATCCCTGGAAATCCTTGGCCATAATTGGAATGGAGCAAAGAGCAAAACCTAATTTGTAGTTTGGAAAATGACTCTTAATGTAGTGTACTAAATAATTTATGGGAAGTTTTGCTTATCTCCCTTCTGCACCAAATATCAGTAAAGAAACCAATAATTAAAATAGTCATTACAGGTGAAAGTGTTCTAACTAGAGTTACAACAAGAAAAAGAGTACTTAAGGGCAGAAACAGTTTCATGCCAGACACTTGGCTCAAAATGATTCTCCCTCCACACCCCCATGTTACTACATTTGAATCTCTCAAATTTTGTCCTACATTGTTATTCTCTTGCAGAGTGACCTTGGGCAAGTTCCTTAGCCTCTTTATTTCTCACTTTTGTCATCTTCATAATGGAGAAGAAGAATAGTACCGATTTCCTGGTGGTGTTATAAGAATTAATTGAAGTAATGTTTGTAAACTTTTAGCACAGTACTAAGTGTTGCAAAAATGTTTAATGGATCAATAAATAAGGTTGCCTTTGCTCACAGTGAAGTCATGCAAAATAATGATAAACCTTCTGATGATATAGGATGGTAAAAACACACACACAAAATATTCAGATACCAGCTAGGAGGAAGAGAACCTCAGGTATGGCAGTACTTTGATGGAAAAGAAGACATGTAGACATTTTTCATCAGAAATAAAAAAGGACACGATGGAACCTTCCCATATTTCTGTTGGAAATGTAAAATGGTACACCTATTGTGGAAAACAGTTTGGTGGTTTTCCAAAAAGTTAAACATAGGCCGGGCGCAGTAGCTCATGCCTGTAATCCCAGCACTTTGAGAGGCCAAGGCGGGTGGATCACTTGAGGTCAGGAGTTTGAGACCAGTCTAGCCAACGTGGTGAAACCCCATCTCTACTAAAAATACAAAAATTAGGTGGGCATGGTGGCGGGCACCTGTAATCCCAGCTACTTGGGAGGCTGAGGCAGAAGAATCGCTTGAACGCAGGAGGCGGAGGTTGCGGTGAGCCGAGATGGTGCCATTGCACTCTAGCCTGGGTGACAAGAGCGAAACTCTGTCTCAAAACAAACAAACAAACAAACAAACAATTGGCTGGGTGTGGTGGTAGGTGCCTGTAATCCCAGTTACTTGGGAGGCTGAGGCAGGAGAATCGCTTGAATCCGGGAGGTCGAGGTTGCAGCGAGCCGAGATTGCGCCATTGCACTGTAGCCTAGGCGACAAGGGCAAAACTCCATCTCAAAAAAAAAAAAAAAAAAAAAGAAAGAGTTATAAAATTACCATATGCCCCCAAAACTGTATGCCTAGGTCTATTCTCCAAAGAATTGAAAACAGGTACTCAACATACTTATGCATGCATGTTAATAACAGCACTATTATAATAGCCAAAAAGTGGAAACAACCCAAATACTCATCAGTGGATGACTGGATAAACAAATTGTGGTATATCTACGTAGTGGAATTATCATTCAGCCATAAAAAGAAATAAAATCTTGGTAAATGGTACAAAACATCATGCTAAGTGAAAGAAGCCAGTCACAAAAGGTCACAGGTTATATGATTCCATTATTAGGAAATATCTAGAATGGGCAAATCCATAGAGAAGGCAGATTGATGGTTGCTAGGGGCTTGGGAGAGGAGGCAATGGGGAATAACTGCTTAATAGGCACAGTTTTCTTTTGGGGTGGTGAAAATGTTTTGGAACTAGAGAGAGGTGGTGGTTTCATAACATCGCGAATGTAGTAAATGCCACTGAATTGTTCATTATAAAATCGTAAATTTTATGTTTTGTGAATTTTACCTCGTTAAAGTCAAAATGCATACATATATAAATAGGACAGTGTTACAGTTGAGAAGGCAGAAGCATCCCATGCTTCCTCTTCCACTCAACTGAGACTCTTTGGTTTCGTCATCTGTAGGAAAATGAAGTTGAACTAGGTGACCACTAATATCTCTTCCAGTTCAAATTCAAAGGTAAGAAAACTCAACATTTTTCTTTCTCCCCTACTCCTCCACATGCTTGAAAATGACTGCATCTATACTGCAGATGCACACTGGAAGACAATGTTGCTGTAATTAAATTACAGGGAAATTAATTTGCTTTAGTTATTATGGAAAGGTATTTTAATATTCATTATTATGACACAAATTAGTGGACAAATAACTAAAGCAAATGCACTTTAACAATTAGCTTGGGTTTTCCCTCTCTGATGCTCAGACCCACAGCCTGTGCCTGGCTCCAGCCTGTCTGTGTTCCTCCGTGCAATCACACACTCTGATTTTTGCCAGTCACAGTATCTCTGATTCCTCTGCCAAATGCAGTGCTGGCAGCCCTAAGCTGATCGGGAGGTCCTTGATTGATTAATGAGTGCCCTTGCCAAGCAGGGATGGTGCCAAGGGATTGAATTCCTTTCTAAACTGCCCATGCTTTACAACCAACATAATCTAGAACAGTTGTCACTAGGACTCACTTAGACTATTGCTCTAGTTATAACGAGTTACAATTTTACTGTGAAATTATTGAAATATTATTTGAACAGTAAACTAAATTTACCCACTCCTGGGATTTGAAGTCTTGGGTCAACATGTTCATTCTGGAAGGTGGTTGTATAATTTTCTGTATTTTACTGACCACCACCCCTCTACCAGTGATTGCAGGTTTCCATTCCTTTGTAAATTCCCTCCTTATCGTTCCTAGGAATAAGGTGTATCTACAAAAAGCCTCCAGCTAGAAACATTTCAGCTAGTTACTAAGGATTATCTGTCACCTTCCCCCTTTTTGATTCTGTCCCTCTTCAGGGATATCTACTTCTGAGATTTACACAGTCCCCAAAGCTGCAAAATGCACGACCCAATGCCAACCAGGGTCTACATTCAGGCTGTCTTAGACCAGGTTTCTCCTGGTCACCCCATTATCCATAGTGCCCCTGGAGGAGATCACTGCAGGAGGCAAAGCAGTTCCTTCTGTGCAGGGTTCAAGCAGAAGTAGAGAGGAGGGCTTTCCTCCTTTTTGGTACTGCACTCCATTTCACTCCTTGCTGCAATTTTTTTTTTTTAAGGCTAAATTTCACTTTTGTCACCCAGGCAAGAGTGCAGTGGCATAATCTCAGCTCACTGCAACCTCCACCTGCTGGGTTCAAGTGATTCTCTTGCCTCAGCCTCCCGAGTAGCTGGGATTACAGATGCCTGCCACCATGTGTGGCTAATTTTTGTATTTTTAGTTGAGGCGGGGTTTCACCACGTTGGCCAGGCTGGTCTCAAACTCCTGACCTCAGGTGATCTGCCCACCTCGGCCTCCCAAAGTGCTGGGATTACAGGTGTGAGCCACTGTGCCTGGCCCTTTGCTGCAATTTAACAGTCCTCCAGTTTTCACTTTATGTCTCTGGCTCCCACCACTCAAATGTCCACTGCTCAGATAGACAAAGCTGAGAGACAAATGCCCTGTAGAACTCCTAAGTTCTCCCTCCACTGGCCTCTAAGCTTTTGTGCTGGGTCAGGCTAATTTGCTTGACTCTTTTCCAGTGACTTCTCTTTGGGGAGGCTCCCCAGCCCCTTTTGCAAATAGATCCTTCCAGATAAGCCCAGACATACTGAATCCCAAGTGGAGGCTGCTATGGCTCAGGGTCAGACATTGAGTTCCCAGTAACTATTTATTAGCCATTCACTATGTGCTAAACACTGGGGTTCCAAGGATGATGGTCTCCTCTCATCATGGAGCTGCCTTGGGAATTTAGACAAGAGCTCTTTGAGCAGTGATGGCCTTTACCCCAAGGAGGGGTACCTCCTGCTCAAAGGTAATACCAAAGGTGCCAACTAATCACTGACTTGGCAGAGAACCTCTCTCAATATAACTAGAAGTTTCATCAAAGTTTCTTAAGCACTCCACCATTGACTGCTCTCCTTCACCATCCCCCAGGTTCTTACTCAACCACGTGCCTCTGTCTGCTTCTTTCCAACTTGTAGCAGCACCTTTCCTCTTCTATTCTTTGTTCTTGTCCTGGATGTCATTCCCTTTCTCCCCTCAGAGGCAGAGAGGAGAGGGCTGCTGGAGGAAGAAGAAAAGTGAAAAAGCTGTAGAAATTTGCTTCCACAATAAACAATACCCGAAAAACCTGTACATTCTTTTCTTCAACTTAAATGAAGAACCCAAGTGTGCACTCATATGAAGTAAAAAAGGTGCAAATAGGCCGGGCACGGTGGCTCACGCCTGTAATCCGAGCACTTTGGGAGGGCGAGGCGGGCGGATCACCTGAGGTCGGGAGTTCGAGACCAGTCTGACCAATGTGGAGAAACCTCACCTCTACTAAAAATACAAAATTAGCCAGGCATGGTGGCGGGCGCCTGTAATCCCAGCTACTTGGGAGCCTGAGGCAGGAGAATTGCTTGAACCTGGGATGCGGAGGTTGTGGTGAGCAGAGATCACACCACTGCACTCCAGCCCAGGCAACAAGAGCAAAACTCCGTCTCAGAATAAATAAATAAAAAAAATACAGTTCCTTTTTTTTTTTTTTTAAAGAAGTACAAATAGCTTTGCATGCAATTTATGAATTTTTTCCTGATTCTGATCGCTGGTGTTCAGTAGGAAAGGGAATCAAAACTCCATAAAGCAAATCAGCTTATCTGTAGATAACCAAAGTCTTCTCAGTGGTGTCTGTCCCTCTTGTGAAAGTACAGCTGCTTGTGGGAAAAGTGAGAGACCTAGAATACAGTGTATCTTTTGGGGGACATACCTCTGACTGTTACAGAAGCATGTGATTAATTTGGAAGGTAGAATTTCGGAACATCATATTTTAATAGGAAGCTTGAAAGGTAAGTAGAGGAAAACATCAAGCAAAGCAAAATACACCATTTGCAGAGTTCAATCAGATATGACTCAGCATTTCTTCATTGTGCTCATCCCCAGCTCCTCAAGCACATAGTGCCTTGCACACAGTAGGGGCTGAGGGAAATATTCGTTAATGCATTAATTTTAGTTAAAACTAGATACCTCCTAATCTCTCAGTGGCTTGAACTGGGTCAAACAGCAGAGGAATGGGGTAAATAAGGAAAGACACCCGGTAAAGGTAGAACAAGACCACTGCTTAATAAATATATTCGTTTTTGGGGTTATTATTTTGCTCAAAAGTCTATGAGGTGACCAACCCAGAATGTGGCAGTTAATTCTATTTACATTTTCAGTGTGGGATCCAGGTTTTCAAGTTTGTTATGTGATTTTATGCAAAACAATATGCAAATCCAGCGCATTCTAAAAATTCAGTCTGCTTTCCAGCCGCTCCCCTGGTCACAAACAACTAAGGTTGGCGCCGGGCTCTCTGGGATCCTTCGCGGAGGGGCAGAGCAGGCGGGGGTGACTGGCAGCGGGGCGGGGGAAAGGGCGGTCCCGGAGGCGGTCCCGGGGCGGAGCCCGTGACGCGCGGAGTCGGCCGGCTTAAGGGCCGGACCTCAGCGTCTCCCGGAGTCTGGCCGCAGTCGCGGCAGTGGTGGCTTCCCATCCCCAAAAGGCGCCCTCCGACTCCTTGCGCCGCACTGCTCGCCGGGCCAGTCCGGAAACGGGTCGTGGAGCTCCGCACCACTCCCGCTGGTTCCCGAAGGCAGATCCCTTCTCCCGAGAGTTGCGAGAAACTTTCCCTTGTCCCCGACGCTGCAGCGGCTCGGGTACCGTGGCAGCCGCAGGTTTCTGAACCCCGGGCCACGCTCCCCGCGCCTCGGCTTCGCGCTCGTGTAGATCGTTCCCTCTCTGGTTGCACGCTGGGGATCCCGGACCTCGATTCTGCGGGCGAGATGCCCCTGGGACACATCATGAGGCTGGACCTGGAGAAAATTGCCCTGGAGTACATCGTGCCCTGTCTGCACGAGGTGGGCTTCTGCTACCTGGACAACTTCCTGGGCGAGGTGGTGGGCGACTGCGTCCTGGAGCGCGTCAAGCAGCTGCACTGCACCGGGGCCCTGCGGGACGGCCAGCTGGCGGGGCCGCGCGCCGGCGTCTCCAAGCGACACCTGCGGGGCGACCAGATCACGTGGATCGGGGGCAACGAGGAGGGCTGCGAGGCCATCAGCTTCCTCCTGTCCCTCATCGACAGGCTGGTCCTCTACTGCGGGAGCCGGCTGGGCAAATACTACGTCAAGGAGAGGTCTAAGGTAGGACGCGCTCGGCGCCCTGCCGCAGCTGCTCCCGCGGGGACGGGAGGCACTCGGAGTCCGTTGTATGTCGACTTCCCAGGGCCGTAAGCGAACTTTGTTTTTTAACCAAGAAGTCAGCCTGGTTTGTCTCTACTCGCTGCTTCCCCCCACCCCTCGCCCCAGCTCCTCTGAGCGAAAGTCAACGTTAAGGGGCTCAGGTGAACCATGATGATGACCTTCTGTTGACTTTGAAATATTGGCTCTTGTGGGTGACAAAAGCCAGACAAGCTGTGGCTGTGGTCCGATTTTAAGACGAGGTTCTCAAAGATCCAAAGGAGGGAAAGGGTATTGGAAACACTGTGTATCATCTGAGACACACGTGTCCTCATGATCTTAAATGCCTACTTTAAAGCCACCTAATACTGCCCTTCATTGTGGTCAGAAGAGATTTCTACAAAAGCACTCAGAATTCTGGAGGCAGTTGTGATTTTGCCATGTGGCAGTTGGTTTGTGGAGTTGGGCAGGTGTGAAAGGGTAAAACTCCACTTCTGAATGCTGCTTCTGCCCCCTGGGACCCAGCACATTGTTAGACCATCTTCTTGACTGAAAATTCTCTCCTGATGCTGAGCCCTGCACCACCACCTTCCTTTTCCTAACTATGAATTGATGGCAAAGTCCACTCAAAACAACCAGTTAAGTGCTCACGAGAGAGTAGTCAAGCACCTCCAGAAAGAAACCGGGTTTTTGTTCACATAGCAGGAAGTGACTCCCTGGGTGGTAATTTATCTTGGAAACACAGGTAGATTGGCAGAAAAACGGGAACATGTAGGTACCGCGATGTTGGTGCATGTCCATTACTTTGGGATAGGCTTTCTCAGTCTTTCCTCAAATGATAGTTGAGCCAGTTTTCCAGTGGCAATTCTGAGTGACTTGCGCTTGTCTTATGGTGTGGTCAAGGGACGTTCAGAACTACGGAAAACTTTTACTGAAACAGCGAAGCAGAGTATACCGGCATGAGAGGGAAGATGAACACTCACCTATGTACCACTCTTTGACAATAAATATAGTATTTCTCAAATCAGTCTCAAGACTGATCCTGTCTCAGAACAGACCATTGTTCTCTCATTTCTCTAATACGCTGAGAGGAACACTCTGAATAAAGGCTAAGTGGTGAGGATTGGAAACGTGTGGGAGTGAAGGGGTGGAGGTGGATGAGTGCAGTGGGGAGTCACAGTTTGCCGTACAACTTCCAAGCCAAGAGGCCATGAATAGAATATCTGAAAGCATCGTTATTAATGCACCCAAGTAAAGTAAATCTTAGAAGATACTGCTTTCTAAATTTTACTTTGGGGAAAAAAATTCCGCGTGAGCTGAACTCTGTAGGAGATTGATGCTAAAGTGTTTCTTTATTCTTCTTCCATCATGTTGGTGGTGGATTAGTCACTCGTCTTTGACTAGTTTGATTTTTGCATTAAATGACCTTGCTGTCTTCTGTGGTGGAGGTGTGTCGGGGAGGGGAAGGGTCAGCCTCAGTGTTGCTGAGATGCTGGTAGTTTCTACCTGGAAGAGCAGACGGCTTCTTATTGGGTTTTTAAATGTTTCTTGTAAATTTAGGTGTTAGGAGTTTTTCTTCATCATTCTAGGAGCAGAATTTGCTCTGAGGGAGGTCAGGATTAATTGGTATGGAAAGAGGCCACTAACATTGAAAGTTAAATATTTTTATTTAGCTTTGACTTAATGGATAGGGATAGGGTTTCAGACTAGAATTTAACTCAAATGGAAGGAAAAACACTGTGTAAGTTAGGGTAAGGGAAAGAAAGATCCTGTAGATATGATTCATCAATTTTAGGTTATCTTTTGGGTGGAATGAAAAACTTTCCAGGTGACCCTGTCAGAAGGTGATCGTGAATTGAAAATAAAATTTATCCTGTCCCACCCCCAGATTTCCAGGTTTACTTTGGCTGGTTTGTCACAAAGCTCCCTGCCCTTTAGATAAATCACCTTTCGATTGGAATATTCCCTGGCCAATTAGAACCAAATGCAAACCAGGCTTGAGCAAACAACTAGTGTAGTTAAATTTTTTTTAAGTGTGCTTTGCTTGTATACAGAAGTCTCCTTAGTGATGTCTTGTGGTCTTGGGTTTCTTGTTTGAAGTTCATTATTAAAGTCATGGTAGAAACACTTTCCATTTCTACATGATTTTTATTGGTTTCACATTAATTTATCCTTCTTTTTCTTCACTCACTTTTTATCCCTCAGCTGAGCTCCTCATTTTGTGCTGCTTTCCAGAGCAGTGATAGAGACCCAGTTTACCGGTTCATCCTTCACCCGTGTTTTCAAGAAAAACTAAAGTTTTAAATTTATTTATTATTATTATTTTTTTGAGATGGAGTCTTGCTCTGTCGCCAGGCTGTAGCGGCTCACTGCAATCTCTGCCTCCTGGGTTCAAGTGATTCTCCTGCCTCAGCCTGCTGCATAGCTGGGACCACAGGCACGCCACCCTGCCCAGCTAATTTTTGTATTTTTAGTAGAGACGGGGTTTCACCATGTTGGCCGGGCTGGTCTCGATCTCTTGACCTCATGATCCACCCGCCTCGGCCTCCCAAAGTTCTGGGATTACAGGCTTGAGCCACTGTGCCCGGCCCTTAAATTTATTTTTAAGTTTTAATTAAGGAAATTTTCAAACATACATAAACATAAGAGGCTAATATAATGAGCTCCCATCACCCAATTTCAACAATTGCCAATATGTACATTTGTTTTAGACCAATTTTTTTTAGCTACTTTAAATTTCTTGAGGTTATGCTTATTCATGCACTTACCCAAATTTCATTTCTTTTTTTGTTCTTTGCTAGACTTGGAAAGATCATTGAATAATATTGCCCTTTATCTCAATGAAACAATAGCAAAGATATTGGGAGTAAAACAGAAAGATACACTGGACCTAAAATTGAAATTGTGGAAGAATATAGAAAGAAATATTAGATGGTTCTGCTTCCTGCCAAGAAAGTTGTTAATGGTCAGAATTTGTCTACCTCATCTTTGCTGGAGAAAAATCCAAGGGTGTTGAAGACCCCTTGGGAAGTGGTTCCTGTAATGTACAGCTGTATGGCCCCCCCTAACTTCAAGCATGATCATTGCTTTCAGGCTAGCAAAGGATTTATCCGCTCGCTACTCCCTTTTGGAGATTTTAGACCATATCCAAGATAAATATTGGTCATAATTTGCTCCTTTTTCTTTGGCTGCCTAGATCTTGAAAATGGCTGTTTTCCAGAGAATGTATAATTTTTAGAACCAAAAGTCCCTCTGCTTCAAACAGCTCACTGTAGACTCACTAGTTAGTGACTCTAATAAGAAGAACTACCTTTTATTGAGCAGTTTGTATTGTCTGGCACTGTGCTATGCACTTTACAAATACTATCTTGCTTAATCTTCAGAAACACAGTCTTAAACATATTGAGTGATTAAATACTGTGCCCAAAGTTTCAAAGTCAGTGGTAAGAAACAGTTTAAATGGGGGCTGGGAGCTCAGGCTCAGTGTTAACTAACTTCGTGGCTTTAGGCAAGTTGCTTGGTTTACACCAGGTGCAAAATGAAAGGAAATAATGCCGTAAAGCTGTTGGAGGAAGAAGCATTAAATAAGATGATGTTTATGAAATGTTTAGCAGAATTCCGAGCCTTCATCAGTGTTTTAAGTCTCCAGAGGGGAAATTTGGGATCCTAACCTAGATTTGTGTAACTCCAGAGACTGTGTTATTTCCTTTTATTCTCTCCTACTTCCGACCTTTCATTTATTCAGCAAATGTTATGGAGTGTTCAGCCTGTGTGGGATGCTGTGCAGGGGTGGTGGTGCCATGATGAACGAATTTATACTTTCGTATACTTTGAATTGTAGGATGGTCTCATTCACACTTGACTAATTCTTAGGCTTAAGAAAACCCTCAAACATTGAAGTGGGTCAGTTGAGTACATTTGAAGAAAAAAATAGAGTACTGTGCTGATGTTTTCCTACTGTTTTATTTATTTATTTATTTATTGAGACAGAGTTTTGCTCCTGTTGCGCAGGTTGGAGTTCAATGGCGCAATCTTGGCCCACCACAACCTCCGCCTCCTGGGTTCAAGCGATTCTCCTGCCTCAGCCTCCTGAGTAGCTGGGATTACAGGCGTGCGCCACCATGCCCGGCTAATTTTGTATTTTTAGTAGAGACGGGGTTTCTCCTTGTTGGTCAGGCTGATCTCTAACTCCCGACCTCAGGTGATTCGCCTGCCTTGGTGCCTCCCAAAGTGCTGGGATTACAGGTGTGAGCCACCGCGCCCGGCTTCTACTGTTATTTTTAGGAAAACATTTATTGATAGGGTTTGTTCGTAGGATTCCTGACCAGACTAGCTCTGGAAGGTGGCATTGTGAGGACTGCATTGTGAACAGACCAATTGGTCCTCCCCTGGAAACAATAAGGAGGAATGATGAAACAGCAAAACATTTATGAATTAAAGAAGATGTGTTGCAAGGTGGTGTGTTTATTCCTTGCTGTTGAGCAATAACAGTTTTGGCCCACCCTTCTCATGTGAGGTCAGGAATATACATTATTTAATGGAGCTTATCATGGTTGCAAACTACTTTAAGGGAAAAATGAAGCAATGTACTATGAAGTGATCTCGCAGGATCCAAGTGCAAGAAATGCAGTCAGGGTTCTCAGAAGCTTAGAGGTATGAACTAGGAAGCAGAAAGTCCTTAACATCCAGGACAGCTGGTGTGTTCTTTTCTCAGGAGCCTCATGACCTCCATCTTTGCTTCCCTGCTTTTGCTCTTCATTTCTTATCCTCTTTTCAATCCAGCTTTTGCTGCCTTCCCATGCACATGGCTCAAGATGGCTGCCCCACAATGGCCACCTCAGCCTTTAGTTGCAGATGAGCAGAGACTTCAGTAACATTCCTGGATCCCTGTTTTCATCGCCTGGGAGAAAGTCTGATTGTCTCACCTTGGCTCAAGGGATCTATCAGCCGTAGTCTGGCACAGTGGGAGGCATGTGGAAACCATGCATCACAAATATGGTTGCCAGGGCCCATGAGAGTTATAGCTCTTAGAGCACAGAGTTTGAGAGCTGGATACCATAAATGGTATCTCTGCAATTAGAATCTTAGAAATCTACCTGTGAATAAGGTATTTTGGGGAGGAGTGCTGCTGAGTTTGAAGCTCTGGAACACTGTGAATAAGGTATTTTGGGGAGAAGGAGTGCTGAGTTTGAAGCTCTGGATCATCTTTCTGTAAGGATGTAAGGGATTCCTATAAAAGCTTTTGTATTAAAAATAACTTAGCTCCTGTAGGAAGGAAATTACTCCACAGTAATAATTTACAGAATACAGTCCCAGTGACAGTGAAACAAGTCTCTCCAATGGGCAAGTTTTCATGGGGTTTTTTGTCTATTTTGTGAATGACATTTGGAAACAAAAAAGGCAGGAGGGTGTGTGTGTTTAATTTGTAATTTCTTTTGCTCAATTTTGGGCCACTGGCCACTTCACTATAACCTTATCTGCTTCAGAGAAGTGGATAATAAAGGGATATCGATTTAATTCATTCACAGATCACTCAGTGCTGCACACTGTGGGAGACCTGTCCGTGGATGGGGAAGGGAAGTGCCCAGTGATTACAAAACCACCTGAAGAACTAAGCTGAGAGTTGAGTGTAGTGTGCAGTGGTTGTCACCAATTCTTTCTCTTTTTCTGGTTAAAAAGTGCACGTTTACGCTCATTAGTCATTGTTTCTCTTTGGGTTTTCTCCAATTTCTCTGTTAATTTAAAATGAAGCAACCAGAACAAGTGATCAAAACTATACAGGATGTTAATAATATGGGTTTTTAGGGCTAGAGAGATATTAGAAGTCACATCTATCCAATGTCTCAGTCATTCAGCAGTTGTTTTCATATTTGGAGAGATGATATCTTGAGCAGATCCTTGGGAAGGGATGGATAAAAGGTACTTTAATAGAGAAAGGGTGGCTGGGTGCAGTGGCTCACACCTGTAATCCCAGCACTTTGGGAGGCCGAGGCGGGCAGATCACAAGGTCAGGAGTTTGAGACCAGCCTGGCCAACATGGTGAAACCCCATCTCTACTAAAAATACAAAGTCTAGCCGGGCATGGTGGTTTGCGCCTGTAGTCCCAGGTACTCAGGAGGCTGAGGCAGGAGAATTGCTTGAACCTGGGAGGTGGAGGTTGCAGTGAGCCGAGATTGCACCATTGCACTCCAGCCTGGGCAACAGACCAAGACTCCATCTCAAGAAAAATAATAATAATAATTAAAAAGAAAATAGAGAAGGGGCTACGCTGGCTGGGTCAGACAGACTGGGACCAGGGTCAGTAGGTTAATTCAGTGGCATCACCATTTTATTTGGGAATTTTAAATATAATTCTGACTGAAAATTGATAAACACCCTTAAGTGGAGTTATGCAAGCCTGTCTCTGCATAAGGTTTTGGAGTATCATGAATGATTTCCCTTTCTAACCTTTCTGCTTCAGCTCAAGCAAAATTGGTAAAATTTTTCCTGATTCCTGAATCTCCTGGAAAAACTTGTAATTTCATAAGTAACAAACAGCCCTCCATTTTATGACCCTATCCCAAGAACACACCATGTATGAAAGATTTCTCTGAGGAAGCTTAAAGGTCAGGGTGGCGTTCTACCCAACCTCTAATGAGCAGAGTTTAAGCACTGCCAGCATCTTGTGTACTTCCGGATAAAGCTTGGAAGGCTGCTCACCTGTGGGCCATGTTTGGTTTGGCAAGGCCTCTGCTTTTGACCCAACTTTGCAGCCCTAGGTAAATTAAATTACATTTTGATCTGTGCCCACTGAAGACCAAGAAGTAGCTTGCAGGTTAACATTATGGAGAAGGTTATTAACTTTTTGTTAATTATTACGGCAACAGACTCCACAATTCCTTGGTAGCAGCACTTTGTAGTTGTTAAGTGATATTGCTCTAAGAAACGGGTGTCGCTTTTCTCTAGTGTTTGTCAAATGCACATGTTCTGACAGTAATGATAGTTCAGATCTATTTTGCTGGGCATCTGCCAGGGGTGCCCAGTGGGTAGCTGAATCCAGAGGCACTGGAATTGTAAATACAACAGACAAATCATTTGATGGTGCCAGACTAAGGAGTTCAGCTTTGGCAGATTGCCAGGAGCCGTTGATTGGGCTCAGATTCAGTGCTATGTGTCTGTTTGCCAAGCAAGATTAGTTGTCTTGGTTAATTATACATAGAATTTGTACCCCCTTTCTCTCGATTATTTCCATCTTAAACCGGTATGACATTTACTTTAATTTTGCATCTTGTTTTGATATTGATTTGTGGGTGAGTTTCTGTCCCTGTTTTTGGTGAGTCTGTAGTGACTACGTTTTCCTGCCCCGGTCCTAACACAATCCCAGCCTTACAGACCCTGGGTTTGCTGGTGTATAATGCAGGCTTTCACATCTTGTATTGGATTCATTTGGTACCTTGTTACTTAGTGTTCTCCGTGTTCAGTACAGTGTCAATACCTCCTTATTAAATCAAGCTAATTTTTGATTCTTTAGAAGGTACAATGATTCTCAAGTTCTGGAGTACATGTGCCTATCTTATATTAAACATTAGTTTTTCTTTACAAAATGAGGCCAAAATACTTATTGTTGCCATACAAAAATAATTCCAGAATACAAAGAATCAAATAATATGATAGTAACCTCAATTCTTTGTCAGTGGGAAGAAAACAAAATGAAAAACTCAATTCCAGGTGTCAATAACATCTATTTTTTATTCTAATGTGAGACCCTGAAGTTCCATCTTTTTGAAGTTGTCAGGATAATTTCATTTGAGCATTGCTTGGAAGCTGTAAGGATATACTGTTTGGGACCCTTTTATTTATTTTTATAGAGATGGGGTTCTGCCATGTTGCCCAGGCCTCCCAAAGTACTGAAACTACAGGTGTGAGCCACCAGGCCAGGCCAACAAAACCCCTTTTAAACACAAAATATTGAAGATTCAGGCAAGAACATGCAGTATTGCTAGAGAAGGGCCTATTGTGCTTTCTTTGTTTAGTTTTACTTTTTAGGTTCACTATAGAACCTCAAGTTGTCTTTTTTTTTTTTTTAACTAAACTTTCTTTCCTTTCTTAGTAGAAAAATCCTTGAGGGGCCCTTTCTTAGTAGAAAAATCCTTGAGGGGGGAAGTTTTTTAAAGTAACTTACTGTAACCATAAATCACTTGCCGTTGGTTCTTGTTCTTCCTGTAATCCATTTTATGTACTTTTGCTAGAGTGTAGTAGTCCCAATTCCAATTCTAATCATGTAGTCTCTGTGCTTAAAACAAAATAATCCAAAAATCCAACCATGCTCCTTCTTCATTATCTACTATACAACACTGTAAAGACTGTAAACTTAGCCAGCTTTGACAGCCCTCTACATCTGACCACATCTGACCTTTCTACACTTAATTTCCCACCACTGCCTTCCTTTCCTCCCAGTCCCTGAAATGCTAGAAACTAATTTGCCAGGCATAATGAGCTTCCCCATTGTCTTCCACTCATCAAAAATCCATCTCTACCGCCTTCTAGTGCCTGTTCCCTGAAGTCTTCCCTTCTGCTCCCCAGAACTCTGTCGTGGCTCAATCCAGGCTGCCCAGTACATGGATTTATTGGGCTGTTTATGCTGTCCACCGTGTGCTTAGAAATTCCTTGAATGCAGAGACTGTTAAGCTTTGTATATACTTTTAGTGCCTAGAACAGTCCCTTATACTTCATAGGTGCTTGTTGGCTTAATTTCATCTTCAAAAGGAACTTTGATTTTGATGGATATTTGAATGTTAAAAAAAAAGCTAGAATTTTTTTTGGGGGGGATAGAGGGGAATGACGGGGGAAGATGGGTGGCTGCAGCTTAGTCTCTAATTCGATGCCTAAGTATTTAAATATTTTATTAGAGTGACATGTTATGTGAGACCATCTCAATGGAGGACCTTAGCTTTGTAAGTTTTTTTTTTTTCTCAGTTTCGAAATCCTAGGTTTCACCCTAGAAATACCCGAGTCACACCTGGATCCTGGCAGCTCATACCTACAGGTCTGGCTCAGAGACGCCAGGGCCACGAGGCTTAGGGCCCCAGGTTCTGGTCCTAGCTCAGCCCCTGGCAAGTTTCATGGTCCTCCATTTCCACTTCTTTATGGATGAGTTAGATACTTGTTTTCATTTTTGAACTTAAATTTGGTCAGCACCTACCACTTGACACTAGGATGGACACTTCAGATTTTATTTCATCTTCCTATGATCTTGGGCAAGTCAGTTCTCTGAGCCCACTTTCATCATCTATAACATAGGCACAATAATACTGTATGTCTACTTCTAGGATTATAAGGAATTAACATTGAGATGACATTTCCATTTGAGAAGGAAAATAGTTGCTTTCAGTGCCTTTTATTTGATTCCTGGAGAGAGCAGACTCGCACCGACATTCAACCCCAGCGCTGATATGACAGTAATCCTCAGAGGCAGAGCCCAGCACAAAACAGCAATGCTAGAAAGTTACAATTGGAAAGTTTCCTGCCAGCTTCGGGAATGACACTGCAAAGCTGATGCCAGAAACTGCCAGAGTAATTCTCCTCATTACTGCTCTACCCACCCACTTTCAGCTCCCCAAATTAACTAGTGCAGTTGACTAATTCCTCTTTACCTTTATCATTTAGGGTGAGGCATTGCACAAAAACTCTCGACTTTGCCATATAAGGGCTGTGGTTCTCTGTGGTCCCTGGATAAGAGGCATCACCATTATCTGGAAACATGCAGTAAATGCAGATTCTTCATCTTCTCCCCAGACCTCCTGAGTTAGAAATTCACAAGTTCTCCAGGTGATCTCATACATGCTAAAGTTTGAGAACCATTGAGTAAAGTTAATGCATTAAGAAGAGATTAGATAGGGATGGTGGCGTATCTTCCTACAGTTTCCCTGTTAACAAGAAAGTCAGAGGTCAGTTGATCAGACATTAGATTATTTATTGCTAAAACTAAAAAAAAAAACAAAAAACGATTTTTAGTTCACATTTATAGCCTATTATTTGTACCAGCATATTTAATTTTCCAGAACTAGAATTGAAGCAAATTTTGGAACCAGTTCCCTCCTGTTATGGTGAATGGAGGTGAATGTCTGGCCTTTGGCAAGACAACTGCATTTGAGGCCTATGTGGACCCTGCAGGGGCTACAGAGATTTTATGGTGGGCTTGAGGTTGACCTGCACTGGGAATAACCAAAGCAAAGACAAGATGACTTGGACAAGTAGGGTCAATTTTCTTGGCCTCTTGCCTTTGTTAAAATTCCCCCTTTGGATCTTTGAGTTTACAGACTGAATACCAAGCACACTCTTTTAAAAAAATTCTTGCAATTGTTTGTATTTTGTGATTTTTCTATCACTCTGGAAGGGTGATAGGCAAGGATGAGGTAGGTGGAGTCAAATATTTCAAGTAGAACCAAAGATCTTAGTTCCCTCAAAAATGAGGTGGGGGTGAATTTGCTAATGTCAGACATTAGATAAACTGAGTTGGTAAAGCACGTCTTAAGACCTCACACTCTTCAGCCAGACCAACTGGGTTCAAAAAGGCAAGTTACCTAAGCTCTCTGTGCCTCCATTTCCTCATCGGTAAAATGGAGATAATGTTCCTACTTCATGCGGTTGTTAGGGAGTGTGAAGGAGGTCCGATTTGTGAAGCACACAGAACAGTGTTGGGCACATAGTAAATGCTTTACAAATGTTTGTTTAGTAAATAAATATAGCCACTGAATTTCATGAGTTCTAATCTACGCTAACTTGCTGTGTGTCATTTCTTTCATTCAGCAGATCTGTTTTTCCAAGTGCTGAAATGCATATGTAGGTTTCTCCTGTTTTAAGATTGTTTCGGCCGGGCGCGGTGGCTCACGCCTGCAATCCCAGCACTTTGGGCGGCCGAGGCGGGTGGATCACGAGGTCAGGAGATAGAGACCATCCTGGCTAACAAAGTGAAACCCAGTCTCTACTAAAAACACAAAAAATTAGCCGGGCGTGGTGGCGGGCGCCTGTAGTCCCAGCTACTCGGGAGGCTGAGGCAGGAGAATGGCCTGAACCCGGGAGGCAGAGCTTGCAGTGAGCCGAGATCGCGCCAGTGCACTCCAGCCTGGGTGACAGAGCGAGACTCCGTCTCAAAAAAGAAAAAAAAAAAAAGATGATTGTTTCAAGGCATTTTTCATGACATTTTGATTGGTAACTTCGTTTTTTCATATATTATCCATTATTAAAGTCTTGTCTTACCAATTATTTTGAGTTATGGATTCTTTAAGTACTTTAGGATTAAGTTCAGATGAAAATTTCAAATATTCCATTCTCTGATGAGCCTGCAGTCACAAGTATTCCTTGTCTCTGTTATGCTCAAAGCCTTTAGAGAGCCATAGGTGATGTTTTATTATTCTGATAAGGCTGTTTTCTCATATCAAAGGAAGTCGAATATTATGTTTCTCTATAGAAATACCTGTGATAACTTCTAGGTCCATAGGGTAACTTCTAGGGTTAATGACTTCTACCAAGGACTTGGAGCGGTGTGACTCAGGGCACACACTGCTGCTCACCTTCCCAGTAACCAGGAAATTAAACAAGATATGTGCAAAATGCCACCGGGCTACATGAATTCTCAGGAAACAGCAGCTGTTAATATTTGGGGAAAGGCATCAGAAAGGAAATGGTTAAATGCGTCTTGATGTCCTTATCCCTGGGCTGGACTGACCTTTGCTGATTTTATAATTGTGAGGAAGCCCGGTTGAAAACATTTCTCTGGTGACTGGGGTAGAGATGGGGGAGGGGGATGGTTCCCAGTGTCCGTTCCCAGCTCAGGCTGCCTGGCGGTGTGCTCGGGT
The DNA here is from genome assembly GCF_000001405.40 of Homo sapiens. Lineage (NCBI taxonomy): Eukaryota > Metazoa > Chordata > Mammalia > Primates > Hominidae > Homo > Homo sapiens. Next base: position 33,938,522 of record NC_000014.9, on the reverse strand, counting down.
GTGGGCTGGCTGCCACCCTCACGCAGCGCACGTAGCCCTGTCACTCAGCCATCACCCTGCTGGCTTAGAGCCAGTCCTCCACGGGAAGGGCGGCCTGCCCAAACCCAAACACCCTGTATTAATATGGCGATGTTGCCGGGCCTGTTTACTGTGCCTAATTGCATGGGCTCTGGCTGAATCCCCTCCAAGGAGAAGAATTAACCACAATGCAGAAAGGAATGACAATAGTCTCTTAAATTCCTGGCCTCTGAGCCTTTCAGTGGCTTCTTGGGGGAGGGCGATTCACTCAGAAGGTCGTGCATGAAATGCGGGATCTCCTGGAATAGAATCTTGATCCCGCACAGTTCAACTTTAGAGGCCTTTGAACCCCCTAGAATTTCGTGCAGACTTCTGTGTGTGCGTGCATATTTCTTACATCCTTTTAATGTAAGAATCTCAAAGGGCTATTGTGCCTGGTAGAACTATCATCACTGACCCAGGAGAACTAGATGGATGCTTCCACGCTCTGGGTAGTTAATGATCCTGAAGCTAGGACCAAGTTCATCTGAGGACAGGTTTTAAAGTGAGAATGGTAAATTCTCTGCTATTCAGGCACGGTGCTCTCACCTGGCCAGGAGGGTGTGGGCAGACCCACTTCACTAGAGCAACCGAGAGTCGGTTATTACTTCTTATTTTTTATTTTCAGAAGTTCTGAAGTTTCTACAATATTAGAAAATTCAGGTGTAGGTATGTGATGACCGTTGTTCTACCTTGGGAGAGAGGTCATGTGTAGCAGTGTTCTGGGTAAGTAGGTTCTGCGAGAGGAATTATTTTTAGTGTGGATTTAGGACAAATGAGGAGGGCAGAAGTAGTCTGCATTGTGGAAGTAGAGTAGTAAAAAACATTTTCATGAATAATTTGGGGTTTATTGAAAGGATTACCTACCTGACAGGTATTTGTCTGGTATTCTGAATCTTCCAAATGGTCTGGTGAGATGCTGAAGCTTTGGAAAGGTGAACACGGTGGCTGGACACAGCTTGTGTTATGGCCCACCAAAAGTGTATTTTCTCTTTCCCCCTCATTTTATTACATCAGTCTGTAACTAGAGGCACTAGAAGTCAGGAAATAGAATAGCTAGGCTTGCTCTTAACCAACAACAAAGATGACCAGCAAGATGCCAAGGTAACTGATGACAGTTTACACAAAATTTCTTACTTTTCTAAGAGCTCACGTTTGCTTACAACTATTTTCTTCATGCCCGTCTAGGTGAAGTTTGAATGTCTAAAAATTCTAAAGCACTTTTAATACTTACAAGTTAGCACTGCTTCATCATCACATTGAGACCTTTTTTGTTCAATTCTGTATAAAGGATAAGACCAGCTGGCAGCAAATGTGAACTTTTGCAGTGACATTTTCTTAAAACTTGGAGAAAGCTTTGCATAGTTGCCATCGTCTTGTAAAGAGGCCCTGTGAACATTGTTCTGTAGGAATTTAATTTACTTGACAACAGTAGATCCCACAAAATGTCCTTGAAGATCACATATCCCTGAACAAGGGAGATGATAGAAGGTTGAAGTAGTAATTCCAGTTTGCTTTTCATGTCCTCCGGATTTAAGTTGCAAATGATTTTTTGAGTTCTTTTCTCTCACTCCTTGTCAGAGCCAAGTGGAAAATAATGGAATTGGACATTTTGGCTTAATTTGTCTTTAGATTTTTTTTTTTTTAAATAAAACTTGTAAAGGGCATGTCTCTTTCAGGTTTTGTTTTTTTTTTTCTCCAGCCTTTCCTCCAGTATGCCTGCATATAGCAGTTTGAATACCTAAACGTTTTTTTGGTTTTTCTTTCTTTTTAAATAGGAGAATTTCAGATCTAGAGCTGCTGCTAGCACATATAGTGCCTTTGTTCCAGCTACTAATCCCCTTTCCCCTCCCTCAGATGAATTACCAAATGGGGCCCCTACATCAGCAGGGTGCCTTGATGAAGGCAGGACCTAAAGTATGTGATCATGGGGATGCCCTGCTCACTGGCCACAGTCAAGGCGTGTGTTAAAATATGTGCTGAACATAAACCACCTAGAAAAATAGCCCTGGAAGTGTAGCCTTCAGCTCCTCTACCCACAGCTGACTAAAAACATTGGCAAGTTTGTCACCTAGGCTGTTGTCACCCGAATATAAATGAGACCCATTTCTGGCCAGAAAACTTCAGCTATCACAGTCTACATTGTGATGAGTTGCTTGGCTGTTTTTCCAAGCAAAAGAAGGTGCATGGTCTCATGTATTTCCTCCCAACTCTTATTTATTTATTTATATTTTTTGAGACAGCATCTCGCTCTGTCGCCCAGGCTGGAGTGCAGTGGTGCGATCTCGGCTCACTGCAACCTCCACTTCCCAGGTTCAAGCAATTCTCCTCCTCAGCCTCCTGAGTAGCTGGGATTACAGGCGTGCGCCACCATGCCCAACTAATTTTTGTATTTTTAGTAGAGACAGGGTTTCACCATGTTGGTTAGGCTGGTCTTGAACTCCTGACATTGTGATCCACCCACCTCGGCCTCCCAAAGTGCTGGGATTACAGGCGTGAGCCACCGCGCCCAGCCCCCAACTCTTTACACATCTAGTTGTCTGTGTTGTTGTGCCTGTGTCGTTGTGCCTTATGGTGGAGAAGGGAAGGATCCTGGGCCTCTGTTGCTCTGTACTGGGTGGACATGGGGGAAGGACTTGATGGAGCGAGGTGTCAGGATGCAATTGGAATGTGGATGGCATTCAGGATGAGGCATTGTCTTTGGATAGGATGTGTTTGAGTCTGGTGGAGAGAGATGGGGAAGGTGCCCACTCAGCAGCTGTCTCAAAGTAGCTTTACTTCTTGGAAGTCCTCACACAGTGATCTCAAAATATAGCCTGATATATGTGTGTGTATATATATATATGTGTGTGTGTGTGTGTGTGTGTGTGTGTGTGTGTATTTATTTATAGCCCTGATTAAAAAATTGGGATCAACAATATTCAGGAGAGTTTACATAAAGATCTGATTGCCTGCTACTCTCATAAAATCTGAAGATTTGCTCTCATTGAAAATAACAGCAAGTCCCCTCAGTGTAGGTGGCATAACACACACCAGAGTTCTGACTCATGTATACCGGATTGGCTTCAATCATTTGTTACTCGCAAACATCGAAAGCTATTTTAGTTTGCCAGTCCTGGGTTCAAAACTACAAAACACTTAAGTAGAATTGGGTCTCTGAAGAAGAGACGTTCTACAGCTTCAGTTGAGGGGAAGACAAACATAACACATCATCTTTAAAAATAGCTAACATTTATTAAGCACTTAGTGTGTGCCAGGCCGTGCATTAAGCATTTTACATGGATTATCTCCCTGAGTCTGCATAAACCCATTTTACAGATGAAGAAACCAAGGTGTAAATGAGCTAAATGCAGATTATCCCGTACTTAGGTTGCATTTTATTCAAAGTACGCTTTGCTCAAGACCATGCTTAATTCAAAATGAATCCTTACAAAGGTTGGCTGGTATTTCTACTTAGCAGCTGGAGGGGATCTAGCATTTGTCGGTAGATCAGAATACTAGTTTAAAGCTCCTTCAACCAGATAGTTTTGAAATCACGCTTTTCTCAACAAATCTTAAACAATGGATTTTCATTTATTGGAAATTTTGCAAATAAAATGAGATCTAATTAGTACTTTAATTTGGTGAGTTAAATTTTGTATAAAATGCCACTTTATTATAACTTGTTCAAGATCGAGTCATACTAGTGAATCTGTCTCAAATCATGAGCAATGTAAAATACATTTCTATGAAAATACATGTTGCAACTGTTAGCAGAGAAGTGGTAACGGCAGGGTGGGTGTATCCCCTTCTCACCTGTGGGTCTGAAAAATGATCATCATTGCCTAGTGGATGGTGGAGGTCACTGATGCCAAGTTTTTGAAATGGTTTTTACATGCAGTCAAGCTGCGGTTGATGGCATTCAAGAGCATTCTGTTTAGGCATTGGAATGGAAATCCTGGACTTTTATTTTTCAACTTTACCTTTGGACTTGATGAGATAGGTTTTTTTTTTTTTTTTATGAAGTCAGCTCACTGGTAACTCTTAACAGAACCACTGTTTCCTTTTCCACCTGTGGCATTTGGGGACCACTTTTTTATACTGGGTTTTGACTGTTACGGTTCTATATATCTGTGTATATCTTCAAAGGATACATATACGTTTGTTGTCTGGACATGGCTGCATACGTGTCTAGAGCACATATTCTGGTCTAGAGCCAGCCTGGGCCGGCCTGATTCACCTCTCCACTCATTTCCTATTGCTACAGAGCTAAGGAGAGGCCTCTGGGAATGGGGATGGTGGGAGGTGGGGTGGGTACACTATATAATGTCAGTGGACAGAGCGGTAAATGTGTAAGGGGACATGTGGATTTATCAGTATATCCAAGAATAGAACTATAGGACTATACTGTATGTGCTGCTGTAGATGACACTACTGTGTTAAACTTGCGTAAACTTCAAATATTAATCTAGTCAGGAAGTTTTAGAAAATAAAAAGCCTGTACTAAAGTAGGCATCCTCTTGATATGTGTCAGTTTATTGCTTGGCATGTTTGTTATATGATCATTAAATTACTCTGGCCCGTTCTTTTAACAATAAAGCATTGAAGACTTCTCTTCTGTTAAACACTAAATCCCTTCCCCGGCTTGATGAGGTTTAGATAGCAACTCAGTTGGACTGATCTGTTTCCGGAGTTTGTTACTGCCCCGTGCACAAATTGGCACAGAAGTGAATGGCTAGTTATTGAAGTCAGGCTTGCTTCTCGGTGCATCCTTAGCCTCATGGTTTTAGACCCTGTCAAAGACGAGCAAATAGTTGGGAATGTGCCCAAGCAAAGACCCATCTCCTATGGCACTCATCCAGAAAACACACTGATAAAATTGGCCAAATGTAGCCTCAACTGGCCCACTGATGCTCGAAATGATTTCCTTCCATTGTTTCCAACTTGATGCATGTGGTTTCTGGAACCAGGAGAGAGGGTGAATGTTCACTCTGGCCAGAAAAATTATCTCTTTGCCTCCCTCTTAAGCAGTCGGATACTTTGCTGACATGTAGGGGTTTTGTCCTAATAGTAAGTCCTCTGGAATTGGCTTTGTCTCTGTGTGTTTTATAGATGCGGCATTTGGTAGAGGATTTACTTTTGTGAGTTTGTATCCATCTTTTTTTTTTTTTTCAATATTTTAATCTGAGCTGAGTTCTGAGGCAGAGAAACACTCCTTAATGACCTGAAGAACTATGTTGCTTTTTCAAGGGTTGATGCTTAGATCAAGTCTTAGATCTTCTTGGGCCTTTGACAGCTGCGTAACCCAATCCCCTCTTTATAGGAAAGAGACAGCCTGGGATCACAGTTAGTTGCAGAGTGAACTATGGCAGGCATCCAGACCACTGACCTTTTCCTTAGAGAAGAGCTGTTTAAGCATATAAGATTATAGCATTGATGTCATACTTTTTCTTTTCAGACACACTCAGTGGGGGGAGCCTGAGATAATAGGGAATCCAGCCTGTAATTGTTTGTGGCTTAAGCGACTTTCATTATTGGCTCTGTGGTGGCTCTTATAATCCTAATAGCTGCTTCCAGGGGTGGGTAATTCTTTAGTCATTATAGGTGACTTTATTTGTCTCTTCTTCTCTTGCTAGGCCCATCAATTCTGTTTGCTACCAATCACCCTTCCTCAAGCCATGCTTTGCTTAGTGGTACCATCATTTGTTAAATCTTCATTGCTGACGTCGCCTCACAGTTTCACCTTCTGAAAGATGTTCAAGCTAACAGCCTAACTTGAGCTCTAAGGATGACATCACATTGACATTTTGATGTTCAAAGGCAGGATATGGGGATTGTTTGCTGCATGAGGATATGAAGTTTGAGAGAGATGGTGATTTAAGCTTTAAAATTGTTGTAAAGTCCAGTTACTATTCAGCCTTATTATTGATCTGGCATGCAAGGTGTGTTTTGCCTAGTTCCGTGTTTTCATGCTACTATTGAGAGTGACTCGGCAGCCACGTTGAAGCTGATTCATTGAACCACTAGCCCATTAGCTTGGGGCTCTACTCAAACGGTCATTTTACCAATGAAGCAACGCTGCCATTTATCAGGAAATATATGGCCTGGATCTTTACATGTATGTTTGAAGATAGGTCTTTTAAAATGACAGAAATAGCTATTGATCTAGGTAAAATGTGAACTTACTCTTTAGAGAAAGAGCCATTCGCTAGTTCATTGATTTATTTATCACATTTTAGATGGACACCTTCTGTATGTCAGGCACTGTCCTAGGTGCTAAGAATACATCAGTGAGTAGAACAGGAAAAAAAATCCCTGTCCTCATCTTGTGTTGCTGGTTCTAATATTTTCCTTGCACCTACTGCATCCCTATAAAAAATATTTTTCAAACATGGCGGTATCCTGTGAAGAAAAGAACTGGCTTTCTATACTTTGCTTTCTTCCCCCTCCCCACTCTGTGTTATAATTTTTCCCTTGGAACAATTAGAGGTCTGTTTACTCTAATGGTAATTTTCAGTAGGATTTTTGGTACGGTTTTCTACTTTATTCTTCCACCTGGTTGATACAGGTAGCACTTAGACAAAGAGAACTTCAGATTATCACCTGATTACATAATTATCAGGAAGAAGACACATATTAAGATACATGCATGGCTTTTTTCCTGAAAGGAATCTCCCTGTGTTGTCTGTGTTAACAAGTTAGGGTGCGGCTTCCTATTGATCTTCCTCTATTCTTTCTATCCTGAGCATTTTATTGAGTAAGCCTGACCTTTTCCTCCTTTGGTGATTAGTTCTGTCACTTTGTGTATGCAAATACCTTTAGCCATTGTTCTGAAACAGTGTGAGTGATTCAGCAGCACTTGCTAAACAGTCATAATCCCTAAACTCCACACCTAGTGACTCTGATTTTGTAGCATGGGAAACTAGAAACTGCTTTTCCAAAAAGGAGTATTGAAGAAAGGCAGGGCATACAAACAGGTTATGCAAACAGGGCATGCAGATAGGTTACTTTAAGAAAGACTGTGTAAAATGTTCTAGAACTGTGGGAATATTGTTGAACTACTTTCCACTGGGCAGAGCCATAGTATGACCTGGCCATTGTGCACAGAAGAGTCCAAATTTATGTACCATACATGAAATTAAGAAGCCAGCAACTACCTGTAAATGTCACGTAACACCCAAGGAGACTGTGTTACTTATCTGCTCACCAGTGGGAGGAGAAGATTGTCTGTCTCAGCTTTGTTAACCAGCTTTCTTGGGATTTCTCCATAGGCAATGGTGGCTTGCTATCCGGGAAATGGAACAGGTTATGTTCGCCACGTGGACAACCCCAACGGTGATGGTCGCTGCATCACCTGCATCTACTATCTGAACAAGAATTGGGATGCCAAGGTACTTTTGAATAATGGGAGTAGAGTGTGGGGTTAGAAACTACAGGAAAATGATTCAGATAACTTAGAGGAGAGTTTATATTGAGTTCATAGTTGCCGTATCTCCCACTGATGAAACATTTCTATTTCCATTTCATAACCTCCTGCGACAATGGAATTAGTCCTAAAGTTGTTAAGAAGAAAACAATGAAGTTAATTTGGAGTGGGGTAGGTAGGGTGATTATTAACCCTACCTCTGGGAAGGGTGGTTGATGAAGGGAAGGTAATTTGATATTAGGATTAAGGATTAATTTTTTTCAGTTTAATTCAGAGTTGTTCTGACTCAATGCAGAATAGGATATACACTTTTCCCTCCCAGCAGCAGCATTGAGAAAGTTCCACAAAAATAGAACTGTAGGCTATAAAACCATCCCCAAGAGAGATTTCCCACACAGTCCTCTCCCTCGGGGTGGTATGTCTCATTGATGGCTGCTTGCCATGGCTTACTATGGTTTGTGAATGCCAAAGGCTTTGTGGCTTATTTTTGTATTATAGAACTTATAGATAGATGGAGATATGAAGCCTGGTTCCATGCTTACAGACATTCATCTGGACTCTGTATGCTTTCCGAAAGTTAAGAATGATTTAGGAGTCTGGGAAGTCAGATAACTTTTCAAGCTTATTTGGCTTTTGAACCTTCTGCATCTCAATTTCCTGTTCATTAGGCAAATACTGGCTGTCATAAAGCAATAATATTTATCCAGAGTCAGAAAAACGAAACTTGGGAAACCATTGAATCAGTGAAAAGGCCTATCTCTTCTCCCTGTTTGGTAACATGACTGGAATACATCCATTAAGTCTCCTTTAAAATCTTGAGAGGTGCTGATAGAGACAAGAGAATAAAGTTATCAGACTGGTAATAATAAATTGCAAGGTCTGGAATCATTTAACAAATATTTGAGTTCCTGCTAGTGTCAGGCGTTGTATTATGAAGAAACATTGATGTGTGAGGCCTGAACTTTACTCTGAATATGGTTATTCTAGTAGGATGAAATAGGTTGACATGTAAAAAAAATAATTCAAGGAAGAGAGTGGTGTATGTCATAAAAGGTGCAGATTAGGTGGTCTGAGAGTTCAGTAAAAAGAGCATGTAACTTCCAACTAATGAGGTCAGATAGGAGCTAAGGGAGTTCAGAAGAGCTGTAAATTCTAATTGAAGGGGAAGTTACATGTGATGATTTTCTTAGAAAGTTGTTAATGGTTAGATGGAACCATGTGAGATCACTGGGCATTTTTTTTTAAGTCAAAAACACTCAAATATTGGCAAATCGGTATGATTCAATCTAATAGTACTCTATTTTACGTCCATGGGCTTTATGACTGTGGGGGGTGGGAGTGCTTTTTTTGGTTTAAGGTGAATAAGGAGATATCTCTAGCTAAGTTTGATATAAAATTTGGTACGAAGTGGCTGGGCGTGGTGGCTCATGCCTATAATCCCAGCACTTCAGGAGGCCCTAGTGGGCGGATCACCTGAGGTCGGGAGTTCGAGACCAGCCTGACCAACATGGGGAAACCCCGTCTCTACTAAAAATACAAAATTAACTGGGCATGGTGGTGCATGCCTCTAATCCCAGCTACTCGGGAGGCTGAGGCAAGAGAATCACTTGAACCAGGGAGGTGGAAGTGGCAGTGAAACGAGATCGTGCCATTGCACTCCAGCCTGGGCAACAAGAGTGAAACTCCATCTCAAATTGGTACAAACTATGAGGTTGAAGTAAAAATCTGGGGTACCATGCATTTGGAGTGGTGGTTAGCAGATGGCATGTTTCTAAATGGAGCTGAAATATGGTTGTTGATAAACTACATGAGAGGTAAGAAATAATCCCCCTTCTTTGTGTCTTTCAGCTACATGGTGGGATCCTGCGGATATTTCCAGAGGGGAAATCATTCATAGCAGATGTGGAGCCCATTTTTGACAGACTCCTGTTCTTCTGGTCAGATCGTAGGAACCCACACGAAGTGCAGCCCTCTTACGCAACCAGGTAATAGCCGGAGCCATGATTCCTCTTCCGGAGCTTGGTGTACAAACCCTAGTTCCAGAGAACTCTTTAAACGTGTGTCCTGTGCATGTGGGGGATTGACCACACCCCATAGCTGATAGCAAACTTGTTTGGAGTCTACAAAAATTAAAGGGGAAACTTTGCGTTCTTTAGCATATCAAACCTAACCTCAGTTTGAAAGTACTATTAACAAGTTGTTTTCTATTAGATGAGCATATTGGATTCCAATTTCTCAAAAGTATTTTTCTCTTCTCTCCTTTCCTCCCTTCTCTTATCTCTCTTTCCCTTTTTTTAAAAAACCTAATGTTGAACTATGCCTAGAGAATGTTGGCTGTCACATATCAGGAATTCTGTCTGGTTACTTTGGATGAGTTTACAAGCTGCTAATTGCAAGCAGAGAAAGAGCCTTGAGAAGAGAAAGAGTAATTTGTTTTGACTTTCTCTTTTTGTCTTTTCCTTGGTTTGAAATTGGCTTGGGCTTGCTGTATCCATGGTCCAACAGTTGGATGTTTTATTAATCTTTTCTTTATCATGTGCACATGAAGATTCTCAGAGTAACTGAACACCTTAGTATTGTTTAGGACCAATCTAGACAATCTTGACAAAAAATCTTCATTCTCAATTCTGCCTCTCATTTACCTTTGTCTGTGTCTAAAGCAATAAGCCGGGCAGCATTGGAGGGCTATGGAGTGCAGCTTATACTGAGACTAGCATTCAGGGGCAGGAGGAGAGAATTTTGGTAGGATGATGATTAAACCCTAACAAGCCTAATTAAATTAAGATCACATGTGCCCTCCTCCGGAAGTCACACAGCTTAGCCCCAAACCCAGTTATATATTAACTGCCAAATCGGAATGTCTTCTAGATGAGCAGGGAACGAATTCTACCACTGAAGTCAGCTTTTGTGTTTTATGGGGTATGTAACTAAACCCTGTTGTTTGTGGCAGAAGTCTTTGGTTATTCCCCAATCTCATGATGACTGGCCTTACAGGGAAAACATTAGCAAATGTTGATGAGAAGTCCCTTGAAAAAAACTCAAGTGCTATAGAAATTGTTAGCTACGGAAGTAGCTAACAATCATTACAAAATGAAACTTTAAAAAAAAACCAAGCATGAAATGGCTCCCATTACAGTCTATCCAATGAATGGGATAAAGCAAATTAGTGGGGATGCAGTAGAAAGCTCTGGGGCATTATTATTATTCAATTGCAATTTTGCCTCAATGTCCAAAACTAAAGAAAGCAAGCCAAGAGTTTTAAACATACTGTGATTTACATAAGTCGTTTTTCAAAGCTTCACTCAAATGTCATCTCTTCTCTATGTTCTCGCCACCAACTTGGGTCTCCCAGTCTTTAGCAGAATGACTCCCTTCTAGTCCTTTCTGTAGAGGCTATGTTTACCTGTTGCATTATTGCAAAATCACCTGTCTCCCCTACTTGGAGCCTGAGATCGCAGAGGAAGATCTGATCACAGGGTCATTTGAATTCCTAATGCCCAAGATAATTTCTGGCACATACCTGGAATTCCTTATGCATTTTATTACATTGAAATAGAATTAAAACCAGAGAAGTTAATTTTAAATTAAAATCAGCGTAGACAGGCCGGGCATGGTGGCTCACACCTGCAATCCCAGCACTTTGGGAGGCCGAGGTGGGCAGGTCAAGAGATCGAGACCATCCTGGCCAACATGGTGAAACCCCATCTCTACTAAAAATTTAAAAATTAGCTGGGTGTGGTAGCGTGCACCTGTAGTCCCAGCTACTTGGGAAGCTGAGGCAGGAGAATCGCTTGAACCTGGGAAGTGGAGGTTGCAGTGAGCCGAGATCACGCCTCTGCCTGGCAACAGAGCAAGACTCCATCTCAAAAAATAAATAAATAAATAAATAAATAAATAAATAAATAAATCAGGGTAGACTTCTAATAATAGAGAAAACTTTAAAACTTTTAATGTGAGATTTATAGGACATTTGTGTTTCTAGTAGTACCATTAAATCTCTTTCCTTATATCTGCTTATCTTTCACAGATATGCTATGACTGTCTGGTACTTTGATGCTGAAGAAAGGGCAGAAGCCAAAAAGAAATTCAGGAATTTAACTAGTATGTGTTTGATAATTTTCTGTGACTTTTGATCAAGTTAATCCTTGACTTTTATTCAATTTTATGTAGTTTTAAACATGTTCTGTTCAATCTGTTACGGCTTAGCTTTATATATAATGACATCTTGATGGGTTTTATCCTGAAACCTTGGCCTTAGGGCTCTTAGAAAAATCAGAAACAATGCAAGGGGCTTCCCCTGAGAATGCCCACTGAATGTATGATGGTTTATGATAGATGGGAAATAGTTAACTTTTTCCTATTAATGTTAACCAGTCAAATGTAACATTAAATTTTGCCCATGATTTTTGGCATATTGCAAAGGAAATATAATGGAACCCAGTTATGATGGCAAAATTTATTATATTGGGTGAGACTGTGACTCTCAGTATAACAGCAGGGCTCATGTAATATAAACTGAATATAACAGCACTACTCCTATCCCTTCCAACCAGTATTAGAAGGCAGCATTTCCCAAAATACGTTGCATTAAAACACAAATCCTGCCAATTTGGTAAATTCCTGGTCCCAAAAATGTGGGAAATGTTGCATGCTGTATGCCTGTCTTAAAAAGAGTCACATTGCTCACTAGCATATTAAATTAAGGCGCTAAGAGATCCTGCAGTAAGGAAACATATATAATATTGCCTAGCCCATAACCCATTTGGACTGTATACCTCTCAAATACCAAAGTGGTCTCCAAATTGCACCCAGGAAATCTCAGTTTGTTTTCTCTTCCAGATGGCCTACACTGCTTAACTCTGATATGTGAGTGAGGCTACACTTCATACAACTTATGCTCAGCATTAGCCCAAGAGGTGCCAATGCTGGATGTAAACCCAAAGTTCCTCCACAGTCTGTGAGGCATATGGGAAAGATCCCATTGCAAAGTCAAGAGAGAATCCTTTGGCAGAGCTCTATTAGGAGGCTTATATAAGATGGGAAGTGTTTACTGGAGGCTTTTTGGTGACATTTGTGACATAAAACTCATCAGAGCTGACTCCATACCCTCTTTATTCTCCTTTCTGTCCCCAACCCAGGGAAAACTGAATCTGCCCTCACTGAAGACTGACCGTGCTCTGAAATCTGCTGGCCTTGTTCATTTTAGTAACGGTTCCTGAATTCTCTTAAATTCTTTGAGATCCAAAGATGGCCTCTTCAGTGACAACAATCTCCCTGCTACTTCTTGCATCCTTCACATCCCTGTCTTGTGTGTGGTACTTCATGTTTTCTTGCCAAGACTGTGTTGATCTTCAGATACTCTCTTTGCCAGATGAAGTTACTTGCTAACTCCAGAAATTCCTGCAGACATCCTACTCGGCCAGCGGTTTACCTGATAGATTCGGTAATACTATCAAGAGAAGAGCCTAGGAGCACAGCGAGGGAATGAACCTTACTTGCACTTTATGTATACTTCCTGATTTGAAAGGAGGAGGTTTGAAAAGAAAAAAATGGAGGTGGTAGATGCCACAGAGAGGCATCACGGAAGCCTTAACAGCAGGAAACAGAGAAATTTGTGTCATCTGAACAATTTCCAGATGTTCTTAATCCAGGGCTGTTGGGGTTTCTGGAGAATTATCACAACCTAATGACATTAATACCTCTAGAAAGGGCTGCTGTCATAGTGAACAATTTATAAGTGTCCCATGGGGCAGACACTCCTTTTTTCCCAGTCCTGCAACCTGGATTTTCTGCCTCAGCCCCATTTTGCTGAAAATAATGACTTTCTGAATAAAGATGGCAACACAATTTTTTCTCCATTTTCAGTTCTTACCTGGGAACCTAATTCCCCAGAAGCTAAAAAACTAGACATTAGTTGTTTTGGTTGCTTTGTTGGAATGGAATTTAAATTTAAATGAAAGGAAAAATATATCCCTGGTAGTTTTGTGTTAACCACTGATAACTGTGGAAAGAGCTAGGTCTACTGATATACAATAAACATGTGTGCATCTTGAACAATTTGAGAGGGGAGGTGGAGTTGGAAATGTGGGTGTTCCTGTTTTTTTTTTTTTTTTTTTTTTAGTTTTCCTTTTTAATGAGCTCACCCTTTAACACAAAAAAAGCAAGGTGATGTATTTTAAAAAAGGAAGTGGAAATAAAAAAATCTCAAAGCTATTTGAGTTCTCGTCTGTCCCTAGCAGTCTTTCTTCAGCTCACTTGGCTCTCTAGATCCACTGTGGTTGGCAGTATGACCAGAATCATGGAATTTGCTAGAACTGTGGAAGCTTCTACTCCTGCAGTAAGCACAGATCGCACTGCCTCAATAACTTGGTATTGAGCACGTATTTTGCAAAAGCTACTTTTCCTAGTTTTCAGTATTACTTTCATGTTTTAAAAATCCCTTTAATTTCTTGCTTGAAAATCCCATGAACATTAAAGAGCCAGAAATATTTTCCTTTGTTATGTACGGATATATATATATATAGTCTTCCAAGATAGAAGTTTACTTTTTCCTCTTCTGGTTTTGGAAAATTTCCAGATAAGACATGTCACCATTAATTCTCAACGACTGCTCTATTTTGTTGTACGGTAATAGTTATCACCTTCTAAATTACTATGTAATTTATTCACTTATTATGTTTATTGTCTTGTATCCTTTCTCTGGAGTGTAAGCACAATGAAGACAGGAATTTTGTATATTTTTAACCAATGCAACATACTCTCAGCACCTAAAATAGTGCCGGGAACATAGTAAGGGCTCAGTAAATACTTGTTGAATAAACTCAGTCTCCTACATTAGCATTCTAATGGTTTGATTAATATATTCCATCTTTGGCAGGAAGGGCTTGCTAGAATTTTTACACACATCTTTTTAACATTGTTGACTTACACATTTACGCTAAGAGTTTTAGAACGCTTTGGTCATAGTGTTGCTTCGTATTTGTATACCCATGAATAGGTCATTCACTGACCACTATGAATCTGAAAATTGAACAAATTATATTTTGCCCTTCCATATCCTAGAAACAACATTAGTAAAATAACATTAGTCTCAGATAGGACAGAGTGAATTCCCCTTTCGAACAATCTTGAAAAATTTCAATAGGAAAGAAAGGACGAAGTTTATTAGGAATTTTGTATTCTGTAAAATTGTAGTTATATATTTTTCATGATTTCTAATGTCATAAGAATGATAGTGACAATATTCTGAAGGAGGATCATATAGTTCCAAAAGCATGTCTTGTATTTTTCATTTTAGTCAATATGCCAAAAGATCTGACCTCCAAGGCTTTGTTTATTCCTTCCAGACAAAGGTCCTATAAGCTAACAAACCACTTTTTTTATGTGCACTGATTTTTTTTTTTTTTTTTTTTTAATGACTCAATTTGAGTCCTGGAAAATTAAGCTGGAAAATACAACTTTAATGCTAGGAGTCTGTTTTTTGCTCCTCTCTTTGACAGCCCATTTAGGGGAGGAGTTAGCCCTGCTAAAGAAACATTATTTGGCAAATAATCTGATCAATTTCATTTATATTCCCGGCAATGAAATATTAAGAGCCTACCTCACCATTATGTCACTTATATAGTCCAGAGTTCTTGGTAGGAGATTAAATTTTGAACCAAAGATCCAATTTCATGGAAATAAAAAGTCTTACCTAAGTGCATTAGATAGATCCTTAGTAGAGTAGTTAATACCATTAAATGCTGGACTGTCAGAATCATGAATTATCCATTCAGACATGATTTTGTTTTTCTTTAACTCAGGTTTTTTAGAGGCTGGGTCGTCCTAATTTCTTTTGGCCATTCAGTACTGAAATTTCCTGTGTTTTAGAAAGCAATGATGGGAAATGCCATGCTGGGCCAGCAGTTTATATAAGATAGGAGTTTGGATATGTCAGGTACTTATATATTTGATCGACTACGAGGACAAGCAGAAGGGATATTCTTAGTAAAGTTATTTTTTAAAACGATACAACATTGACTTAGCTACAGTCTTGAATCTTTTGAATGGCATGAAGAGTTGGTTAGTAAGGTGGTTAGAAAGTATTGTTAGAACAGAATAGAAATAAACTTTTCTTTTTTGACACAGAGTCTTGCTCTGTCACGCAGGCTGGAGTGCAGTGGCGCCGTCTTTGCTGACTGTAACCTCTGATTCCCGAGTTCAAGCAGTTCTTTGCCTCGTCCTACCGAGTAGCTGGGATTACAGATGCCCGCCACCACACCCGGCTAATTTTTGTATTTTTAGTAGAGACGGGGTTTCGCTATCTTGGCCAGGCTGGTCTCAAACTCCTGACCTCGTGATCCACCTGCCTCGGCCTCCCAAAGTGTTGGGATTACAGGCGTGAGCCACCGTGCCCAGAGGAAATAAACTTTTCAAATGAAGCTGTCTATAGTTGAACTCTGTTGGATAATATATGCTGGTTTATGTTAAAGACCCAGTCTACTTTCAGACCCCATCTACTCTCATCCCAATACGGTTTTTAGTATGCTGTTTTCTTGTTGTGTTGATAGGTCAGGATTTACCATGGTTTACCACCTTTACATTTGCAAGGCCATGGCTAGAGAGGTTAAAGAGTTGTGATGTAAAGAAGCTGAGAACAATGGGTAAGATGACTCGAAATACTCGGAGAATACCTATATGCCAGGCCCTGTGCTACGTGCTCCCACATATTTATTCTTTGCTACCACTGTGAGTCAGCTCTTCCTCTTTCACAGCTGAGGAAATGTACTCAGAATGGTTAGGTGGCTTGTCCAAGGTTACGCAGTGATGGAGTAGTACACTAGGATTTGACACAAGACTTCCAGCTCCTCAGCATTTGTTGTCTTTGGAATCTCCTTCCTGCCAACAGAGCAAGAATGAGTGGAGTTGGGAGAGGGGGAGTTTTAAATGCTTGCTGCTTGATATTTTTATTGAATGTTGTGGTTATGAACAAGGGTGTCAGGCCATCCTGAAAGAGTCAGTTATTCCATAAAAACCACACAAGCAGAAAACATCAGTTGGATTGTCTCCTGACTTTGCAATGGGATCTTTCCCATATGCCTCAGAGATCATGGAGGAACTTTGGGTTTACATCCAGCATTGGCCTCTTGGGCTAATGCTGAGCATGAGTTGCATGAAGCGTGTTCTCACTCACGTATCAGAGTTAAGCAGTGTAGGCCATCTGGAAGAGAAAACAAACTTGAGATTTCCTGGGTGCAATTTGGAGACCTTCCATTAGGCCACAGCACACTGGGACAGTTGGACAATGTGCAAGCTTCAGCCCTCATGTCCTTGTGTCAGATGCACTTGGGGGGAGCAAAGGAAACAGATTTCCTTTCTTTTTGATACACATAACTTCCCAGCTTGGACTTAAGGTAGAGCTGAGATGTCAGTGGAGTTCTATTATAATTCTCCATCGAATAAATTAAATGGCCTACTTTTGTCACCTCTGAGGGACATTAAGTAGAGATAAACATTTTTAATTAAAGCCATTTGAGCCATGTCTACCTATTTTTTTATGGTAGCCTGTAGAAAGATGCTATTTTAATTTCTTTAAAACACAGCTCTTTGCCTTACTTAAATACCATGAAAAACTGAGTATTGAAAAACCACATTTTTTTCTTGGATCTTGCTTATTTGAAAAACAGCATATAGAAAAGTCAGCTTTTCCAGAAGTACTTATGCTCCCGAGGGCTGAAATTTTTCAGAAAATAAAGGCCATTTTGTGATTCTTTTTTTCTTTTTTTGAGATGGAGTCTCGCTCTGTTGCCCAGGCTGGGATGCAGTGGTGCGATCTTGGCTCACTGCAACCTCCGCTTCTCATGTTCAAGCAATTTTCCTGATTCAGCCTCCTGAGCAGCTAGGATTACAGGTGCGCACTACCACGCCTGGCTAATTTTTGTATTTTTAGTAGAGACAGGGTTTCACCATGTTGATCAGGCTGGTCTCGAACTCTTGACCTCGTGATCCACCCGCCTCAGCCTCCCTAAGTGCTAGGATTACAGTCGTGAGCCACTGCGCCCGGCTGTGATTCTTTTTTAAAAGTGAGAGAAACAGACAATGGCTGTTGTATTTTATTGTCATAATTTTGCAAGAAGATTTAAGAGCAGTTGAGTGAAATTCATTATTTTAGGAGTGGCTAAACACTAGGTCATTAAAAATTAATTTAACAGGTCCATACCCCAGAGGTATTGTAGGTTTGGTTCCAGACCACCACAGTAAAGCGAAAATTACTAAAGTGAGTCACACAATTTTTTTTGGTTTCCCAGTACATATAAAAGTTATGTTTATACTATACGGTGTGTATTCAGCATGCAATGGGATCTATATGCAATAGCATTATGCCTGAAAAAACAATGCACATACTTTAATTAAAAACACCTTATTGCTAAAAAATGCTAATGATCATCTGAGCCTTCAGCAAGTCATAATCTTTTTGCTAGTAGAGGGTCGTTCCTCCATGTGGATAGCTGCTGGCTGATCAGGGTGGTGGTTGCTAAAGATTGTGGTGGTTGTGGCAATTTTAAAAATAAGACAACAGTGAAATTTGCCATATTAATTGACTCGTCTTTTCATGAAAGATTTCTCTGTGGCATGCAATGCTATTTGATAGCCTTTTTTTTTTTTTTTTGGAGACAGAGTCTCAGTCTATTGGCCAGGCTGGAGTGCAGTGGCACAATCTCAGCTCATTGCAACCTCCGTCTCCCGGGCTCAAGCAATTCTCCTGCCTCAGCCTCCTGAGTAGCTGGGATTACAGGCGTGTGCCACTACACCCAGCTAATTTTTGTATTTTTAGTAGAGATGGGGTTTCACCATGTTGGCCAAGCTGGTCACTAACTCCTGACTTCGTGATCTGTCCGCCTTGGCCTCCCAAAGTGCTGGGATTACAGGTGTGAGCCACTGCGCCTGGCCTTGATAGCCTTTTACTTATGGTAGAACTTCTTTCAAAACTGGAGTCAATCCTCTCAAATCTGCTGCTGCTTTATCAACTAAATTACATAATAGACTGGATGCAGTGGTTCACACCTGTAATCCCAGCACTTTGGTAAGCCGAAGCAGAGGGATTGCTTGAGCCCAGGGGTTCAAGATTAGCCTAGGCAAGATGATGAGACCTCGTCTCTACAAGAAATAAAATAAATTTACATAATATTCTGAGTTCTTATTTGTCATTTCACAGCTAGAGAAAAGTAGTCCATGCCCAATTTCAAGACTTCAAGGGACAGGCTGGCTCTCTTGTTAGGAGCTAATGCAGCTAATGCAAAGAATCTTCACCAGAAGCAGACTCTATCTCAAGAAACCACTTTCTTTGCTCATCCATGAAAAGCAACTTATCTGTTCAAGTTTTATCATGAGATTGCAGCAATTCAGTCTCAACTTCAGTCTCCACTTCTGATTCGAGTTCTCTTGCTGTTTCCACTGCATCTGCACTTCCTTCTCCACTGGAGTCTTAAACCTCTCAACGATGTCCATGAGTATTGCAATCAACTTCTTCCAAACTCCTGTTAATGTTGATATTTTGACCTCCTTCCACAAATCAGTGTTTTTAATGGCATCTTGAATGGTGAATTCTTTCCAGAAGGTTTTCAATTTACTTGGCTCACATTCATCAGAAGAATCACTATGGCGGCTATGGCCTTATGAGATGTATTTCTTAAATATGACTTGAAAGTCAAAATTATTCCTTGATCCATGTACTGTAGAATGGAAGTTGTGTTAGCAGGCATGAAGACAACATTAATCTCTGTGCACCTCCGTCAGAGCTCTTAGGTGACCAGGTGCATTGTCAATGAGGAGTAATATTTTGAAAGAAATCTTTTTTTCTGAGAAATAGGTTTCAACTGTAGGCTTAACATATTTAATAAACCATGGTATAAACATGTGTGCTGTCATCCAGGCTTTGTTCCATTTATAGAACACAGGCAGAGTAGATTTAGCATCATTCTTAAAGGCATTAGGATTTTCAGAATGGCAAATGAGCATTGGCTTCAACTTAAAGTCAGCAACTGCATTAGCTCCAAACAAGAGAGTCAGCCTGTCCCTTGAAGCTTTGAAATCGGGTGGACTACTTTTCTCTAGCTGTGAAAGTCGTACATGGCATCTTCTTCCAACAGAAGGCTGTTTGATCTACACTGTTGTTTAGTGTAGTCACCTTTATCAATGATCTTAGATAGATCTTCTGGAGAACTTGCTGCAGCTTCAACATCAACACTTGCTGCTCCACTCTGCACTTTTATGTTATAGAGATGGCTTCTTAACTTAAACCCCATGAACCAACCTCTATTAGCTTCCAACTTTTCTTCTGTAGCTTCCTCACCTCTCTCTGCCTTTATAGAATTGAAAGAGGCTGGCTCTGGATTAGGCTTTGGCTAAAGGGAATGTTGTAGCTGGCTTGGTCTTCTATCCAACCCACTCAAACTTTCTCCATATCAACCATAGGCTGTTTTCACTTGCTTATTTGTTCACAGGAGTAGCACTTTTAGTTTTCTTCCAGGACTTTTTCCTTTGCATTCACGAGTTGGCTAACTGGTGCAAGAGGCCTAGCTTTTGGCTTATCTTAGCTTTCGACATACTTTCCTCACCAACTTTCGACATACCTTCCTCACCAACTAACTTTTGACCTAAAGTTGGAGATGTGTGACTGTTCCTTTCACTTGAACCCTTAGAGGTCATTGTAGGATTATTAATTGGCCTAATTGCAAGATTGTTGTGTCTTAGGGAATAGGGAGGCCAAGAGAGGGCAAAAGCCAGTTGGTGAAGCAGTTGGAACACAAACCAAATTTATCAATTAAGTTCATCATCTTATATGGGCACAGTTTTTGGGACCCCGAAATAATTACAATAGTTTACATCAAAGATCGCTGGTCACAGATCACCATAACAGATAATATAATAATGAAAAAGTTTGAAATACTGCAAGAATTACCAAAAATGTGACAGAGACACGAAGTGAGCATGTGCTGTGGAAAAATGGTTCCAGTAGTCTTCTTAATGCAGAGTTGCTAGAAAAAATATCTATGAAGCAGAAGAAAGTGGAGCACAGTGAAATGAGGTATGCTTGTAGTCTTTGTTTTGTGCCTTTTATTTGAGGGAAACCGCATATCCCTTATGACTGGGTGCATGTTTTGAAGTGAGCTTAGGGAGTAGATCAAGTTCACAGATCTCTGAAAAGCTACAGGGATGGAGCATGGGGGTTCCCAGCAAGCCTCTTCACTTCAGGGCTGCAGCCAGGGCTGGGTGTGGACAAGGGGAGCAGTAGGGAGCAGCTGGGGGAGGATTTAAGTGTTCACCAACTATCTGGAGTTTCCAGATTCTCTAGGGGACTAGCCTACTTGTCATAAAATGCTGGGAGTAGGAATATTCCAATAACTGTTTCCATAAACATTTACTTTTTTTTTTTTAAAAGGTAATCTAGGCACATGGGGGAAAAATGGAAATAGTCCAAAAAGGTATAGAGGAAAAAAAGTCTCTCTTTCCGGGAAACAGTTCCTTGGCCAGGGTTTTTGGCCTTGACTCATTCTCTTGGGGGAGTAGGTGAGGGAAGGCGAGCAATCCTGGAAAGTCAGCACTTCTAGGATGAGAGGCGTCCTCTGGCTGTTTGGCATGTTTGCTTGATCATTTCCTCCTATTTTTATGCTTATTCATCCTGTGGCCTGTGTTCTCCTTGACATGCCTATTTTCTTTTCCACCCTCCTGTGGGGAGAGATAACATTCTCAGGACCTAATTCTCATCTGATAAGTTTTATTTTTAACCAACTTCTACACCCTTTCCTCTTTGCTTCTTATTTTCATGGGCCCATATACTTCTCAGCCTTCTCTGGCTTTCTCAGGAGGCATGTGCAGAACGTCTGGTATGGTATCTTGTGCCAGGGTTTTTCCAAATGGGAGCAGCTGGTCAGGGTACTGGGAACCTGGCTTGGCTTCCAAGAGCAGGGAAACTTTCTCCTCTGCACATGTTCCTGTTTTTAACCAGGCAATTCACTCTTACCTCCTGCTTCCTCTCTGGGCTGTCTGTAAATTTCATTTTATCATAAATTTATATTATCTTGATGAAGGAAACCCGCTTAAAAAACAACAAGACAGCTGTGACTTGCAGTGATGAGTGTGGACTAGTCTCCTATCAGCAGCAGTTTTGTAGCTGCTTAAGGCTTCCACAGTGTGACAACTAAGCCATGAGTTTACATGATGATTCTTGGTTTGAGATTTAATCAAACTAAACCAGTTGTCCACCCAAATGAAGAGAAAGGGTGTTTTGTTTTGTTGTCACGTGATCTCCAGTAGAGGCTTTCCCAGACAAGCATGTTAGGAGTAAACTGTTAGCTACTTAAGTATATATACATTCTTGGGTTTTTTTTTAAGCCTTTGACCCACCACTCCCCTCTCCCTAAATATAACTAAATATGGTTATGGCCGAAACTTTTCAAACTAACATCAGGGTGAAGAGGAACTTTTTAACCTGGAGAGGGGAATGGGGTTTGCAGGGACTGGCTGCATTCCCCAGAGAGAGGTGTGCATGGGAATGCTGCTCTCAACTTGAACTTCATGGCCTCCAAATGCATTTTGTTCTCAACGGACCAGTTGTCTCTCAAGTACACTTGGCTCTGTTGTGCATGGTGTATGCAGTCACTAAGCATTTCCTATAACACTGTATTAGGCACTTGGAAACAAGAGTTTAAAAAAATCCATGTTGTAGCTTCACAGGATGAAAGATTATTACCAAATGACTTAAGAATACTACTAACAAAATTACACACCTCATCATGGTGTAGCAACAGATCCCAGGAGACACACATGAATTAGGATAATTGGAGGACAGTTAAATACAGGCACATTTTACCACAGTAGGGAGGGTATAGGAAAACCACAAGGTGGGGAGGGTCTAGGGAAACCCTAGTGCCGTGCCCTAGGCTGCAACAGCAGGTGGTACCACCACTCAGAGGCAGGAAAGGGTGCGGGGTATGGGAAGAAATCAGTACCCAGAAACAGAGAGGCCCGCAAGAAGAGAATGAAGGGAATAAACACCGCGGCCTTCCCCTTTTCCCACTTCAGACCTGCAGGAGCACATCCCGGGCTAAACACATCTAGAAGTTAGCAGTCAATGGAGTCTGTTGACATAGCCTGTGCAGGTCGAGCTCCCGTGGCTCAGAGTAGGGCCATAAGGATAGAGAATGTGGAGAGGCAAAGGGAAAACAGTCGACACAGATGGCCTCCAGAGTTCACATGATCCAGCCCTGCCTGCTCCTCACAGCCTTTCTCCTACTAGGCTTTCCCCTATTTGCTATGTTCCTGACACTGCCATTTTCCTCTTCTTCAAACAAGTCAAGGTTGTTTCTGCCTCAGGGCTTGCACTTCTTCCCTCTGCCTAAAGTGTTCCTCCCTTTTCTACTTTCCATGGATGATGATGGGCCATTTAGATCTCAGCTCCTTAAAAAGGATTTCCATCCTAATGTTGCTTCCATCTCACCTGCCCATGGTCTATCTCACTATCCAGGTTTTACATTTAAGAGAGTAATGAAACAGTTTTATTTTAAAATGGTGATGTTTACTATATACTGGAAGTCGTATTCCTTGTAGCTATTCAAGCTTAAAGTGAAAAATCTAGATGTCAACCTTAACATTATGCAGTGGGTACCTGCTTGTATGAACCTCACTGGGAATGTGCAAACTAAGACGTGTGGACATCACTGGCAGGGCATAACCGCTCAACAGGGCCTGCTGGAAGGAATGAGTCATAGAAGGGAATGTCTCGGCTTTTCACCATGGTGATCTGCACTGCATTTCCTTCTCTACAAAGACCTATAAAGTCTCCTCCAAGGGCTTCAGAAAGATCCCACCTCCCTCTGATGGCCACACCCTGGCCCATTCTAACTCAGGTGGATATAAAGGAACCACAATTTGAAATGACTACTTTGGTTCCACCTAAGGATTGGTTTGTGTGGCAGACCAGGGTCATTTCCTTGTCTGTCAGAAGGCTCTGTCATGTTCCTTTCAGGCATCATCCACCAGGAGTGAGGTTTGAGGAGCCAAGCCTGGGTGGGAGCAATTTGAAGATTGTATTGCACTTGATAATTTATGGTGAGTGTTTGCAGCATTGTCTCATTCAGAGATGGACATGAAGCTGTTCTCAATGGCCTTCCTCCAAGTGCCATGATGTTCCTGACTTGAGCAGGCAGCCAGGATGCACCTGCACTTTCACTACCGGCCTGCAACAGGGCAGACCTCCATTCTGATCAGTGGGGCCTGTGCCACCTAGTTGTTAAGTATATTCATGATCACACCTGGTTTTTGGGACAGACACATCAGTTTTGGTTTGGAGGTCAAAGTTTTATTCCATGTTCTGCTGTTACTTGGTGGGCCACCATGCTTGTCCTCTGGTGGTGCTCTCCTAGTGACTGGGTTCAAGAGGAAATGTCATGGACATCTAGAACAGGGACCAAAGCCACACTGGACTAGAACTGGAAGCCAAGAGAACAGTTAGGACTGAGGAAACTCTCAGGGCAGCCATCTGACTCTCTCTGCCGCCCCGCTCTTCTCAGCTGCTCAGTTTCTTTTGGACCCTGGGGCCCCACGTGACTTTCTAGCTATTCCAGCTGCCTTCAGTTTTCCAATTCTCAAGAAAAAAATATGATTTACAAAGTTCATCTTTTTTTTTTTTTTTTTTGAGACAGAGTCTCGCTCTGTAGCCCAGGCTGGAGTGCAGTGGCGTGATCTTGGCTCACTGCAACCTCTGCGTCCCGGGTCCCAGTTCAAGCAATTCTCCTGCCTCAGCCTCCCGAGTAGCTGGGATTACAGGCACGTGCCACCACGCCCAGCTCACTTTTTTTTTGTATTTATGTAGAGACGGGGTTTCACCATGTTGGCCAGGCTGGTCTCGAACTCCTGACCTCATGATCCACCTGCTTCGGCCTCCCAACGTGCTGGGATTACAGGTGTGAGCCACTGCACCCAGCCATACAAAGTTCATCTTCATGAGCCAGACCAGAAGTCTGGATGGACTGCCTGACCTCTGGCCACATGTTCACAAGTGCTGTAGATGGAGGGGATGGGGTAAAATCATGGGGTATCCTATCCTATATGGCTGTTTAGAGCTGTTTCTCTCAGAAGGGGATGTGGGCAGAGCAGGCAATGGCAGGCATTCCTTTTCTAGGAATATAAGCAGTAGAGCCGATGTGCTTTGCCTGGCATAGTATAAGAAGTTTCAAGAATCCTGTCTGCCCCTAAAGTATCCTGCAGGACCTGAAGGCAGTACCTGACTTGAATTTCTGTTATTATTCACTGAAGGGCTAGTATATTTATTCATCGACTCTAGAGTCATTCAGCACCGGGGTTAGGTTCAGGTATAGGAACCCATTCCATCCCCTCCAGATCACATAGGAGCCCTTTCCCTCTTTTGGTCTGTCAAAAACAGAAATGAGGCTGGGTGCAGTGGCTCACACCTGTAATCCCAGCACTTTGGGAGGCCAAGGCGGGCAGATCACAAGGTCAGGAGTTCGAGACCAGCCTGGCCAACACAGTGAAACCCCGTCTCTACTAAAAATACAAAAATTAGCCAGGCATGGTGGCGGGTGCCTGTAGTCCCACTTACTTGGGAGGCTGAGGCAGGAGAATCGCTTGAATCTGGGAGGTGGAGGCTGCAGTGAGCCGAGATCCCACCACTGCACTCCAGCCTGGGTGACAGAGCGAGACTCCATCTCAAAACAAAATAAAACAAAACAAAACAAAAAAACAGAAATGAATACTGGGTGGGTTTATCCAAAGGAAAGTAAATCAGTTTATGAAAGAGATACCTGCACCCCCATGTTTATTGCAGCTCTATTCACAATAGCAGAAATATGGAGGCAACCTATGTCCATCAGTGGAAGAACTGATAAAGAAAATGTGGTGTACACAGAAACAATGGAATACTACTCAGCCTCAAAAAAGAATGAAATCCTGTCATTCGTGGCAACATGAATGAGCCTGGAGGACCTCATTTTAAGTGAAATTAGTCAGGCTCAGAAAAATACCAAATATTCATATTCATACGTAGCGCTAAGAAAACCATTGAGCTCATAGAAGTAAAGCGTAGAACTGTGGTTATTAGAGACTAGGAAGGCTGGTGGGGAGGGGAGAGGAGGGGAGGGGAGGAGAGACTGGTCAACAGACACAAAGTGACAGCTGATGGGAGAACAAGTTCCAGTGTTTTGTAGCACTGTGGGTGAATATAGCTAGCAACAATTTAGTGTATATTTTCAGAAAGCTAGAAGAGAGGATTTTGAATGTCCATAGCACATAAAAAAAATGATAAATGTTCGAGGTGATGAATATACTAATTACCCTGATTTCATTATTACACATTGTATACATGTATGGAAAATCACTCTGTATCCCATAAATAGGCAAAATTATTACATGCTGACTAAAAATAAAAGGAAAATAAAATAAAATCAGACCCATATTTCACACCACATGCAAGAAAAATCTCCAAATGAGTTTGAAATTTTAATGTAAAAAGTGATAGCATGTAAGCAATGGGTGATTTCCTCATTAACCTTGATGTACATAAAGGCTTTCTAAATATAACTGAAAATTCAGAGACATAATTAATAAATTTGACTATATTAAAAAAACCAGAAGTGAAGCAATTCAAATCACTTGTCACTTAAGAGGTGAACAGTTACAATTTGCTAAAAGTATACTTTTTCATCCTTCCAGGAGTGTTAAACATTTTGGTGAAGACAGGTCTGTTACATCAGCTTGTGGAGGTCTCAGCTGAGGGTCAGTGTCCCTGAATTTCCCTCCGTTCTACTCACTGGGCTCTGCTGCCTCCACAGCTGCCTGGACTGTGGCTGCAGAACACACGGAGGAAAGGAGCCGGGGACTGGGGCTCTGACTGAGGGACCAGGGCAGATGCACACTCCCTGACCCTACAGCTCTTACCAGTCTCATCCCATGGACTGTATCTGCCAATCCCCAGCAGGGCCAGGTTTCTAGTTTATGTTAAACTGGAAAGGTAACAGTCTTAGTTATTATCAGTTCCATGTTGGTTGTTACTAGCAAGCAAGGGGAGATGGTGACATGGCATACTGGCTGACTTCAGATGACAGGGGAAGTTTGAGATTGCTGTCACTGCTTGTTTGGAACAAACAGAACAGAAAGGCCTAAGACCGACCTAGCTTCTAAGGAAACGATACATCCTTATTTGGGTTCTGCCCAAACATCTCTTTCACATCTCTTGAGACTGCAATAGGGACCTCTCCTCTAATTTTAAGTGGAGAGTGGACTTGCCGTTCTGAGGATTTAGAATGGTAAAAGCCAAACTTGTATTTGTGGGTAAGTTGTTTCGAACCCCCATGAACCTCAATAAGAGAAGGCACCAAGTTTAAGAGGCCAAAGAAGAACCCCAGCACCAATAAATGAGACATGGGGTTTTATTAGGTGCTTATTTACAGGAGAGAGAGTCCAGTGGCAGTGGGCTGGCCAGGAGAACTGTTACCACCTGCAAACATCATGCTGTTTATGTAGCATTTTCACTTAACACCCTCCCCTCAACAACCTCTACCTAGCAACCTTCATTTAACCCAACACTAAGGGCCTCAATGCCCTTTACAGCCCATATTCCACGGGATGGACCCAGGGCTCGGATATTTACCATAGGCAAATAATAAATCTCCGGGTTGGGCATGCCTGGATTCCCTAGCTCAAAACACACATTCAGGTGGCATCTGCCATACAGGGTCCATTCTAAGAGTATGCTTAAATTATTACTATCAGGTGCGTTAACCCTACCGTGTATAGGTGAAAGTATTGAAACTTTGAAACTGGCCTTAAGCTTACTAGCTGTGTGACCTTAGGAAAATTCCTTACCCTCTCTGTGCCTCAGCTTCCTTGTCTATAAAATGGGGCTCATAATAGAACATATTTCCTGTTGGCTTTTATGAGGCTTAATGAGTGAATATTTGTGAAGTGATTACAACAGTGCCTGCCACACGATGACCAGCATATTCATGCTTGTTTAATAAATACAGACACTGTGATAACTACTGCCCTGGTAGAAGAAGTTAGTGTCTTATCTCTGAAGATTTAAATAATGGAAAGCTACCTATTTGCCTCCTTGTATGCGCACTGACTTGCAAAACAGTTTCGCCATTTGACACCTGGACTCTGAGAGCAAGAGAAGCAGGAAATAGGGGTTTCAGACAGTGCCAAGCAGAGCCGAATAAGACCTTGGCTTAGGGAGCTTGGATGGAAGGGTGGAGGAATGGAAGGCACCTTGCCGTGGGGCAGCAGCTGAAGGCACTTTTTCTCATTTCGCATTTCCCAAGGTGCGTTCTGCCTCTATACTTCACTTGACTCATTGGGAAAATGGAATGAGTAGACGAGTAATACTTGACCCTGTGCGAGCACTTATAGCTACACAAATTCAATCACGTCTCTGAAACCCACATAGGAGCCTGGTCTTCGCGATGACCTGTACAAATGACAGTAATGTTATTATGAAGTTTTGTCTTCAAGGAGAATAATTACATCATGGCCATTTCTTTCCCTATTAAATTATGGCCAGCTGCCTCTTAATAAAAAATAAAAAGAAGGACTCTGCATTTACTGTAGTTAAATGTTAATGGTCTTACCATAGGCAAGGAACAAATCTCCGGGTTGGGTGCCTGGATTCCCTAGCTCGAAACACACATTCAGGTGCATCTGCCATACAGGGTCATTCTAAGTGTATGCTTAAATTATTGCTATCAGATGCATAATATTTTCCCCAAACCCCAGCCATGTGTTTCTATGGAGGTAGAGATCATTGTAGAACAAAGATATCCCAAGATTGTGAAGAAGGGGCATTGATGACCTTTAACCCTATATAAGGTCTGAGCTCCTCCACAGCTGCTGCTGCTTTACTGAACAAACTGCTGAGCCCGAGACTGGAGGGGTCTTTAGAGGTCAGCTCGTTCCTCCATCAGATGCCTGACTGCCCCTTCTTATTACCAGCTGTGACTTCCTTCTGCAAAACCATACTTAAGCCAGACTAGTGCAGGGTCCACTGCCCACATGGTTGGAAGTGTGTGGTCACACAACTACCAAAGTTCTGGACCCGTGAAGTAGTCCTTGCTACAGTATGTTCAAGCCTGGAAAAGTCTCAGCTCTGGGATAAGGTAAGGACACTCGATTTTGACATCCTTGGGTATACGGTGCTGCTTTTTGGATGATAAACACACAAAAGGGCAGGGAATGCTGCAGGAAGCTAAGCACAACCATCAGCGTTGTGTGTGTGACATGTAGGTGGTCCTCTTAGGCGTTGAGAGACAGTACTGGATGTTTGGGGTATGAAATTGTGTTAATTACCAGTACTTCATAGTAGCTTGGCAGAGAGTCAGAAACATGTATTGGAAACAACATGGACTTTGGAGTCAAACTTGGTTTTAAACTCCAGTTCAGCTGTTTATAATTGTGCAAGCTGTGTATGTTATTTAACCTCTAGATCCCTCAGCTTCCTCCTCTGTCACCTTGCCTCCATTCTCAATGGTTACATAATAACTTACAAAATGTTTATTGTCCCCATGAATCTGGGCTCTGCTGGCTTAGAGGCTTTAGTGCCCAAAGGATGTACACTTCCACCAGGAGGTACAGTGATACTTCTGTTGAATTTGGATATTAAAAGCACCACCTGGCCATTTACGGCTTCAGGAATTACTACTAGGTAAGTAGGCAAACATGAACAACAAAAAACAGTGTTGGCTGGAATATTCGATGAAACTACTAAGGGCAAGCAAAAGTCACTGTTGCCCAAAGAAGATTCAGAGAAACGGGATGGAAGATATCAAAGCTTACCCTGGGTTCCCTCCCTGGACTAACGTGCCCCGTAAAGGTTAAGAGACAGATCTAGCAACATTCCTCAGGCAGCACTTCACGGAGTTCAGCCCCACTGAGAACGAGGGTTTGGGTTACTCTTCCAGGAAAAGAGCCCTGAACAGCTGTGGAGCTGGTTGAAGGGGAAGTGTAATGGTTAAACAAATGTTTAACCATTGAAAAGTGCAACAGTTAAACAGTTACCAGTTGACTCCATATCCACCCTTCATTACCTCGATGATGAAGCTACGCCCTGGAAAAATTTCTCCCTTGCCTTCTCGCACAATGTTAAACTTTGTCAGTAGAGGGTGCTGGAGGGATGTCGCAGGAGGAAGGGACCTCTCTTCCTGTCCTCAGTGTGCTTATTTCGGCTTGCTCCATGGTTTGCGGTAGCATAGACTGCAGGACACCAGGTGGCACTTACCCTTTAGCAAGTTTTAGCTAGTCCCCAGCCCGCGTGCTCGGCTCCTGGCACCCAGTGGGAGGCTTCCTGACCACCAACCAGCCTCAGCTCCCAGAGTTTGGATCAGCTCCAGCCCACCATTCAGTGGGCTGCAGCCCAGCCTTGTGAAGGGGCTGCCCTTCCAAGTTTGTTCCTCCCTCAGCTGCTCCTCTTCAGCCCTAGGACATGTTTTATGTATCAACATATACTCCCTATACATACTTCTTCATGTTAAACTTTCTCTGTTCAAATTACTTAGTTTCTGTCTCCTGCCTGGACCCTGACTGATACAGAATTGGTATCGGGAGATCCCTCCTATTCCTTCTGAAAGTGCGCGCGCGCAGGTACGTCAGTACGCGGTTTTTGAAGGCTTTCTTTGGGCCTAAGTGCAGTGCTCAGCTACTTGCCAATTGGAAATGAGACGTGAATAATCTATTGCATGCAGTGGCAATACAATTAAGCCCTTGTGTTTAATTGCAATGAAAATGTCAAAGGAAGCAGGTTCCTTGGAATCCCAAGCAATTGCTTGACCTGACTGTTCCAGCAGTAGAGATGACTACATGGGCTGTGATGTGGAGTGGATTTTCCTGACTTTACTAGAATATTTACAGAGAGAAAGTGATGGAATCAGGTCCTTTAATGTCTTTCAGCTCAAGTGACAGTCTGAGAACCAGAGAGCTTCTATTTTAGCCCTAAAATAATTGCTGTTTCTTATTACCACAGAGCTGCTACTTCTGAAAATAAGACATAAAATTTAATTCCATGGGTTGCTGAATTAGGATAAATTCACAGTGTTGCAAAATTTCTTGTGTTAAAATTTACGGCATTGACTGGGAAAGAATGGGATTCTGAAACCTGGAATATCTGATTGGATTCAGATAAAACTGACAGTCCTGAAACCCCAAGTCATGCTGAGCTTCCTTGGCCAGTGAAAGTCCCTTGCCTTTCATTGTCTGAATAGACTAGCCTTCTTTAGCTTGAAAACCTTTATAACCTCATTTGGGGCAGATGCCTTGGAAGGGGATGTTCATTCTTAAGACCCACCGGGACCATCCCTTGTTCCATTAGCCCTATAACTAAGGTAAATTCTCAGCATGCTCCAAAGACAGGTATATACTAGGATTGGGGGAGGAGAAACTCAGACACTAAGTGAATTGCAAGACTTTGCTAATATTATCTATCAAAAGAAACCTGGAGAATAAGTATGGGAGTGGATTCTAAAGGTGTTACCTACTGTGGTTATGGATTTTCTCCACCTTATATTTTTACAAGGCTTTTTGCTTTATGTTCTTTGAAGTCCTGGAGAAACAGCACAATTCTTTGTGACCATTACGATTTTTGTGGATTATAAGTTTTAAAAATCCCCTCTTTTTTCCTTTGGTGATAGCAGACAAAATAGAGTTCAAGCAACTATTAATATTATTATGCTCATCTTCTGGGTAGAATTTTTTTCTGTTTTTTTCATCAATCTATTTTCAACTTTTAGGTAATATTTTATTTTAGGGGTATCTCATAAATAGTCCATAGCTTTACTTCCCCTCACATGAGGCAACTGTTACAGGCACAGCGTGTTAGATTGACATGCTGTATTTTACCCTGTTTGTTTTCCTGTTTGTTTTGTTCCTTTTTGTCTTTGATCAGTTTTTTGTTTGCTTACTTTTATTCTTGTTCCTGTTTTTTACTCTAGTGGTTCAGAAACAATACATGACGTTTTTTTCTAGTAGTTAACCTTAAATTTTTGACATGTATTTAACATTTTTCTATCTTCTAATCAGAATGTATAGCTTCCTCTTGCAGAAAATGTTTTGCATGTTTTGTTCCTGTGTTTCATCCACCTCTCATGTTAAGATAATCTCAGATATTAGTTCTGGTTTTTTTTTCTGTAATAAAGAATATTTAGAGAATTTTTACTACCTTCTAGATTGCCATTGTTTTTATATTCCATGTATTCCTTTTGTATTCATTATTTTTCTTTAGCAAGAAAACACCCTATAACAGTATTTCAGAAAGTATCCATGGATGCTAAACTTCAGGTCTTTGCATGTCTGGATTTTCCTCCTCTCCTCTGAATGCTACTTTGGCTGCTTGGTCTATCATTCAGTGAGATTTAGGCTGAAATCTCTTACTATGAATGTAGGTTTTTCTATTTCTTCATGTAGTTGTGTTAATTTTGCTTTATCTATTGAAAAACAAACATTTTATTAAACCTATATAATTATAGAGCTTTTTATATCTTCTTGGTGATTTGAACTTTTTGAAAAATCATTGAGATGATCCTCTTTCTCTGGTGATGCTTTTTGTTTAAAAATCTCGCGTTTGACATTGATAGAGCCACTTCAGCATTCTTTTTAAAAAAATCATCTTTATTGTCAATCTTTTAGCATCCTTAGGCTTAAAAGTGGCTCATAACTGCATATAGTTGGATTTTTTCAAATAATAAACTTTGTTTTTTAAATGGATAAATGTTTCAGTTAAATTACTTTTCAGTTAAATTTTATTTTTTATAAGTTATATTTTGAAAAATTTAAATCTACAGAAAATTTGCAAGGATAGTAAGCACCAATTAGATTTGCCAGTTATTAACATTTTACCCCATTCTCTCTATATAAATATGTGTGTACATAAATGCATATTTAGATATACATAAAATTCATAAATATATATACATATATGTAGTTTTATGAATTATATGAGAGTTGACCATCAGGAACATTTTTCTTACAACAATAGAACTGTCCACTCCAACATTTTAATATTGACATGATATTATCATCTAATATACAGTCCATATTCAGATTTCCCCAATTGTTCCATTAAGGATTTTTATCAATATCCGTGCTACCCAGGATCCAACCAAAGGTCATGAACTACATTTCATTTACTTTTAGTCTCCTGTAATGTGGGACAGGTCCCCAGCCCCTTTTCATTTGTTATTCTTTTTTTAAAGTTTTTCATGGCATTCACTCTTTTTCTGTTTCTCTCTCTCTCTCTGTCTCTGTGTGTGTGTGTGTGTGTGTGTGTGTGTGTGTTTTAAAATCCATCTCAGTTTTATAGATATCCTTCTATTTGGATTTGTCTCATGCTTTCCCCTTTCATGATTAGGTCTAGGTGTATATTATTGGCAGGAGTACTACACAGATAGGTAATGTTCTGTCCTTATCAGTGTGGTATAATAGGGGTGTGTGTGACACAGTTGGCCTTACTGGTAGTAATATTAAGTTTGGTCAATTGGTGGGTGTCTGTAAGATTTCTCCACGTTCTGCTTCCCAACAGTCACTTACCCAATATTTTATCATCCATTGGTGATTTTTTTTTCTGGCTGTAAAGGAATCTGTTGCTATCATTGCTTCTATGCTTGTTAGTTGGCAGCCTACTCTAAGAAAGAGCTTTCCCCTTCTTTCTCCTTTGCCTCATCTTTTTAAAAATAAATTTCTAGTATCAGCATGGGTTCATGAATGATTTTGTTTATCCAGTGTTATAATCTATTCCGATCATAATTCATTTTAAGATTTAAATGATACTATACTTGGCCATGAGAGCTCTTTGAAGCTCCTGTGTCAAGGGATCTTGTGTCCTTTTGATAGTACCCACCAGTTTTTGAACACTTCTTTACTCTCTGGTATAAGGTCTTCCTTTTTACCTTGCCTGTCTCTGCCCTGTAATCAGTTCACTTCTCTTGTGTAGTGGAGAATGGTATTCAGAAACTGAAATCTGGATAGTAGGTGTAGTAGGTGTGCTCTTTGTACAGAGATTTAATTGCTTCTAGGTCTTTTCTGTGGCAAGAACTAAGAAATAATAATCTTGATTCATACTAATGATGGCTCAATTCCATTCTAAAACTACAGCGTTTCTTTTCTTTCGTCCTCACATTTGACATTTCTACCTCTCTTCTCCCACAATGAAAACCTGGGTTCTCAAGAATACATTTGCTCAGTCCTGCAAGAAATTCAAAATATTTCATAATTGCGTCATCAACAACAAACTCACTCGTCAAATTTAAGATTTCGTTGCAGTTTTCTTTTTGTCCTTAGACTCAACTGTATTTCACTGAGGGTGTATTGTCAGAGTACTATGTTCAGAAGTTATTTGGATTAATTTTTCCTTCTGTGTAATTATGTATCAATGTGATATATAGCTATGTTCTTTAGTTTCTGTTTGCATTTGATTTTAGCGTTTCCCCATTCTTGTTTTCAATGTATTTTTTTAAATACATAAAACATTAATGTGGTTCAAAAGTCAAAACTGTACAAAAAGGTATACTCTAGAACTCTGATACCATTTTCTCTCCATTCTACCCCCGTAGGTAGCAAATTTTATTTCATTTATCCTTTCTGTTTTATTTTGCAAAAATAAACTTATATATATTCCCATTTCTTCTTTCTTACACAAAAGATGACAGAAAATTTTTTACATCTTGTTTTTTCACTTTAAAATATATCCTGAAAACTACCTGTAACAGCTTATAGACATCCTCCTCTTTTTTGTATGTTTCAGTTAGATTAAGTGTGATCATTGGTTGATTTTTAGATCTAACATCTTATTTTGTGCTTTGTACTTATCCTGTTTTGCTGAATTTTCTTTCTTCTTTCATTTTTCAGTATTTAATCATTCAATTTTTCCCCAACTAGTTTAGATTTTCTACATTCTTTTTCTATTCCTTTTAGATGTTATCCTAGAAATTACAGCATGCATCAAAGTTTAAAGTTCATTGATAACTTTACCATCCTTCTGGAAAATGCAGTGATCTTGGAACATTTTAACTCTACATATCCCTCTCCCAATTTATATACTATTGTCATGTATTTTATTTCTATATTTCAAACCCTCAAGACATATTTTATGCATTCAATCTTTATTTAGATGAACTTGCAAATCCTTCTCACATCTCTTAATTTTCATGTTGGATCATTGTTACTTCTACCTGAGAGATAGCAGTTAAGTTTTCCTTTATTTAGTTGACAAACTCTGTTTATGTTTGTCTGAAAATATCTTCATTTCACCTTGGTTCTAAAAATATTTTCTCTGGGAATAGAATTCTAGGTTGACAGTTATCTTCAACCTACTGAAAGAAAAGATCATTCCACCATTTTCTGTCTTGTTGCTGTTGATCTGACACTCTTTTGAAGAAAATTAGTTGTTTTTTTCTTTGACTTCATTTAGGAATGCTTGCCTTATCTTTGGTTTCCAGCAGTGTCACTATGCTGTATCTAGGCATGGGCATATTTTTCACTTATTCTGGCGGAAAGTCACGAACTCCTTGAATCTGGATTGGCTATGAAAAATTCTCAGCCATTGTCTTTTCAAATGTGGTCTCTGTTCCACTCTCCTCTTCTTCAGGAACCCCAGTTGAGTGCCTTTGATCTTAACCTCTTCCTTCTTACTTGATCTTTTGCATTTTCTATCTGTTTGCCTTTTGAATACATTCTGATAACTTCTTTTGAGTGTGTGTGTGTGTGTGTGTCCCAATTCATGAATATGCCTGACCTGCTATTATTTACTGAGTTCTTAACTTTGGTCATCACATTTCTTAATTCTAGACATCCTATTTGGTTCTTTACCTTATTTGCTAAATTGGTTTGTAATAGTTTCCTGCTCCCTGCAGATGTTTTCAAGCATATCTTGCATATTTCTTTAAACCTAATTATCAGAGTTCTGTTATAGACAGTCCAAATCTGGGGTGTGTGTGTGTGTATCTATGTGTGCACGTGCATACCTGATAATGATTTTTCCCCTCATGGTGACTTGTGTTTAATATGTATCCTCATCACTGGTTACTGACTATTGTCTTGGAAATATCTCTTGAAACAAGTGGATAACCAGAACAAAATTACAGTCTTCTGGAGAGCATTTGAGTTTTCTTCTTCTAGGCACCAGAGGGAAAATCTTGTCCTGGACCACCTTAATCAGAGGTTTCGGTTCTGGTATTACACATGATGCAAGAGCTCACAGGAGGCCTGGATTCCCCTGGTTCATTCTCACCTTTGGGCCCTCAGGTTATTGAGGGGAGAGGCTTCCATTAGACTTGCTGTTATGGAATCATTGGGGTGTCCCTTCACCAGCCAGAAACCTCTGTGGCCGGTGGCACCTTTGCCCAAGTTTTGCTTGGGCCCACTGGGCCTACTTGGCCCAGCAGGCTGCGCTCAGCTCGCACTCCTGGCCTGGATCCCATGCCTGTCAAGGGCAAGCAGAGTGGTGAGGTGAGTGAGCCAGCGTGGGGTCCAAGCCACTGCACACAGCCAGGCATACTGTGGGGCGGGCAGCTCCAGGTGTCAGCATGGGTGCCAACTCCCTACGAGGCTGCAGCTTAACCAGGTGACCTGCAAGCAACTTCCACAGCTGCCACCAGGGAAGCTGGTGGCACCTGGAAGCTGGGAGATGCCAGGAACTGCAGAGTCCCAGAGAAGGTGTTACAGCCCTGGCTTGGGGAGCTCCTAGGTCTGATCTCCCTGAAGGGCCACAGCTCTTCTCTCCTTCTTGTAGCATGCAATGTGGTGAGCAAGGGGTGTGTTTCAGCCCCATTTGTGTTACAGCTCTTCACCCCTACCATTCAGCAGGTCCCAAGTTCTTGTCCTGCACCAAGGAAGAATGAGGTACCTGGACAAGTGTAGGGTGAGCAAGGACAAGAGGAGCTTTACTGAGTGATAGAACAACTCAGAAGAGACTCACAGTGGGTAGCTCCTCTCTGTAGCCAGGATGTCCTGGTGAGTGTTCAACTCAGCAGAGAGGAGGCTCTAGAGTGGGTAGCTCCTCTCCATAGCTGGCTGTCCCAACATCTGCTCAGCTCTCAGTAGGGAGGAGACCCTGGAGTTGGTAGCTCCTCTCTGCAGCTGGTTGTCCTGATGTCTTTCTGAGTCTGGCTGAGTCCAGGGTTTTTATAGGCTTTAGAGGGGAGGATGTGCATGCTGATTGGTTCATGAGTCTCCATGGGTGGGCCCAGAAAGAGTACCATAAGTTCCCACTCCTGTCCACAGGAATGGCAGCCTGGCCCCTAGGCTATAGGCCTTCCCTGGCTTGAAGGTGAGGCTTCACTGGGGACCTGCCCATTTCCACCCAGAAGCCTGTTTGCCCCCTGCTGCTGCTTATGGTGCCCAGGCTGTTCATGCTGATAGGTGCCTGCAAGGCAGCACCAAGCTGCTCTCAGCAACCCCCTAGGCTTCCCTCCCATGCTCATTGGTGCTCAAAGTCCAGAGGAGGCCAAGGCAGCAGGGGGCTGTCATGTCAGTGCTTCCCTGAGCTTGCTCACACCTGGCTGGGTTGCAACAGCACCTGGGCTCAGCCTCAACTTTGCTCCTAGACTGAAGTGAGTACTGGGAGTGGGGAGAGGCCAGACAGTGGGAGCAGACACTTCTTTTTTTTTTTTTTTTGAGACAGAGTTTTGCTCTTTTTGCCCAGGCTTGAGTGCAATGGCGCGATCTTGGCTCACTGCAACCTCCGCCTCCCGGGTTCAAGCGATTCTCCTGCCTCAGCCTCCCAAGTAGCTGGGATTACAGGTGCCTGCCACCATGCCTGGCTAATTTTTTGTATTTTTAGTAGAGACGGGGTTTCACCATGTTGGCCAGGATGGTCTTGATCTCTTAACCTTGTGATCCGCCTGCCTCAGCTTCCCAAAGTGCTGGGATTACAGGCATGAGCTACCGTGCCCAGCCTGGGAGCAGGCACTTCTAAGCCTTCTCTGCACTTCGTTGAGAGTGCAGAGATGCTGGAACTGCAGCAGTGGCTGGGCAGCTGCAGTTGTGCCTGGGAGGGTAGGACTCCTGCTTGCTCCCAGCCCCCAAGAGCATAGGGATGCCTGGGTATGCAACTGTGGCTGGATAGTCATTGCTGTGCCCAAGGAGTGCAAAGCTCCGGCCCTGTCAACTCAGAAGGGAGCAGAGCTTTTGCCTGTTCCCAGCTCTGGCCAGCTCCATGGAGTGCACAGCCCCAGCCGCACCTCCTTCACTGCAGCTGGCATCATGGGGCAGTGGCTGCTCTAGACAGTCCACTGCTGCGATCATTGTCACCTTATGTGGGTCTGGGCTTTAATATATGTCCCTTTTATAGCCAAAAGGCATTAACATGCAAGTTCAAATCTAGGGGGAGTAATAAACCTCTTCCAGACAAAAGTGGCTTCTATACTCATTTACCTCCAGAGTTACTTTTGTTCTAATAACTTTTGTGTTATTAGCTGCTCTTACCTTTAAGAAAGGTGTGCATTTCTTTTTTTTTTAATGTTTTAATCAGAGATTTGAGGTTTGTTTTTGCTTTGTTTTCAAGAGGGCTTTGTTTACAGATGATCTGAAGTATTCCAGTTTCCTCTGACAATTTATTTCTGCCTGCTTTCTGACTTTGAAGGGTTGGTATGCTTCCATTTTTCATTATAAAGCAGGCCAAATGCTGTTACTTTCCAGTGTTGTATGTATATAGAATGCATAAAAATGAGAGAAGGAAGCTTTTCTGTGCCAGGCACCATAATAAGTGTTTTATAATTAATTAGTCTTTACTACAACCCTGGGAGATGATAGAATTGGAGGTGGCTATTGTTTTTCCCATTTTATGCAAGAGGGAAATGAGGTTAAGTAACTCCACTAAGGTCATAAAACTAGCAGGTGGCCAAGCCGTAGAGTCAAGCCAAGGTCTGACACCCATAGCCTGGCTCTTAACCACTGCATCCCAGCAGTTTCCATTTACAGAGATGTAGCCAGTTACTGTAATTAAAATCATTAGAGATCTAATGACTTCGAACTCAATTTTGACTCAATATGCACAGAAATCATAATTGACTCAATATGTACTGATGCTATAATACTCAAGGCATTGCTAGTCAAAGCCATGATTCCAACCATATTTACCTTGTATCTGTGTATATACACAGGGCTGCACTTCTCACCTTTGCACCATCAACAGAGACATTGGCTAATCTTTGGTCAGGGCAACACCACTTCAGTAATTTCTTTTCTGTTTTTTTTTTTTTTTTTCTTTTTTCTCCTCTCTAGACAGTTGGTGCAGAAGGGGGGCAATAGGTTATTTACTGTCTGCCATCATGTTGCAAATCGGGTTCACTGATCAATTTTTTTAAATATGAAAAGCTATTAAGAGTATGAACTTTATTCCTTTTGGCTTCAGTCATTCCTGTGGGTTTTTATATGAAGCCATACATTGTAGTTGTTAAGAATGTGGGCTTTAGAACCAGGCTGCCTGGGTTCAAATTCTGACCCCGCTACTTACTAGTTATACGACTTTGGGCAAATTATTTGACCTTTATGTGCCTTGGTTTCCTCAGCTGAAAAAAATGGAGAAACAACAGGAACTACCTCAGTGTTAGGATGAGGATTAAATGTAAAGTAGTTGAAACAGTGTTTGACACAGTGTTGTTATCATAGTGTTATTATGAGGATTAAATGTAAAGTAGTTGAAACAGTATTGATAACAATTGAATGCTTATTCTTACTAATATTTTCATTGTTTACTTCTGAATAGTCTCTAACTGCAGGGTTGTTTTTCTGAATCAAGAATTTTATTGTAAAACTTCTAAGTGATTAG
Organism: Homo sapiens; assembly: GCF_000001405.40. Taxonomy (NCBI): domain Eukaryota; kingdom Metazoa; phylum Chordata; class Mammalia; order Primates; family Hominidae; genus Homo; species Homo sapiens. Next base: position 33,899,256 of record NC_000014.9, on the reverse strand, counting down.
TATATTTTTGTTTATTTTTACTTTTTCCAGGTTTATTACATATTTTAAACAGAACATAACAAAAATTTCAAAACCATAAGTCTTATAAGGATTTCAGTAATCCAATACCTCAACAAATTTTGGTGCAGAAACATTTGAGAATGTCTATTTTCTAAAGAATAGAAAATTATTTGTGTTCACATTGATCTCTATTAAATCATCCTTGTTTATGTTAATTTTCTAATACTCTATACTTTTTAGCCTACTCAATCTGAAAATCAGAAACTCTCCATAATCTCTAGATACATGTATTTTGGATTTTTTTTTTTTTTTTGAGATGGAGTTTCGCTCTTGTTGCCCAGGCTGGGGTGCAACGGAGCAGTCTCAGCTCACCACAACATCTGCCTCCCAGGTTCAAGCACATCTCCTGCCTCAGCCTCCCGAGTAGCTGGGATTACAGGCATGCACCACCACACCCGGCTAATTTTGTATTTTTAGTAGAGACAGGGTTTCTCCATGTTGGTCAGGCTGGTCTCAAACTCCCGACCTCAGCTGATCTGCCCGCCTCGGCCTCCCAAAGTGCTGGGATTATGGGTGTGAGCCACTGCACCTGACTGATTTAGGTGTTTTATTAAAACAATCTTTGCTTTGTAGTTACTGGATTCTTCTGATCCTTGCTGAGGGAAATATTTTTTTATTGAATTATTCTTTTTCCTGTCTTTTATTACTGTTTTCTCAGAATCTCTGAGAGTCAAATTTTGGTTTAAGATTAGGGACACTTTATAGGAGCTAGAAGAGCAAGGTATTCTTCCTGTCACTGGATTGGCACCAGCAGAAACAGGGACTGAAACATTGAGATACTGCAATAAGAAGGTGGTGGAAACATACAGTTAAGCTTGTTCTTGCTCATTTTTAAACCATAATATTTCTTTGGCTCCAAATAACACAACAGCTTTCCTCCTCCTCCTCCTCCCTCTCCTCCCTCTCCTCCTCCTCCCTCTCCTCCTCCTCCCTCTCCTCCTCCTCCCTCTCCTCCTCCTCCCTCTCCTCCTCCTCCCTCTCCTCCTCCTCCCTCTCCTCCTCCTCCCTCTCCTCCTCCTCCCTCTCCTCCTCCTCCCTCTCCTCCTGGCATCCCTAGGAGGAAGCCAAAAGAGCCAAGGGGAAATCAGATTCTACATGAAGAGGTAAGAACACTCTGCCAAGCCTTATTAACTGGGAGCAGCCTGCTCTCTCGTAGGGCAACTCTTCAGAGATTGTGTTTCATGACATTGCAGACATGGTGCCTGCTTATTCTCAGGCTTCCACGAGAATTTTTCCTCTCCACACTCTACCTATGAAAGTTGCTAGGCAGCCAGGAGATAAAAGTGTTAGAGGATGTGACCGTTTTCTTGCAAGTTTTTCTCTGTTTCTACCTACACAGAGCAAAGAAGCTTTCCTGTAGGGATTTATCTTCAAAAGCAAAGCATTCTTGTCTTTGCTTCTCTGCCTACGTTATTAGCAGTAATGGAATGGCCCAGTTTTCTAAGACTACAAAATCAAGGGAGCACAACTTCTGCATTTAACTGCCTGTGCTGTACCTCCTGCCTTGAATGCCTTCACCTGCCATGGAAGGACTTTGAAGGTTGCTTAGTACAGGGGTTGGTAGTTCACTAGTGGAGGGAGTTGATTTGCTGCCAGACATTCTCTTATGCAGCCAGTCCCTTCATTCCCACATGGTCGCTGTTCTTTTTATAATGATGACACCCTTGCCTGCCTTCAGCTGGACCGGTCTTTTGAACTCTTGATCCAGTAGTGGTGATGGCCTTGCTCTTACACACTACTCTTTATCTACCAATCACTACAGTGTATCAGAAGAGCAACTATCTGGTATAAGAGAAAAAACTTTAGCAGGGTTTGATTCTCTTGTTCTTTTACCTACCGAAATCTTATCTTTGCAAGACAAGTTTAAACACTACTTCTGTTTTTATCCTTTATCTAACTTAATTTCCCACTACACGATGCTATGAAATTCAAGGAACTCATCATATACTGCCCTTGTAGTTGTCAGTGAGAATGTTTTATTTTACTTTATTTTGTATGTATCTTTGGGGAAACAAACTAAATGCCTTTTATGAAGTAGTCATTTAACAGCAGTTGCATAAGTGGGTGATCAAATCTGAAGTGCTGTTGTTTAGCAATGTTCCATTACCATCTAAACTAATCAGCCACTGGACAAAGTAGTGTATTTCCATTAGTGTTTTTTTTCCTTAGAGATTATTTGTGCATGCAGAAAACTTTATTTTATTTTAAAACATGATACAGAGTATCTCTCCCAGTCTGGGTACTGAGAGTAGGCACTGGCCACATTCGCCTCTGCAACCTTCCCTTTCCTGTTTCCCATGGCTTAACCTCTTTTGATGGACTATTTTTCTGTTAGGTTGTAAATACCTACTGACAGTGCATAATCATGTACAGGCCCAAGGGTCATTCTATTGCTTCGATCGTCTGTCTCAGCCATTGTATATCTCTAGTTTAACTTTGTCAAAGGTCTTAGATGCCAGCACATAGTAGCCCTCAAATAGTAACACATGATCATATGATCAAATTAATTAACAGACTTTACTTTCACTTGCAATCACTTCTGCTACTACTGTATGTAGAATGAAAGGGTTTCCTTTCTTTAGACAATTACTTGGGAATCTTGTCCAGGTCTCTCTGTTGGTCAATCACTCAACCCGAATTTTTGAGCAAGAACTATATGCCTCAAGCCATTATATGCACTACGGAATGAATATACGGAAGTAGGTTCCCTTGAAGGAATCTCAATCTAGTTGATTAGGCAACATATACCCATATAACTCAGTGAATGAGATGATGGTATATGAAACAACATTATCAACTACTATAAAGAAACTTCTCGCCGGGCGCGGTGGCTCACGCCTGTAATCCCAGCACTTTGGGAGGCCGAGGCGGGTGGATCATGAGGTCAGGAGATCGAGACCATCATGGCTAACAAGGTGAAACCCCGTCTCTACTAAAAATACAAAAAATTAGCCGGGCGCGGTGGCGGGCGCCTGTAGTCCCAGCTACTCGGGAGGCTGAGGCAGGAGAATGGCGTGAACCCGGGAGGCGGAGCTTGCAGTGAGCCGAGATCGTGCCACTGCAGTCCGCAGTCCGGCCTGGGCGACAGAGCGAGACTCCGTCTCAAAAAAAAAAAAAAAAAAAAAAAAAGAAACTTCTCATCAATGTTTTTACAAATTCCTCTAGCTTTATTAAGATAAAATTGACAAATACAAATTGTATATATTTACAGCATACAATGTAATATTTTGATGTTTGTGAAATGATTAAATCAAGCCAATTAACATATCCATCACCTTGTATACTTATCTTTTTTTGTAGTGAGAATACTTAAGATCTACTTTCTTAGCAATTTCAAGTATGTAGTATATTATCATTAATTCTAGTAACCATGTTGTACAGTAGATTTTTAGAAGTTACTCATCTTGTCTAACTGAAGTTTTGTGTTACCATTTGACCAATGTCGTCTTCTTCCCCCTCTCCCTGACAAACCACCATTCCACTCTGGTTCCAAGAACTCAACTTTTTAGATTTCACATATACGTGAGATCATGTGGTATTTGTCTTTCTATGCGTGACTTATTTCACTTAGCAGAATGTCCTTCACGGTCATCCATCCTTCTTTTTTGAGGCTGAATAGTATTCCATTGTGTATATATACCACATTTTCTTTATTCATTTTCTGTACATCTGATGATGTATACCTGGGTTGCCTCTATATTTTGCTATTGTGAATACTGCTGCAATGAACATGGGAGTACAGATACCTCTTCAATGTATTGATTTCATTTTCTTTGGATATATACCCAGAAATGGGAATGCTGGACAATATAATAGTTTAGTTTTTTTGGGGGGGCACCTCCATACTGTTTTCCTTAACGGCTATACTAATTTACCTTTCTGACAACAGTGTATGAGGATTCCCTTTTCTCCACTTATCTTTTTGATAATAGCCATTCTAACAGGTGTGAGGTGATACCTCATTGTAGCTTTAGTTTGCATGTCCCTGCTACCTAGTAATATTGAGTGTTTTTTCATATACCTGTTGGTCATTTGTATGTCTTTTGAGAAATGTCTATTTGGGTCCCTTGCTCAATTTTTAATTGGGTTGTTTCCCTGCTATTGAGTTCCTTGTCTATTTTGAATATTAACCTCTTATCTGATATATGGTTTGCAAATATTTTCTACCATTCTGTAGGTTGTCTCTTCATTCCATGGATGGTTTCCTTTGCTGTGCAGAAGCTTTTGTGTGTGTGTGTGTGAGTGAGTGTGTGTGTGTGTGTGTGTGTGTGTGCAGAAGCTTTTTAATGTGATGCAGTCCATTTATTTTTGCTTTTGTTGCTTGTGCTTTTGGGGTCCTGTCCAAAAAAATCATTGTTTACACCAATGTCAAGAAGTTTTTCCCCATTTCCTCTAGTAGTTTTATAGTTTCAGGTCTTACATTTAAGTTTTTAATCTATTTTGAGTTGATTTTTGTATATTGTGTGAGATAAAGGTCTAATTTTATTCTCCTTCATGTGGATATCCAGTTTTCCCCAGGACTATTTATTGAAGAGACTGTCATTTCCGCATTGTATGTTCTTGGCACTTCTGTCAAAGATCAGTTGACTGTAAGTGTATGGCTTTATTTCCAGGATGTCTATTCTGCTCCAATAGTCTATACATGTGTTTTTATGCCACTACCATGCTGTTTTGATTACTATAGCTTTGTGGTATATTTTGAAGTCAGGTAGTGTGATGCCTTCTGATTTTTTTTTGCTCAGGATTGCTTTGGTTCCTTAGAGTCTTAGTGGTTCCTGTGAACAGTAGGGTGGTTTTTTTTATATTTCTGAAAAATGTCATTGGAATTTTGAAAGGGATTGCACAGAATCTGTAGCTCACTTGGGGTGTTGTGTACATTTTAACAATATTAACTCTTCCAATACATGAACATGGGATGTTTTCCATTTACTTGCATCTTCAATTTCTTTCATCAATGTTATGGTCATTATACAGATCTCTTACTTCCTCTGTTAAATTTATTCCTAAGTATTTATATTAGTCCATTTTCATGCTGCTGGTAAAGACATACCTGAGACTGGGAAGAAAAAGAGGTTTAATTGGACTTACAGTTCCATGTGGCTGGGGAGGCCTCAGAATCATGGTGGGAGGTGAAAGGTACTTTTTACATGGTGGCAGCAAGAGAAAATGAGGAAGATGCAAAAGCAGAAGCCCCTGATAAAACCATCAGATCTCTTGAGACTTATTCCCTACCAGGAGAACAGTATGAGGAAAATTTCCCCCATGATTCAAATTATCTCCCACTGGGTCCCTCCCACAACAAGTGGGAATTACGGGAGTACAATTCAAGATGAGATCTGGGTGGGGACACAGAGCCAAACCATGTCAGTATTTAATCTTTTTTGGTAGCTATTGTAATTGGAATTTTCTTTTTCAGATAGCTTATTGTTAATAGATAGAAACACTACTAATTTTCATGTTTTGATTTTGTGTCCTGCAACTTTACTGAATTCGTTTATTAGTCCTAATAGTTTTTTGATGAAGTTGTTAGGGTTTTTTTTTTTTTTTTTTTTTTTTTTTTCTTAGATGGAGTCTTAATCTGTTGCCTAGGCTGGAGTGCAGTGGCGGATCTCTGCTCACTGCAACCTCTGCCTTCTGGGTTCAAGCGGTTCTCCTGCCTTAGCCTCTCGAGTAGCTGGGACTACAGGCGTGTGCCACCACACCAGGCTAATTTTTCGTATTTTTACTAGAGATGGGGTTTCACCATGTTAGCTAGGTTGGTCTCGATCTCCTGACCTCATGATCCGCCAGCCTCAGCCTCCCAAAGTGCTGGGATTACAGGTGTGAGCCACCGTGCCCGGCCATTGTGAGGTTTTTCTATGTGTAAGATTATGGCATCTTCTAACAGATGTCACCTTCCTTTCCAATTTGGGTGCCTTTTCTTTCTTTCTTTCTCTTTCCTAATTTTGCTCTGGCTAGGACTTCCAGTCCTATATTGAATAAAAGTGGTGAGAATAGTCATCTTTATCTTGTTTCTGATCTTAGAGGAAAAGCTTTCAGCTTTCCACCATCCAGTATGATGTTTCCTATGGACTTGTCATATCTAGCCTTTATTGTTTGAGGGGCATTCCTTCTATACCTAACTTGTTGAGAGTTTTTTATCATAAAAGGATATTGAATTTTGTCAAGTGCTTTTTCTGCATCTATTGAGATAATCATATTTTTATCCTTCATTCTGTTAATGTGATGTAACATATTTATTAATTTGCATACCTTGCATGGATGCATCCTTGCATCCCAGGGATAAACCCTACTTAATCATGCTGTATAATCTTTTTGAAAAATGTTTTTTCTTCTTTGAGCCAGGATCTTGTTCTGTCACCCAAGCTTGGAGTGCAGTGGCATGATCATCACTTACTATAGCCTCACTCTCCTGGGCTCAAGTGATTCTCCTGCCTCATCCTCCCAAGTAGCTGGGACTACAGGCGTGTGCCACCATGCCAGGCTATTTTTTTTTTTTTTCAGTAGAGACAAGGTCTCACTCTGTCACTCATGCTGTCCTTGAACTCTTGAGCTAAAGCAGTCCTCTCACCTTGGCCTCCCAAAGTGTTGGCATGAGCCACTGTGCCTGGCCTATGATCTTTTAATGTGCTATTGGATTTGGTTTGCTAGTATCCTATAATTTTCTTTTCGTATGAGTGTCATTTTCTGGCTTTGATAACAAGGTAATATTGGCCCAAAAAATGTGTTTGGAAGGGTTTCCTCCTCTTCAATTCTTTGGAAGAGTTTGAGAAGAATTGGTGTTAATCCTTCCTTCAGTGTTTGATAGAATTTAACAGCGAAGCCGTCAGATCCTGAATTTTTCTTTGCTGGGAGTGTTTTTCTTTTTTGTTTGTTTTTAAATTACTGATTCAATTTCCTCGTTATTGGTCTGTTCACATTTTCTATTTCTTTGATTCAGTCTTGGCAGGTTATATGTTTCTAGAATTTATCCATTATTTTTCTAGGTTATCCAATTTGTTAGTGTATAGTTCATAGAAGTGTCTTAAGATTCTTTGTATTTCTGTGGCATCAGTTGTAATGCCTCCTTTTTAATTTATAATTGTATTTGAAGTGTCTCTTTTGTTGCTTAATATAGCTAAAGTTGTATAAATTTTGTTTATTTTTTTAAAAAGCCAACTTAGTTTCATTTATCTTTTCTGTGGTTTCTCTAGTCTCTGTTTTCTTTATTTCTGCTCTGATCCTTTTATTTCCTTCCTTTTGTGGACTTCGACCTTAGTTTTTTTCTTTTTCTTGAGTTGTAAAGTTAGGTTGTTTATTTTAGGTCTTTCTTTTTTTAATGTAGGTGTTTATTACTCTGAACTTCCTTCTTAGAACTGCTTTTTCTGCATCCTGTAACTTACATATTATGTTGCCATTTTAATTTATCTGAAGATACTTTCTGATTTCCCTTTTGTTTTCTTCTTTGATACATTGGTTGTTCAGGAGTATGTTGTTCAATTTCCACATATTTGTGAATTTTCCATGTTTTCTCCTGTTACTGATTTCCTCTTTAATTGTGGTTGGAAAAGATACTTGATGTAATTTCAATCTTCTTGAATTTGTTAAGACTTGCACTGTGGCCTAACACACGATCTACCCCAAAGAATGTTCTGTGTGCTCTTGAAAAGAATGTGTATTCTGCTGTTGTTGGATAGAATGTTCTCTATATGTCTGTTAGATCTGTTTGGTCTATAGTGTTGTTCATGTCCATTTTTTTAAGTTGATTTGCTATCTTAATTATCTATGCATTGTTGAAAGTAGGTGGTTGAAGTACTATACTATTATTGTATTGCTCTTTCTCCCCTCATTTCTGTTGATATTTGCTTTATATATTTAGGTGCTTTGATATTGAGTGGATATATGTTTACAATTGTTTTACCATCTTGAATTGACTTCTATCATTTAATGACCCTCTTTGTCTCTGCATTAGCCCATTTTCATACTGCTATAAAGACATACCCCAGACTGGGTAATTTTTAAAGGAAAGAGATTTAATTGACTCACAGCTCAACATGGCTGGGGAGAACTCAGGAAACTTACAATCATGGTGGAAGGCGAAGAAGTAAGATACCTTCTTCACATGGTGGAAGGAAGAAGTGCTGAGCAAAGCGAGGAAGAGCCACTTATAAAACTATCAGATCTTGTGAGAACTCACTCACTATCATGAGAATAGCATGAAGGAAACCATCCCCATAATTCAATTACCTCCGCCTGGTCTCTCCCTTAACATGTGGGGATTATGGGGATTACAATTCAAGATGAGATTTGGGTAGGGACACAAAACCTAACCATATCAGTCTCTTTTCACAATTTTTGACTTAAAGTCTATTTTGTCTAAGTGTAGCTACCTCTGCTCTTTTGTTTACCATTTATATGGAAGATCTTTTTCTCTCCTTTCACTTTCAGCCTATATATGCCTTAAGCTAAAGTGGTCTCCTATAGGCAATATATAGTTGAATCTTTTCTTTTTTAAATCTATTCAACCACTCCATGTCTTTTGACTGGATAATTTAATCAGTTTACATTTAAAATAATTATTGTAATTCCTTCTGCCACTTAGCTAATTGCTTTCTGTTTTTTAGTTCCTTTGTTTCAATCGTTATTTTCTTGCTGTCTGCCTTTGTGATTTAATATTTTCTTACTGGTATGCTTTGATTCATTTCTTTCTATCTTTTGCATTATATGCTATAGGGTTTTTTTTGTTTGTTTGTTTGTTTTAATTTTTTTTTTGCTTTGTGGTTACCATGAGGCTTACATAAAACATAGTTATAATAATCTGTTTTAAGCTGATACTAACAACTTCAATCACAAATAAAAACTCTACATTTTAACTTCTCCTCCCCAAATATATTTTTGATGTCAAAATTTACATATATGTATCAATTTCCAAACTATTGTAGTGTGAGTTATTTTTAATACTTTTGTCTACTAACTTTATACTGGAGTTAAAATTGATTTATGCACCATCATTACAGTATTAGGATATCTTGAATTTGACTATATTCTTTTATAGTAAGTTTTTATAATCTCATGTGCTGTGTTGTTAGTGTGCTTTCATTTCAACTTGAAAAACTCCTCTCAGCATTTCCTATAAGGCAGGTCTAATGGTGATGAACTCTCACAGCTTTTGTTTCTTTGGGAAATGCGTCTCCCTTTCATTTCTGAAGAACATCCTTGCTGAATATCATATTCTTGATTGGCAGTTTGTTTTCTTTTGGCACATTAATATCCTCCTACATTCTCCTGACCTGCAGTTTCTGCTGAGAAATCTTCTGTTTTGGTTTTATGAAGGTTCCCTTGTATGTGATGAATTGCTCTTCTCTTGCTTTCAAATTTCTTTTTTGCCGTTGACTTTTGGGAATTTGATTTTAACATATATTTGATCTCTATATTTAATCTATTTGTGGCTATTTGGGTTTCATGAATGTGAATGTTCATTTCCTTCTCTAAATTTGGGAAGTTATGTGTCATTGTTTCTTCAAGTAAGCTCTCTGTCCTTTTCTTTCTCTACTCCTTCTAGAACTTCTATAATATGTTTTTACTTGATGATGTCTCATAATTTTCTTAGGCTTTCTTCAGTCTTCTCATTAAAAAAAATTTGTTCCTTTGGGTAATTGCAAATGACCTTTGAGCTCACTGATGCTTCTGCTTGATTGAGTCTGCTGTTGAAGTTTTCAATGATTTTTTTTTTTTTCAGGTAAGTAATTGTGTTTTTTAGCTTCAGATTTTTTTTTTGGTTCTATCACTTTGTTGAATTTCTGATTTTTTTTTATATACTGCTTTGTTGATTTCATGTTTTTACATGTGGGTTTTTTTTTTTTCTCACTAAGCTGCTTTAAGAGGATTATTTTGAATTCTTTGAACAGTTCATTGATCTCCATTTCTTTAGGCTTAGTCATTGGTGCTTTATTTTCCTCCTTTGGTGTTATGTTTTCTTGATCATTCATGATCCTTGTGGCTTTGTGTTGGTGTCTGTGCATTTGAAGAAGTAGACCCTTATTCCAGTATTTACAGATTGGCTTTGGCAGCGAAAGCCCTTTACTAGTTAGCCCATCCAGAGATTCTGGGCAGGCTCTATGGTGGGGTCAATGGGCAGACTTGCTGCTGTAGTCCTCAGGCTGGCTTTGGCAGTGAAAGCCCTTTACCAGTTAGCCCATCTAGAGATTCTGGGCAGGCTCTCTAGTGGAGTCAATGGGCAGACTTGCTGCTGTAGTCCTTAGGCAGGCTGGTCTTATGTTGCGATCCACTGGGGCCTAAGCCATGGGGGTGGCCTGGCATTATTACTCTTTATGTCACAAGTCTTCATGAAGAATGAACTGGAGTTGGGAGAGTATTAGTCTCCTAGTGCTGCAAACACAGTGTAGCTCTGGTGTGATTTCTGGCTGGAAATCAAGGAGTACTCTTTGTCACCTCAAAAGTTTTGAAGACTTTGGAACAGTAGAAAGAACTCTGGGGGCAGTTAGATCAACAGCATTGAAGCACCATCCTCCTCTGGTGTGTAAGAAGCAGACATCAAAAAAGAGGCTAAGGCAGAAGGATATGAGCACGCTTGTCCTTGAGCACATAAGAGGCTTCCTTTGGGTAATCTAAGAATAAATGAGAAACATGAGATCAGAGCAGACATTTACATCAGCAGGTGGAAGTGATGACCTAGGGAAACTGAGGTATTACTGTTGCCTGAATGTTGAGCCACAGAATGGTGAGGCCTGAGGACATTTGGGTTAAGTTAACTTAAAATACATCTCCATTTGTATTCCTTCCCTTTCATTCTCTTTGCTACTATAAATAGGCCTTTGCCATTTCACATCTAGGCTCTTATCTCGGTAACATGCTTTCCATTGGCTTTCTTTCCCTTGTCTCATTCAGCTTCAGTCCATCTTGATCAGTTACCAAACTGATCTTTTTTAAGTGTTGCTTTTGTCATATTATTAGAAACTCTTGAAAATAAGGAGATATACATGCTCTTTGGAGCTTCAGGATAGAGGTGATAGAGTGGTAGAGAGGATGGGGATCAAAGTAGCATGAGATCTCTCCTATCTTATTCTCCAATTCTCAGAGATCCACAAAGGGAAATGTGATTCTCATGACAATTCTAGCATGTCAGAGGTGTTCATCTTTAGCATTTTTGTTTTTAAGTTCATTAAAATATGCAAATAGCACTGGAAAAAATAATGAGCAATGCTGCTAAACAGCTAAATTAACAAATAGGCAAAACCTTAGCAAAATTTTCCTCTATTCATAGATTCAGAAATTTTGAGTCATATCTATATCATCTGATGCTTTGATTTGGTTTCTCTAGAAGCACATTCTGAGACAGGGATTCAGGTGCACATGTTTTATTAAAGGTGTTTTTCTAGGAGGAAAATCTGTAGAAAAGCAAGGGAGTAGAACAAGGAAGGGAAAGAGGAAAAGCAAGGAATAAAATTTCAGGTAAAGTAGAGCTCTTCCATGGGGTAGGAGTTGGGGGATCTGGAGCATACACAACACTGTCTTTTTTTTTTTTTTTTTTTTCTTTTTGAGATGGAGTCTTGCTCTGTCACCTAGGCTGGAGTGCAGTGGCGCAACCTCAGCTCACTGCAAGCTCTGCCTCCCAAGTTCACGCCATTCTCCCACCTCAGCCTCCCTAGTAGCTGCCACTATAGTCACCCGCCACCACGCGCGGCTAATTTTTTGTATTTTTAGTAGAGACTGGGTCTCACCATTCACAGGATGGTCTTGATCTCCTGACCTTGTGATCTGCCCGCCTCAGCCTCCCAAAGTGCTGGGATTATAGGTGTAAGCTACCGTGCCTGGCCCACACTGTCTTTTGTACCCTACCCTGTAAGTCTTTGGCAATGTTGACAGAGATGAGGAAGTAGGGATTATAGTCTTTTGAGCAAGACTGTTCCCATTGGCTGAGGGCAAGCTTCCATAGAGGGAGGCACTTGTGAGCTGTTATCAGCCAATACTCACAGCAGCTGAGAGAATGGGTACACAGCCCACTAAAAAAGATTCAAGTGAGATAAAAACAACATCAGTTACAGTTTACCCTATTGAGATCCATTGTTTCTCGCACATTAAGGTCATTTCATTAAGGTATAGATTCTAGTGGATTCTGTTTGGTCACAGTTCTGGCAAAATATATAAGAGGAAGGTTAGCAGGAACAGTGTAGCCCAACTGGTGCAGTCGTCGTAAAGTCACAACTAATACTCACAATCTCCACCCTTTACTATTCATTCTAGATTCTTCTCAGTCTCAGCCATCACTTCTGCTGGTCTAGATGGCCTATCTGATGGGATAACTCACACTTTGTTTTGTTTGTTTTTTACATGGAAAGGAGGGAGCTTTATTGGTTACATATTGTACTGCAGAGCCAACAGCACGCGAGCCAGAGGATACATGCAGACAGGCAGCTTCAATGATACAGACGAACCCAACAAGCCGTGGGCCACTGCTCATGGCTTTGACCTGGCTTCCAGTGACAGGTTCCGGCCTCCTTGGTCCCATGCTTGGAACAGGAATGTAGAGGCTGCTGCACCTAAACTCCAAGGGGCAGGGGTGAGACCAGAGCACCTGCCTAAGCAAGTAGGTGTGGACCAACAGACTGCCCCCAACAAATGGGCCTATAATGCAATAGCCAGTTTATTTGAGGGCTATCTTCTTAGCCCTCCCAGTCTTTAAAATACAAAAAAAAATAGTTTATTCTCTTAAAAATACATTCCATTCAGTATATGTTCTGAGCAGGAAAATAGGGCCCCTTTCCTATGATCTTGGTTGTGAGGCATTGAGGAGAACCCTGTTCCCCACTCAGGGTATTCAAAAATAATCCCTGAAAGCAGCTCTTTCCAGAGCAATCTTATCAGAGAAATAACAAAACCCCACAGCAAGGCAGCCAGGGACCCAGCCTCTGGGTCCCTATTCCTTTATTGGGAAATGGTAGCACTTGGAATAACCCACACTTTGATCCCTGAGGGATATGAGATCAAGAACCAAGCTCATGTCTTTCTTCTTTTTTGCCAGCTAGTTATAGGGAACTCTCTCATAAGGTCATAGCTGTGAGCCAAGGAGAAGGCATTGGCTCAGTAGTGGAAGATGTTGTGGAAATCTGGGCCACTTGTTCCCACAGCTTACTTGTGACCTCTGGACCTGCTCATGCCTGATTCTAGATGTACCACTTTAATCTTACGGTGTATTTCTTCTGAGCCCATGTAACCTCATGACTTGGTGGGTCATGATGGGTGTTTATAGCTACAGGTCACTTGGTATCTCGTGATAAGGTATTCCATCTCTTTCATGCCAGGAGTTATTTTTCAGGTGGTATATAATTCTCTATATACCTTCTACATGCAGAACCCTAAGAATATGCTGTGACTCTCCACTTGGGGCTTGCCTGAGACTTCACAAGAGAGCTTTTTCTCCCTCTAATATTGTTGAATCTGCCAAATGGTATGACCCAAGTGGCAGGATGGCTTGTACTACAGTCTGAACTTGATACTGATCTCTTCCTTCCTCTGAGCTCCATTCATAATTGGACACCTTCAAAATCATTTGATAATGAATCAGAATGTTATTCCCAAGTATGAACTATACTTAATACCTATTAACCACTGTGATTTTTTTTTTCTCTTAGTGGTGGTAGGTACAAGGTATAATAAACGGTCTTTATTTTGGAGGTGATGTCTTAGAATGCCCCAGAGTATTAGACCCCAGAATTTTGGAGCTAGAAGGACTCTGAATCTTGGTAGTTTATTTCCCACTCTCTGGAGTCCGTATATCTTACAAAGACGTTGAAAATACTTACCCCTTCTAGCTTAACAGGTCTAATTAACATGATCTCATCAATACAGTAGATAGAGTGTGATGTTCTGCAAAATGTCCAGATGATCTAGGTTGCTTTGGGACTGTGATATAACAGAGAAGGAGAATTAGGAATCTGGGACAAGATCATGAATGTACGTTGTTTCTTAGACGTGAATGGGATCTGCTTCTGATCTTCCCTTTGCAAAGATATGGAAAATAATACATTAGCCAGATCATTACCTGTATATCACATTCTAGACCATGTGTTAATCTCTTCTAGTAAAGATATCACATGTGGCACAATAACTGCAAGGCTTCTGCTTAAGTTAGTGCTAGTCCACTGCCAATTCATCAGGTATTTGTGGAGGCCATACAGGTGAATTAAATAAGATTGTAAATCATGACATGGATCATGATTTACAATTATGGATCATCACCATTGCATTGTTTAAATCTGATAGTGTTATTGAGCAAAAGGGGTCGCTGTCTGATGTGGTAGAAACCAATACTATGACACTGGGTTTTTGAGAAAAGAAAAGCGTTATATTGAAAGTCAACTCCTAAGGAAACATAAATCAAACTCAAATTGTCTCCCGATGATGGTTGCAAGACAATATTTTTATTAGCAAAGGTTCTTCGGGTAGATTCTGAGATTAGTAGGTGGTTGGTAAAAGGAAAGGGGAAGTCTGGAAAGTCTTTGGGCATGTGCAGGTATCTCTTTATGTTAATTCATGGGTCACATGTGCAAATTTTGGGAGAGTTAGTATGAAATGTGGTGGAAATTCAGGTTGTGATGTCAGCAAGCTCATTCGGCACAAACTCCAGTCAGCCATCGTGGTTCCAACTGATTTCAGCCAGGTTTTGTTTTTATTTTTTAATCTCTTAAGTAGAGGGCATTTCAGCATGTTCTTATCTTCTGTCCTGCAAACTTGAAAATTTGTTAGTTACTGGTTTCTTACTCTTGAGATGGGGAGAGCATAGTTTCAGCTTTTTTAGTTTCAATTATTTCTTTTCTTACCTGCTGTCCTGTAAGTCTAAGAATGTAGCCATTGATTTATTTAACTCTTTGAGGCATGGCTTCAATAGTAGTCCTAATCTCTTTCATTGCTCGCTGGGAAGCAATATTAATTTTTAATTTATTATTTTGGCTAAAGCCGGCAGCAGTTTCAGAGGCTTCCACTTGACCTTTCCTACAATAATTCTTTTACTTTACTGTTAAACCAGTATCCAATGTGAGAGTTTTACAAATTGGCATGTCCATTCCAATTGTACATTGATGAACTGGAGATACAACCACTAGGTAGATCCATAAACCCAATGGACTCACTATGAGGTCTATAGGATTGGGTCAGGAATTCATTTATAACCTGACCCCAAGCATCTTCTCTAATAGAAGGTCAGAATGGTACTTTGGTTTTCTGAGTATCAATGTCAGTTGGGACCTTGTGTCCAACATCCTTTTAAAAATATGTACAGTCGGCCGGGTGCAGTGGCTCACACCTGTAATCCCAGTACTTTGGAAGGCCGAGGCAGGCGGATCATGAGGTCAGGAGTTCGAGACCAGCTTGACTGACGTGGTGAAACCCCATCTCTACTAAACATACAAAAATTAGCTGGGCATGGTGCCATGTGCCTGTAATTCCAGCTACTTAGGAGGTTGAAGCAGGAGGATGCTTGAACCCAGGAGGTGGAGGTTGCAGTGAACCAAGATCACTTTTCTGCACTCCAGCCTGGGTGACAGAGCAAGACTCCATGTCTTAGGAAAAACAAAATGTGTAGTCTACTTCCCCCAGTACATGGTTATCTGAGTAAGTGCCCATGGACCCCTTTCAGGAAGGACTAGGGTAATCACTACTATATAAATTTATTTTGGTATTGAAGCTTCTTTGTTTTTATTTTGATATATATATTTTAAATTTTCACATCCTTTCAAATTTACAGAAAAGTTGCAAGAATAGTTCAAAAAATTCCTAGATAACTTCTACCCAGATACCCCAAATGTTAACATTTTATTACACTTACTGTAACCTTTTCTCGATAGATAAATGTATATGTATCACACACCTTTTTTTTTTCTGAACTGTTTAAGACTAAGTTGCAGATATGATTCCCCTTTATTTTTAAACACCTCAGTGTGTATTTTCTAAAAAATAATTCTCTGGCCGGGCACAGTGGCTCACACCTGTAGTCCCAGCACCTTGGGAGTCTTAGGCCGGTGGATTGCTTGAACCCAGGAGTTTGAGACCAGACTGGGCAACATGGTAAAACCCCATCTCTATCAAAAAATACAAAAATTTAGCCAGCTGTGATGGTGTGTACCTGTAATTCCAACTACTTGAAAGGCTGAGGTGGGTGGGAGGATCACTTGAGCCCAAGATGTTGAGGCTGCAGTGAGGTGAGATCATGCCACTGTACCCCAGCCTGGGTGGCAGAGTGAGCCCTTGTCTCAAAAAAAAAAAAAAAAAAAAAAAAGAATTCACAGTACACTATGCAGGAGGATACATTTTAAGAGGTCCCCACCATGGATGCCTGAAACTGTAGATAGTGCCAAACTCTGCACATACTATGTTTTTTCTAATATGAAAATACTCAAGGTAAAGTTTAATTTACAAAATGGGCACAGTAAAAGATGAACAATAGCTAATAATAAAATAGAACAATTATAACAATGTATTGAAATAAAAGTTATGTGAATGTGGTCTCTTTCTCTTCCAAAATGACTGATTGTACTGTACTCACCTATTTTCCGACTGCAATTGACCTTGGGTAACTGAAACTGAAGAAAGTAAAACTGGATAAAGGGAGATTGTGATAATCAAATCAGGGAATTATCATTGATAAAATACCATTATCTGAACTACAGACCTTATTTAGATTTTTCCAATGTTTCCAATAACATTCTCTATAGCAAAAGAATATTCAAGATTATGCATTGCAGTTAGTTGTCATGTCTCTTTGAGTTCCTTTAATAGACAATAGTTCCTGAGTCTTTGTATTTCATGAAATAGATATTTTTGAAGAGTACAGACTAATTATTTTGTACAGTGTCCTTCATTTTGGGTTTATTTGTCTCATAATCAGATTCAGGTAGTGCATTTTTGGCAGAATTATCACTGAAGTGATGTTGTGTCCTTCTCGGTGCATCATAGCAAGAGGCACCTGCTATAGATTAGTTTCATTACTGGCAATGTTAAATTTGATAATTTGGCTAAGGTGGTTCCTGTCAGGTTTCTGCACTGTAAAGTTCCTATTTTATGTTCTGTAATTAATAGGTATCTTGTGGAGGTGACAGTTGGGATTATGTGAATGTTACTCTATTTCTCATCAAACTTTCACTATTTTAGCAGTCATTAATGATTTTTGGCTGAATCAAGATAATTATTAAATGGTTAATGTTAATTTCATTATTCCTTCTACATTTATTTGTTGGCTTTCTACTGCAAGAAATAGATTTTCCTTCTTTATTTATATCAGTGTAGGCCCCATGGATTTTTACTTAATGTTATAGTCCTCTACTATCATTTTCTTGATGCTCAAATTGTCCCAGATTTGTCTGTCTTCTCAGTGAATTCTGGATCTGAGAGCTTACTCAGATTTGGGGATTGGGCAAAGAATCATGGCTTTCTATTGGGGCAGTGATCTCAACTTTCTGCTTACACATTCTTAGTCTCTTAATTCTATTAAGCAATATTCCCTTTGCTGTCTATATATTTTGCCTCTAGTAATGTGTTTTCTAGATTACTGTAGGTCAGTCAACCTTGGCTACCATTCTGACTTTGCTGCCCATCATTCAGTGCTGATACCAGGCCTCTGCTATTTTGGGGGTTTATGATCCCCATATCTAGTAATAAACCCAGTTCTGAAACTGCATCCTCTACCTTAGAAGAGAGCAACTACTAAGCTTCTCAATGATACCAATAATACCCACTCACCAGTACACTTCATATTATATTGTCTTGATAACCAGAATGATCTCTGGGCTCTTCCAAGAAGCAGTCAGCTAGTGGGTTTTCTGGTATGATGGATTATAATAAATCTATTATAAAATGCCTACTTCTCTGAGCCTTTTAATCCTTCCTCTACAGTCTGCCACGGTTGTTCTGGTATCTCTTCTTCATTTACTCTGGGCCATCAAATTTTCTAGGCTTCCAAGAGCCATTCCAACAGTGGATTAGGAAAAGCCTCTGGAGGCTTATCAGGGTAGTAAATCTGGTGTCATGGAAGAGTGGCCCATATTGATAACTCTCCCTTATCCAGCTTTATATTCTCCCTTTGAATTAGTACCCTGAAGATCCATGTCCAGACAAATTCTCCCCTTTTCTGTTTGTACACCTTTGCCAGCTCCTGCAGCTTCTTCAATGTTCAACCCTCTCATCCCTTAGTAGATCTAAACTTCTGTAGTCGGGGCCATGCTGAGTTTTGACCCTAGTTCTTGGTTCAAATGAGATGTGGGAACAGATTCTGAGGCGGACAAGCATTGTCCTATAAGGTACCTGCCTCCATTGAAGATTCTGCATTGTCTTCGAGTGAGGGTTAGCTGTTTTCTTCTAATAAGGGGAAACTTTTACAGACTCAAAAGTTTCAGTGAAATTTGTGTATTCAATGTTTTCAAGTGTATCTACTCAGATATCCCCACCCCAAGTGTCAGAATTCCATTCTCTGTCTATCAGGGACCTGAATGTAGTGTAGAAAACCTGCTAGGGCTGATAATTCATCCTGCTAAAATTTCGATAGTCATAAAATTAATTCCTGACCTTGGTCTTAGTTTGATCAGTCCTCTGGCTGTAAGAGATGAGAGTTTCTTTAAACACAGCAGGGATGTAAGGAGGCTCTCTGATGTTTACTCTTTGGTGACTAATTACTGAGAACCTATCATTTTCTCTTTAAAGCATCTGCAACAGCTACCAATTCCACACATGCTTATAACTCTATTCCCTCCCATGTTTATCTCACACTTGAATTATTCCATAAGCCAGTGCATCTACTCAACCTATATTTCCACCCTTGCCAGTTAGCCACAGGTGACTTTTTTTTTGGTTTTGTTATTAATATATTTTTTTGTACAGTTTTAGAGTTAAAGCATAATTGAGCAAATAGTACATTGAGTTCCATATATTCATTCCACCCGTGTCCTCCCCCTCCCCGACAATTTCTTCTATTATTAACATTTTACATTAGTATGGTAAATTTTGTTGCAGTTATTGAACTAATATTGTTATTGACTATAGCTCATAATTTACACTGAGGTTTACTCATGTTATACCATTCTATGGGTTTTGACAAATACTTCAGGGCCTATTTTTAAAAATTACCATTGTAAGCATTTTTAGGTGTACAGTTTAGTAGTGTTAACTATATTCACATTGTTGTAAAACAGATCTCCAAAACATTTTTTATCTTGCAAACCTAAAACTCTACATCCATTAAACAATTTCCCTTTCCCCCTAGCCCTTGGTAACCACCATTTCACTTTCTGTTTCTAAGATTCTGACTACTTTAAATTACTCATATAAGTAGTTTCATGGAACATTTGTCTTATTGTGGCTGGCTTATTTAAGATAATATCCTCAAGGTTCATCTGTAGAGCATATTAAAGGAGTTTCTTCCTTTTTAAGGTTGAATAGTATTGCATGTGTGTTCCCTGTCTTGTCTCCCTTTATATGTTGATGGACATTCGAGTTGCTTCCACCTCTTGGCTATTGTGAATGTTGTACTATGAACATGGATGTGCAAATACCTCTTTGAGAGTCTGCTTTCAATTCTTTTGGATATATACCCATAAGTGGGATTGCTGGATTATATGGAAATTCTATTTTTAGTTTTTCAAGGAACCTCCATATTGTTTCCCATGGCAATTGCACCATTTTGCAATCCCACTAACCATCCAAAAGGGTCCCAAATTCTCTACATCTTTATCAACACTTGTTGCTGGTTTTTTGTTTGTTTGTTTGTTTGATAGTAGACATCCTAATGGTATGAGGGGATACCTCATCGTGGTTTTGATTTGCATTTCTCTGAATAGTGCTGTTGGACATCTTGTCACATGCTTGTTGGCCATTTTTTATCTTTGTCTATTCACATGCTCTGCCCATTTAATTTTTCTTTTTAATTCAGGGTCTCACTCTATTGCCCAGGATGGAGTGCAGTGGCACAATCGTGGCTCACTGCAGCCTCAACCTCCCAGGCTCAAGTGACCCTCCCACTTCAGCCTTCCAAGTAGCTGGGATTACAGGTGTGTGCCACTATGCCTGGCTAATTTTTGTATTTTTTTTTTTTTTGTAGAGATGGGGTTTTGCCATGTTGCTCAGCCTGGTCTTAAACTCCGGAGCTCAAGTGATCCTGCTGCCTTGGCCTCCCAAAATGCTGGGATTACAGGAATGAGCTACTGCACTGGGTCTAAGAATTTTAAAATTAGATTTTCTGATTTGTTGTTGTTAAGTTGTAGGATTTCTTTATATATCCTAGATATTAATCCCTTATAATATATATGTTTTGCCAATATTTTCCTCCATCTGTAAGTTGCCTTTTCACTCTATTGTGTCCTTTGTACAAAACTTTTAAAGATTGGATGTAGTTTTGTTTTTTTGTTTGTCTTTTTTTACTTGTGTTTTATTATGTTATACCCAAGAAATTATTGCCAAGTCCAATGTCATGAAGCTTTTCCCCTATGTTTTCTTCAGGAAGTCTTATAGTTTTGAGTCTTATATGTAAGTCTTTAATCCATTTTGTGTTAATTTTTGTTTTTGGTGTAAGATAACGGTCCAGCTTCATTCTTTTGCATGCAGATATCCAATTTTCCCAGCACCATTTGTTGAAGAGGCTGGCCTTTCCCTATTGAGTGATGTTGTCACCCTTGTTGAAGATCATTTGCCCATATACATGAGGCTTATTTCTGGACTCTCCATTCTATTCCCTTGATATTTGTCTGCCTTTGTTAGCACTACACTGCTTCGATTACTGTGGCTTTTGTAATATGTTTTGAAATCTGGAAGTTTAAGTCCTCCAGCTGTGTGGTTTTTTTTTTTTTCCCAAAATTGTTTGGCTATTTGGTATCCCTTGAGATTTCCTATGGCTTTTAGGCTGAATTTTTCTATTTCTGGAAAAAATGTGCTATTGGGATTTTGATAAGGATTGTGTTGAATCTTTAGATCTCTTTGGGTAATATGGACACTTTGACAACAGTAAGTCTTCCAACCCATGAGCACAGATGTCTCTTTATGTGTCTTTAATTTCTGTCAGCAATGTTTTACAGCTTTCACTGTACAAGTCTTTTCTCTCTTTGGTTAGGTTTATTTCCAAGTATTTTATTATCTTTGATGCTGTATTAGTCTATTCTCACACTGCTAATAAAGACATACCCGAGACTGGGTAATTTATAAAGAAAAATAGGTTTAATGGACTCACAGTTCCACATGGCTGGGGAGGCCTCACAATCATGGCAGAAGGCTCATGAGGAGCAAAGTCATGTCTTACATGGCAGCTGGCAAGAAAGCATGTGCAGGGGAACTCCTTTTTGTAAAACCATCAGATCTTGTGAGACTTACTCACTATCAGGAGAACAGCACAGGAAAACCTGCCCCCATGATTCTCTTACCTCCCACCAGGTCCTCCCATGACACTTGAGGCTTATTACAATTCAAGATGAGATTTGGGTGGGGACACAGAGCCAAACTGTATCAAATACTATTATAATTAAACTTTTCTTAATTTTCTAATTAAGAATGGACATCCTTTTCTTGCTTCTGATCTTTTACTAGTGAATATGATGTTAGCTGTGGTCTTTTCATAAGTGGCCCTTTAAATGTTGAGATAGTTTCCTTTTAGTCTTAGTTTGGTGAATGTTTTCGTTTTTGGCTTTTATATCTTGAAAGGGTATTGAATCTTGCCAAATTATTTTTCTGCATCAATTGATGTGATTATATATATTTTTCCTTCATTCTGTTAATGTTACATTGATTTTCTTTCTTTCTTTTTCTTTTTTTGCAGCAGGATCTGGCTCTGTCACCCAGGTGGGAGTGCAATGGTACAATCATGGCTCACTGCAGCCTCAACCTGCTGGGATCAAGCAGTCTTCCCATCTTGGCCTCCCAAAGTGCTAGGATTACAAGTGTGAGCCCCCACACCTGGGCCCATTAATTTCCATATTTTGAAACACTCCTGCATTCCATAAATTCACATGGTAATGATGTGTAATCCTTTTAATATGCAGTTGAATTTCATTTCTAGTATTTCTGAGGTTACTATATTTCTCCATGTATTTACCTTTATCAGAGAACCTTACATTTTCATTTGGCTTCATGTTGCTATCTAATGTGTTTCATTTCAACTAGAAAGACTTCCTTTAGCATTTTTTGTAGAGCAGGTCTAGTGATAATGCACTCCCTCAGCTTTTGTTTATCTGAGGTCTTAATTTCTCCTTTATTTTTGAAGGAGAGTTTTGCTGGATACAGTATTCTTCATTGACAGCTGTTTTTCTTTCAGCACTTTAATTATATTATTCCACTCCTTCTGGCCTGCAAATTTCTTCTGAGAAATCCACTGATATCTTGTGGTAACTCCCTTGTATATGAGGTGCTTTTCTCTTGCTGCTTTCAAGATTCTGTCTTTCACTTTAGATAGTTTTATAATGTGTCTTGGTGTTCTCTTTGGATTTATCCTAGTTGGAGTTCACTGAGCTTTTTAAATTTTATTTCCATTTCTTTCATTAGATTTAGATGTTTTAGGCCATTAATCCTTCAAATAAGCTCTCTGTTTCCCACTTCTCCTTCTGATATTTCCATAATGCACATGTTGGTCTGCTTAAGAGTCCCTTAGGCTCTCTTTACTTTGCTTCATTTTTTTTTGTTTTATTCCTGTGATTTTATTTCAAATTGCCGCATTCACGTTCACTGATTCTTTATTCAGCCTAACCAAGTCTACTGTTAAATCCTTCTAGTGAATTTTTTAGTTTAGTTATTCTATTTTTCAGCTCCAGCATTTCTGTTGTATTTTTGAGTTTATATCTTTCTGCTGATATTTTATTTTGCATAGTTTTTCTTATTTTTGTTTAGTTGTCTGTGTTCACTTTTAGCTTATTGAGGATCTTTTATGACAGTTACTTTAAATGCCCTGTCAGGAAGCTCATAGAACTTCATTTCTTTGGAGTTGTTTTCTGGAGTTTTGTTTTGATCCTTTGGGCCATGTTTCCCTGTTTCTTTTTATACCTTGTAATCTTTTGCTAGGGTATGGGCACTGAAAAAACAACCTCCTATTCATGTCTTTGTGTGCTAATTTCATGCAGGGAACAACCTTTACTGATCAACCCTACTGAAGGTTCCAGAGTAACTCTCAAAGATTTTCTGATATCTTATTCACCCTGGTGTATGTCTATAGAGCTTCAACTCTACTGTGTAGTGCTGCTCACCTAATTTCAGTGATATCCAAACTCTGCTGTTCCTAAGTGGTCTGAGTTAGGCTAGGCAGAAATCAGTTTATCCAGCAGCTTCCAGACAAGCTATGTTAGATATACAGTCCATTCTTTTCTGTCCCAAGGTAAGAGCCCTAGTATGGAAAGCTTCTTCCCAGTTGCACACACTATTATTGCATAAGAAGAGGGGCATGGATGGGTGTTGGGAATTTTCTTACCCCTATTGCTGGAAACTGCTCTTGGTTTTAAATTCTTTATTGGCCTGGGTACTGTAGCTTCTCAACTGGTCTCTAGAGTTCTCAGAGGAGTATTCTGATACATAAATTGTTGTTAACTTATATGTTTGTAGGAGAAGGAGAGCCTGTAGCTTTCTAGTCTACCATCTTGCTGACATCATTCCCTTTGTAAAAGTTTTAATATATAACTATAATGACAGGGACTATCAATACTCTACCACCTGTGATGGGGTCCGGCCAAATGACGGGTGATACAACTTCAGAATTCTACCCCTAGGTATGCTTCCTGGGGCCACTGCTGATACCAACTCCCTCAGGTCAGATTCCTTGGAAACTGAATTTGAGGAACAGATTCTGTTGGTGTGTCTTATAAAAAAAAACATATAAGAGAGGAAGGGAAGTGGGAGATAATCAAAGATATATTTTCAGATCAAGTTTATTTTTTATTTAATTTTGGGGGAGGGGGAAGCCTGAATCATAAATCTCATCATAAATTGTCCTGCGTTGAGATAAGGCGTATATGGTTTGGCTGTGTCCCCACCGAAATCTCATCTTGAATTCCCACCTCCTGTGGGAGTGACCTGGTAGGAGGTAATTGAATCATGGGGGCAGGACTTTCCTATGCTGTTCTTGGGATAGCGAATAAGTGTCAGATCTGACAGTTTTATAAGGGGGAGTTTCCCTGAATACACTCTCTCTTTTTGCCTGCCACCATTCATGTAAGATGTGACTTGCTCCTTCTTGCCTTCCACCATGATTATGAGGCTTTCCTAGCCACATGGAACTGTGAGTTCTCCATTAAACCTCTTTTTTTAGTAAATTGCTCAGTCTCGGGTAGGTCTTTATCAGCAGTGTGAAAATGGACTAATATAGTAAATTGGTACTGAGAGTTAGGTATTGATGGAAAGATACCCAAAAATGTGGAATCAACGTTGGAAATGGGTAACAGGCAGAGGCTGGAACAGTTTGGAGGGCTCAGAAGAAGACAGGAAAATGTGGGAAAGTTTGGAACTTCCTAGATACTTGTTCAATGACTTTGACAAAAATCATGATAGTGATATGAACAATAAGGGCCAGGCTGAGGTGGACTCAGATGGAGATGAGGAACTTGTTGGGAACTGGAGCAAAGGTGAGTCTTGTTATGTTTTAGCAAAGAGATGGGCTGCATTTTGCCCCTGTCCAGGAGATTTGCAGAGCTTTGAACTTGAGATGATTTAGGGTATCTGGTGGAGAAATTTCTAAGCAGCAAAGCATTCAGAAGGTGACTTGGATGCTGTTAAAGGCATTCAGTTTTATTTTTACGATTTATTTTTTATTCAAAGTGAAAGCAAGTTTATTAAGACAGTAAATAAATGAAAGGCTACTCCATAGACAGAGAAGCCCAGAGGGCTGCTGCTTGTCCATTTTTATGGTTATTTCTTGATACGCTAAACAAGGGTGGATTATTCATGCCTCCCCTTTTTAGACCATATAGGGTAACTTCCCAATGTTGCCATGGCATTTGTAAACTGTCATGGTGCTGGTGGGAGTGTAGCAGTGAGAATGATCAGAGGTAACTCTTGCGGCCATTTTGGTTTTGGCCAGCTCCTTTACTGAAAACTGTTTTATCAGCAAGGTCTTTATGACCTGTATTTTGTGCTGACCTCCTATCTCATCCTGTGACTTAGAATGCCTTAAACGTCTGGAAATGCAGCCTAGTAGGTTTCAGCCTCATTTTACCCAGCTCCTGTTTAAGATGGAGTTGCTCTGTTTCACAGGCCTCTGACATTTCCCCCCTCCCTTTTATAAGAGAACTCTTAATCCTAAGGGTTGCAGAGGGTTGAAGATCCATCTTCTGTAACTTCTTCAGGCTGAATAGGGGCAATGATATTCCTGCCTAACTATGAGGGTCTCATGTATTTAGGGTAGGAAGGAGCTCAGTCAGAAAGCATCAGTATGGTAAGATCTATTTATACCTCTTGAGTTTCAAAAGAAGGTGATATCTGGAAGACTAATAAGTGTACCATTTAAGAAAACATTCAGTAAGCTTGTCCTGTATTACTACACAAAGAATATAACAGCATTATATTCCACAAGAGTAAAGCAAAATAAATAAAGGTATTTCAAGTAAACTAAATCAGAAGGCTTTCCATGAACTTGGCAACTGTTGGAACTAAGCTGATATGGGGTTGTTAGCTGATTGTAATGTGCCCGGAATTAAAATACAGATTGAGATTTTTACATTACCCATCCCTCTCATTTCTTATGAGCAGCAGTCAGAGATTACTGGATGGTTCACAGGAATAAGTGGGGTTAGCCTAAATTGCAGAAACAAACTTAAAAACAACTAATGAGACTAGAATTTAATAACAAGTATACCATAGTTTTTGAAACAATATTTCTCTCTCCAGTTTCCCATTTTTACTAAAGATAAATCATGGTAAGACTGATTTGCTTTAGTACACTTGGTCTGATTATTTGTATAAAGTGCAGCAAGAATAACTATTTTTCACATAGGCTTTTTTAAAATTGGCTTCGATGGAACTCTGTTCCACAGAAGGAATCTTAGATAAGATTTTTTTTAAAGCCAAGCCCTGCCATGGGTTTGTACCCTCAAATACCTATGAATTGGGTAAATTCCTCTCCTTTTGAGGTCCCAAGATAACTTGGGGCTCCTGGACCTGTGAGAAAGTGACATTCTTTACTTACCATAGGTAAGTACAGGGACTGTAGGCAAGGTATGAGGCCTGTTCCCCAAAGGGCTTTTATTGGCTCTACAAGTCAAGTTTGATTCCTTAAAAGAAAGCACACCATTCCAGTCAAAGCCTTGGTAAAATAACCAATTTCTCTAATTGTGTCCTGTTACAAAAGAAAACAGATTCTTATTGCACCTATGCAAATAACTATATTGCCATAAGTTAAGAATACTCGCAAGTAGTTTCCAAATTCTGGAGAAATCAGGTAGAAACAAATATGTTCCAAATTTTGTTCACAGCAGTATACTTTACTCAATTGCTACAAGCTGCGAATCACTCAAAAGTTTCTTTGACTCTGAAAAACAAAACAAAGAATTAGCAGTGTTTTAAGCAAAGTTAAAAAGATTACTTCAGTATTCTATTGGTTCAGTTAATTCAGTTGACTCCTATTCTAGTTAATATTCATGAACATTCCAGCTCTTATGAGAGTTCTGAAAGTTGTTTCCTCTGTTCTAATGTTATAACTTCCAAAATTATTAGAAACCTGTGTTTAAGAACACCTGCTAGAGTTCTATAGTTGATTATAAACCACCTTCTAAAGAGGATTAAAACAAGACAACAATTGTCTGTAGAAAATAAAAAGTTTTAGGACAGCCACTATTAAAGCTGCAGTTGATAAGGAAGTTTGGTTATTTCTGTGGCACACAAAATTTTACATAACAATTATAATTATTAATAACATACACTAAGTCATATTAGAATTAGAGGAGTTTCTCATAACTTTGGAACATAAACCAATAACACATTTATGCAAATATAGTCCAAAGAAAGCAAAGCACTATTTCACGTTTGATAAGGTTCTCTGTATAAATTTTATACCAAATAAGCCAAATTTCACATTTACATTAATGTGCTATCAATGTTAAACTGAATTTCTAATAAAATATTATAGACACATTTACCCAATTTTAATGTTTAACCACAAGGTAAGATTCTTATAAGCCTTTTATAACCCTTTACATTTTTTCTTTGTGTGTGTGAAAGAGCAGATTAGTGCTCTAAGAAAAACCTGTTGTGCTTCTATTCCAATGTTTAATTTATGGAAAAACTGAATAATACCCCTTAACTTTAGCCAATATGTTCACACACAGAATCTCTTACAATTAATTTTTATAAACCTTCCACAACTTGTTTAAACTTTTAGATTTTTTTCTTATTTAAAACAATCCTTTAACACTTTAGGCAGAAAAAAATCCACATTCCAATGACTTATAATCTTTCACCGAAAACACATTTTACTTTTTTACACACCTTGCATGTGAAATCATTTCTTTAGTAGTTTAAATTATGTATTATAATGTTAACTCTTAGCAACTTTTATTTTTGGTGAAAACCTTGGTAAGTAAGGGATTTTAATTATGCACTAGGTGTGACGCCTAGTTTAGGACACACCAGGCAGAAGTGCAGATAACGAGGGACTCTCCAGCATAGCTAGGGGGCGTGGCTAACTCTACATGTCCCCAGGCTTATCAAGAATCTAATGGCTTTAAGGTAGATAAATTGAACAATTTTCAAAAGTCAAAGAAACAGTTTGACCTTAAAGCATTTAGCAAATCTGATATCTGACATTAATTTCAACCAAATGTCTACATTTTCAAGGCATTTTATTTTACCAATAATCTTTAAAACTTTTTATTTCCAAAAGATTACTAAAGTTACGTGAACAAAAAGGCATTAGTTTCTATTTTTCTGACAAAATATTTGATTTAAGCATTTATTTTTCTAAGCCAATTAGAGCTCTTTTATATATAAACATAAAACACATATAAATACACAGAAGATTCAGCACTTGTAGGGTTTTTCATTTGCCAGCTTCTTGGATTACTGGCTTCAGGGTGGAGCCATTGGAGAAACAGGGCCAGGAAAGCATGCGTTTTTAGGGTCCAATAAACAGCAAATAAGCAGCTGAAGGCAAAGACAGATCCCCAAAATTAAGGGTGCCATTTTATACTGGTTCCTGGATTCCCAAAAGGAGGGAAATACTACGGGAGAAGACAGTGTAGTGCTTCTACTCTGCATTTCATTATAAGGGAAATCAGCCAATCAGCCCATTTGGTAATCAGCCCATCCCTCATGGAGTCTCATCTGCCAATTGGGGGTGGGGATGTTTCCTAAACTTCCAGGTGGCCAAGAGCATGCTTCTCTGATGCAAGTGTGCAAAGAACCAAGTATCCCTCCATAAGTACTATTAGCCATCCCTTAAAGTATGTTTCCTACCTAGTTATTACACACCAAAGCTCTCTCATAATGTGAAATGATTTTTGATACCCTTAAAACTGTTAGATAACACAATACAAAACAGAACAGAGACTTTGAGAGGGATCTATTTGCTTTTAATTCCTGGGGTTTCATGAGGAAAACAGTTTTTTTGTTTTTTTTTCTTCCCATAACGGGATCTGTGTCACCTCCTCTGTTTTTCCCAAAGAGTCCCAGGCTACTAGACATTACGTTAGGGCCTCTCATGTGTGCACTAAGAGTGGCAAGACAAAAAAAAAAGGAGAAAAATAATACAGTCGACTGAGAAGAAAAAGCCTTTTTCCAGAAAAACAAGTTCCAAGAAGAGAAAAACATACAGGCCTTTTAAATATATTTATAGCTTGTTTATCCACTTTTAATTAAGCTGACTTCTAACCACAGTGCTCTTTAAAAAAGAAATACTTGCAGATCTCTTTTTTTTCCTTTCTTTTTTTTTTTTTTTTTTTTTTCCCTGAAACAAAGTCTTGCTCTGTGGCCTAGGCTGGAGCGCAGTGGCACAATCTTGGCTCACTGCAACCTCTACCTCTCGTGTTCAAGCTATTCTCCTGTCTCAGCCTGTTGAGTGGCTGGGCCTACAGGCACGCACCACCACGCCCAGCTAATTTTTGTATTTTTAGTAGAGATGGGGTTTCGCCATGTTGGCCAGGCTGGTCTCAAACTCCTGACCTCAGGTGATCCACCTGCCTTGGCCTCCCAAAGTGCTGGGATTACAGGCGTCAGCCACTGTGCCCGGCCTCAGATCTCTTATTACCTGACTTTAGCCATGCCAAGCAGCCAATATTTCTAGCTTCTGAACGTTACCAAAGGTAACCTCCTAAGTGCTTAGAGAAAAGAAGATTTAAGACAGTCCATGGAGAAGAGAATAGAGAGTGTCACAAAGATATCAAACCAGAAATGACTTACTTCCTAGGTGGAGAATTGAACCTGGACTGTCACTGTGAAAGTGGAAAAACCCTGACTACTGAGCTACAGAATGGGGCCATCTCCATTTTCTTTCCCAGAAGAAGTCTAGAGTAGTTAACTTTGAGTTTGCAAAGGCTTTTAACTACTTAATATGATTTTTAGAGCTAACCATAACATGAACCCCAACATTCCTGTTCCCTGAAGTCAGAGACCAAAAAGTACCACCACGTAGTTAAAAGGTCAGGCTCTCAAGGACATAAAACAAGATGGAGATTTCATCCAGTTTTTTGTTTGTTTCAGGGACTTGCAGCCAAGTTTGTTACTAACCAGCTTCCTGCGTCATCTTGAAAAGCAGGCTTACAGGTGTTCTAAGCCATGTTTTATCCTGAAGTACCCCTCGACGTGGAAAAATGAATTCATAGCACAAAATAAACCAGCTTAAGATTAGCCTTAGAATTCTTGTTCACATTAACACTTTACAGAGGAGATAAACACTGATTTATGTATTTATTTACCATTCATTCAACCATTTGCACAGAGAGAGAAGCCAGAGATCTGACTGTAAGAAATTATCACCCTTTTGCCAGCATACCAGGCTTCTGGGTTCCCTTTCCCTGAGTAGTCCTAGTGATCTGGATTGCGGCACCATCGCCCTTGGAGCCAAGCCACATCATAAAGGAAAATTATTATTATTTTTTTCGTTCTGGCTAGAGCGAAATACGTGTGATAAAACGTAGACATTAGCCACTCTGTTTAGCACCCAATATCAAACTGGCAAGGCTTAAATTTGCCCCCAGATGGGCCCCATTGTCTTTAATCCATCCTCCGACTTGGATGGAGGTCTCTGGGCAAGATGATCGCCCTGAGTAATAGAAAAGATAAGAAGGATAAAGGAAAAGTAGAGAAGGAAAGCATTGCTTGTGGCAGGGTGGGGAAGGCGACATGATCAGGGAGGCCAGAGAAAGACTCACCCATTGCAGCAACACTGAAAAGTTCAGGCAGCTGTGGCTGCTGTCCTGAAGGGATTTTTTCCAGCAGTCCAGTCAGCTCTCAAGTTTCCCTTTTTAGGAAGGAAAAAGCTCCTATGTCCCATGATGGTATATATGCCTAACCCTGTCTCCCACAGCCATCAGCAAAGAGTACAAGGCAGATTAATCCAAAGAGAATAGCAGTTAACACTCTGTAGTGCCAAACCTGTTCTTAAAGTGAATTTACCCAGAGGGGCTTCTAACCCCCTAAATCTTAGAAGGGACTCTAACCCTCCTAAGTCAGGCCTCTAACTGAAGTTTGGTCAAGCGTCCTTGCCTTTTATTAAGAGGGGCCTCTAACCCACTCTGTCTTAAGAAAGACTCTAATTCTCCTAAGTTGGGCCTCTAACCCAATCCCATTCTTTACTCGGGTATAGACACCCCACTTACCCAGTCAGCCAATTGGGGTGTGCAGGTGATTTTCCTTTGGGTCGCGGGTCTCTTCAGTATTGTCCCTTCTGTAGTCTTCCAGAAATATGTTACAGGACCTCAATACTTACCCAAAGGTAGCCGTTGGGTCAGGGTTTCTGCACTATAGTCCCTTCTGTGGTCACCAGAAATATGTTACAGGACAGGGGTCCCAATCCAGACCCCAAGAGAGGGTTCTTGGATCTCATGCAAGAAAGAATTCAAGGTAAGTATGCAGTGCAAAGTGAAAGCAAGTTTATTAAGAATGTAAAGGAATAAGAGAATGGCTGCTCCATAGAGCAGCCAGGCATTCAGTTTTATAAGGGAAGCAGAACATAAAAGTTCAGAAAGTTTGCAGCCTGACAATGCAATAGAAAAGAAAATCCCATTTTCTGAGGAGAAATTCAAGCCAGCTGCAGAAATTTGCATAAGTAATGAGGAACTGAATGTTAATCCCCAAGACAATTGGGAAAATGTCTCCAGGGCATGTCAGATGTCTTCATGGCAGATCCTCCCATCACAGGCCTGGAGGTCTAGGAGGAAAAAATTGGTTTTGTGGGCTGGGCCCAGGGTCCCTGTGCTGTGTGCAGTCTAGGGACTTGGTGCCCTGCCTCTCAGCCACTTCAGCTGTGACTAAAAGGAGACAAAGTACAGCTCGAGCTATGGCTTCAGAGGATACAAGCCCAAGCCTTGGCAGCTTCCACATGGTGTTGAGTCTGTGGGTGCACAGAAGTCAAGAACTGAGGTTTGGGAATCTCCACCTAGATTTCAGAGGATATATGGAAATGCTTGGATGTCCAGGGAAAAGTTTGCTGCAGGGATGGGTTCTCATGGAGAACCTCTGCTGGGACAGTGCAGAAGGGAAATCTGGGGTCGGAGCCTCCACACAGAGTCCCTACTGGGGCACCACCTAGTAGAGCTGTGAGAAGAGGGCCACCACCCTCCAGATCCCAGAATGGTAGATCCACTGACAACTTGCACTATGCACCTGGAAAAGCTACAGACATTTAACGCAAACCCATGAAAGCAGCTGGGAGGGAGGCTGTACCCTGCAAAGCCATAGGGGTGGAGCTGCCTAAGACCATGGGGACCCACCTCTTGCATCAATGTGACCTGGGTGTGAGACATGGAGTCAAAGGAGATCATTTTGGAACTTTAAGATTTGACTACCCCACTGGATTTTGGACTTGCATGGAGCCTGTAGCCCCTTTGTTTTGGATAATTTGTCCCATTTGGAATGGCTGTATTTACCCCATGCCTGTACCCCCATTGAATCTAGAAAGTAGCTAGCTTGTTTTTGATTTTACAGGCTCATAGGCAGAAGGGACTTGCCTTAGATGAAACTTCAGACTATGGACTTTTGAGTTAATGCTAAAATGAATTAAGATTTTGGGGGACTGTTGGGAAGGCATGATTGGTTTTGAAATGTGAAGACATGAGATTTGGGAGGGGCCAGGGGTGGAATGATGATTTGGCTGTGTCCTCACCCAAATCTTATCTTGAATTCCCATGTGTTGTGGGAGGGACCTAGTGGGAGGTAATGTTAGTTGCATCATGTTAGATGAAACTATTACCTTGCTATTGTCTTTATTTGGAAAGTAAACATGTTTTAAGGAGGTGCATATGAATGCCAAGTTGACAAAGGGTAGAATTATGAACTTGATTTTAGGTGTTAACTTGACTGGATTAAGGAATACCTAGAAACCTGGTAAAGCATTATTTTGGGTGTGTCTGTGAGAATGTTTCCAGGAAGAGATGAGTGTGTTAGTCTGGGTGGACAATATACGGAATATCAGCCCTCAGTGTTGGTGAGTACCACCCAATCAGCCAGGGGCCTAAAGATAACAAATACAGGAGGCAAATTGGCCTTTCTCTGAGAGCAGGGACAGACTTTTCTTCTGCTCCCTTTGGTCATCAGTCCTACAGGACTTAACACTAGTGGCCTCCTGGATTTTAAGAATTTTAGTCTTGTACTGAGAGTTATACCATCAGCTTCACTGGCTCTGAGGCCTTTGGACTTGGACTGAGCCACACTATTAGCACCCCAGGGTCTCCAGATGTCCTGTCTTGGGACTTCAGCCACCAAAATAGTGTGAGTTAGGTTCCCTAACAAATTTCCTCTCATATATCTATATACATAACTTATTGGTTCTATCTCTCTGGAGAACCCTGATTAATACAGAGTTGGTACTGGGGAAGCTAAATATAATTTCTTCTTAGTGCATTCCTTACAACACAATGGAAAAGATCTGTGAAATTGTTCCCTCACAAAAAGACTGTGATAAGTGTGCAAGGCTATTTAATGGTAAAAGACAAAAGTTTAAAAACTAATTATTATTGACACTGCAAAAGCAGAAAATCACTTAATTGCAATGGCCAAGCAAAAACCAGATTTTTTTTTTTTTCTCGAGACTGAGTCTTACTCTGTCACCCAGGCTGGAGTGCAGTGGCGTGATCTCGGCTTACTGCAACCTCCGCCTTCTGGGTTCAAGTGATTCTCCTGCCTCAGCCTCCTGAGTAACTGGGACTACGGGCACCCACCACCACGCCTGGCTAATTTTTGTATTTTTAGTAGAGACGGTGTTTCACCAGGTTAGCCAGGCTTGTCTCGAACTCCTGACCTCAGGTAATCCACCCGCCTCGGCCTCCCGAAGTGCTGGGATTACAGGCATGAGCCACCGAGCCTGGCCAAAAACCAGACTTTCAAATGGACAGCATATACTTACAAAATTTGCCGATCACAACCACTCTCTTTTTTTTTTTTTTTGGACAGAGTCTTGTTCTGTCGCCTAGGCTGGAGTGCAGTGGCACAATTTTGGCTCACTGTAACCTCCACCTCCCAGGTTCAAGCAATTCTTCTGCTTCAGCCTCCTGAGTAGCTGAGACTACAGGCGTGTGCCACCATGCCTGGCTAATTTTTGTATTTTTAGTAGAGATGGGGTTTCACCATATTGGCCAGGCTGGTCTTGAACTCCTGACCTCTTGATCTGCCTGCCTCGGCCTCCCAAAGTGCTGGGATTACAGGTGTGAGCCACCACACCCAGCCACAACCACTCTTTAAATACAAGTGTAATAAGTGTTTTGAAGATCATGGGAGTGAAAATGCAGGCAAAAGAGAAACGAAATCTCCCCTGCCAGATTAATCATGTATGACTTCTGCCCCTTCACATATAGTGCCAATTTGCTATGCCATGTATTTCATCTTTGCACCATTTCCAGTGCTGGAGATATAAATTATGTAAAGACTTTTAGAGCATTCTGATTTGTTTTATACTTTTTTTTTTGCAAATTTGATTCCACAAAAGTGCATTATCACAACATTGACTTTGTATGTAAGCTTTGTGCATGTACATAAAAACATTGAGACTTCTTCAGTAAATACATGTCCTTTTTGTACATCTACATTTGTGAAAGATAAAATTTCTCGATCTCAGCTCTTTAGGCTTCTACAAATGCAGTGGTGACCCATTGTGATTATTGATCGATCTCCTCAAAAGAATTAGGATGTCTGTCACAATATTTCAGATGACTGTGGTTATAAAGATAGGTGTGCATAATTACCAACCATAGTTGTCAATTTACCCATTTTTCTTTTTTGACCTATTTCTTTATGATATGGTTCATCTGCTGTTAACTATCATACCAGTGGGAACATTGTTAGTGTACCTGAGTGCTTATGCTTTAAAAAATGTGTGTTATTATTGCCTATTGCCTGGACTATTGTGTAAAGTAGTCTATGAAGTGTTCTGTTGTGTTTGGTATGTTTCTTAAATCCTTTTTTTTTTTTTTTTAAGACAGAGTCTCGCTGTGTCGCCCAGGCTGGAGTGCAGTGGCGCGATCTCCGCTCACTGCAATCTCCGCCCCCCTGGGTTAATGCCATTCTCCTGTCTCAGCTTCCTGAGTAGCTGGGACTACAGGCACCCACCACCACGCCTGGCTAATTTTTTGTATTTTTAGTAGAGACAGGGTTTCACCGTGTTCACCAGAATGGTCTTGATCTCCTGACCTCGTGATCCGCCCGCCTCAGCCTCCCAAAGTACTGGGATTACAGGCGTGAGCTACCACGCCCGGCCTTTATTTTTTTTTTATTAATAGACAGGATCTCACTTTGTTGCCCAGGCTGGAGTGCAGTGGCATGATTATAGCTCAGTGTAACCTCAAACTTCTGGGCTCAAGCAATCCTCCTGCTTCAGGCTCCTGAGTAACTTGGATTACAGGTGTACTTGCCACCATGCCTGTCTATTTTTTTCAAACATTTTTTGTAGAGGTGGGGTCTTGCTGCGTTCTCAGGCTGGCCTTGAACTGTTGGCCTTTTAGTTATCCTCCCACCTTGGCCTCTTGTGGTGTTGGTATTACAGACGTAAGCCACTACACCTGGCCTAAATCCTCTTTTAAAAATATAAATAAATGTTTTAACATTTCTAAAAATTGTTATTTTAGAATTATCTTTTTGAGATTTTGATCTTTCAGGATTGTGATTTTGGAATTTTAGACCTTAGGGATTTTTATCTTTCAGGATTTTGACATTCATATTATGGCATGTGGGACTGTATCTTTAAGTATTGTGACCTCATTTATGTATATATCCTTAAAGTTTTCTAACAGGTTTGTACATCGAGGTCTTGCTTTCCTAAGTAAAGTGTAGATCACCTCTTTTATGACTAAACATTAAATCGATTTGAATGGTTTTTATAAGATTTTCAGGAAATAAGCCTTTTTATTTCTCATAGCTAGCCAAATTTAAAATAACCCTAGAATTTGACAATCTTCATACATTGGTTAGCAGTTCATATAGGCTGTGGACTGCTCATGGCTACCTCACTCAGTAAATGTGTTCTCATGAAAACTAGTCTACAAATCAAATGCTTTACATTTAGAATTACGTTTTCAGTATTAAAAGAGGACTATCTTTAAATAAGGCAGATAATCAACCTTGATTTATATTAAAATCTAGATTTTCAGATGCAACATTTTTGTTAACAAATGCTTAATGCTAACCTCATCACTTGCTATGCCAGTACTTACGGGATACAGGGAAAAATATAGGCCTTTGAGGGCAGAGTGCATATCTCTGCCTAACTGGGTGATGATATTAGATTGCTATTGCTGCATAACGAACCACTCCCAAATCTAGTGGTTTCAAACACTAACATGTATTATTTCTCACTATTCCTGGAAGTTCTGCTCCTGCTCTTACCTGGGCTTTCTTATGTAGTTGCATTCAACTGGTGGGTCAGCTGGGGGCTGGGCTCTGGGGACAGCTAAGGCATTTAGGCCTTTCTTCACTAAAATCCTGACTTCTTTACTGCATGGCGGTCTCGGGGTTGCAAGAGGGCAAGCTGCAGCACCCAAGCATTTATCTAGCCTCTGCTTGTGTCACATTTGCTGATGCTCCATTGGCCACAGGAAGTCACGTGGCCAAAGCCAGAGTTAAGGTGGGAGGGGGCCACTCAGGACATGGGTACTAGGAGGCATAATTCCTTGGAGGTCATTACTGTAAGAATCTCCCAGAGGGTACGGAATATACGTATGTATTATAAATATAATTTATATATCACTATAGATCACTGTAAATCTCCCAGCTTATATATGTAATATTAAAACAACTCTTTGGAATTGGCTGCACCTTTATTTTACTATGATGGAAAAGACTGAAGTATGGCCTTCATGTCCCAACCCACTGAGAAGAGCCAGGCTTAATGCAGACAGATACAGCCCATTTACAATTCTGCAGCCGTGTCTATTAGTCAACAGGGCAATAGTCTACACCTGGCTATAAACCAGCTTGGGGTGTCTGATGCTTTGGGTACTGATAATACGTCTTCTGTTTCCCTAGATTCTATTATCTCTCTGAACATCTTGCAGCAGCATTGCATGGAACCCCACAGAGGCTCTGGTACATATTATTGTCTTGGGGAAGGAGCATGCATGGCTGGAAGAGTCCAGACAAGAGCCTTAGGCACTGGCTCCAGGGCCAGAGCCCCTGGTCTAAAAACAGCATGAAAGTAAGTGAGGTGTAGCTCCTCCTTTGCAACTTCACTACCAGGCTATAACCAAAGCAAGTTTTCTGATCACATTTTGTCATATGGCCACTTTGTAGTAACTTGTCACAAAAGCACCTCTTCTGAAAGCTCTGCAAAGGCCGATATTTTATTTTGACCACTGTTCTGTTTGCCTCAGTGCCTACGACATTGCATGATGCCTGAGGTAAACAAGAAGACACTATTCTGGTGCCAGATATACTTAACTCTATG
Organism: Homo sapiens; assembly: GCF_000001405.40. NCBI lineage: Eukaryota > Metazoa > Chordata > Mammalia > Primates > Hominidae > Homo > Homo sapiens. Next base: position 33,862,169 of record NC_000014.9, on the reverse strand, counting down.
GCAGATAACTATTTGGGGACCTAGAACCCACTGAACTGGTGGTGGAATCCAGGACCTTTTAGGGATTAAACCCAGGGCACCATCCCCATGAGTAATAAGATGAGTGCTGTCCAATAAACATAAAATATGAACCATATTTAAAAAATTACAAACATATATAATGTGAATAATATATATTTTTATAAACTAGTATATCCAACATATTATTTTAACATGTGTAACTGTTACATTTCAACTGCTCAACAGCCACATGTGGCTAGTGGCTACCACTTTGGACAACACAGTTCCAGATTCTTAAGCCCTATTTATCTAAGGGTTGGGAATGTGTCTAAATATTTTAGCCACTGCACATGTATTTAATACCATTAACTTCCCCAAAGAGAATCCGATTTGAACACTCACTGTTGACAAAGTGTCTAATGTTGATGAGAAAAGGATTACTAAAGGGTTTGTAGGTACTTCTGGAATGGAGAGTTTTTTTATGGAATGTGTAGCTGACTGAAACTGGGGTGTATATTCCTGACCAGCACAACTGACTACCTCTGTGGTGAGACCTAAAGTGACCCATGCAGAGTGAGACTTAAAGTAACAGCATGGAGTTGATGCTGGTATTTTTACAGTATTTTATAAGTAAATCGATATTACCCTTACTTGGGGAAATGGTCCTAAAGTGCTCTGAGAACAGATTTTTCAAAAATCTTACATATGCATAAACACAAATATTGTTTCAAAGTTAGGTATGTGTGTTCACACCCATACACAAAGGATGAATACTATAAGTCAAGCTGTCTTGGGTTTCTTGCTAAAGCTCTGTCCCATTATTATTTTAAAAATTTTAATATAATAGTACCAGGCAGCCGAAGGCAGCATGACCTATACTGGTGCAGCAGAGAAATATTTTGAGATACTCACTTGAATTTTGTTTGCTGAATATTTTATTCTTCTCTTGAATTCTAACTAGACAACTAGACCCCTAGTATTTCCTGCCTGAGGTATTCTTATAGGACCACAATGCAGAAGCTGCTTGAAGTCAGTGCCTCTTCTTTTTTTTTTTTCTTGATTTGCCAAGCTTCTTGAAAAGAGGATGCTGGGACAATCCCATTACTGGGTATATACCCAAAGGAATATAAATCATTCTACTATAAAGACACATGCATACATATGTTTATTGCGGCACTATTCACAACAGCAAAGACTTGGAACCAACCCAAATGCCCATCAATGATAGACTAGATAAAGAAAATGTGGCACATATACACCATGGAATTCTATGTAGCCATAAAAAGGGATGAGTTCATGTCCTTTGCAGGGACACGGATGAAGCTGGAAACCATCATTCTCAGCAAACTAACACTAACAGAAAACCAAACACTGCATGTTCTCACTCATAAGTTGGGAGATGAAAAATGAGAACACATGGACACAGGGAGGAGAACATCATACACCAGAGCCTATTGGAGGGTGGGGGGCTAGAGGAGGGAGAGCATTAGGAGAAACACCTAATGTAGATGATGGGTTGATGGGTGCAGCAAACCACCATGGCACATGTATACTTGTGTAACAAATCTGCATGTTCTGCACATGTACCCCAGAACTTAAAAGTAAAATAAAACAAAAAAGAAGATGCTGGGAATCCCAGAGATGAGAGAAGAGAGTGCTGGAGAGGTGGGGTGCCTCAGCCTGGGAGGCAGTGGACAGTTGACAGGTTGATGAATGAATAATGGGAACAGGAGCAATGCTTTGTGGCATTGCTCCAGAGATCCTGAAGGACCGACACAGACAGGTTGGGGAGATTGGACACCAGGCATCAGGATTTCCAGCCTTGTCAAAGATACTCATATCTTGATGAAAACCAGTGTGGACTGATAATGAGAAGGGCATTTGGAAAGCTTGGGTGGTGCATGAATCTCCCAAGAACTTGGCCTAATCATGGGGTGGGGGGACAGGGGAAGGAAGGCCCAGTAACTATGAGGCTAACTGCTCAGTGGTAGAGCATTCAGAAGGATTTAAAGAAAATAAGCATTGTGCTGCTGTTTCACACCTGAGTTGGGACTGAGTCATCCTGATACAATGGCTTAGCAGACACATGCAGATTTAGGACTGAGAACTGCAGGGTTTCCTGTGCTGTCATCCTCTAGTCCGGTGGATCATAAATGGGCCAAGACCCAGTTGCTGGCCAGGTGCAGTGGTTCACACCTATAATCCTAGCACTTTGGGAGGCTGAGGCAGGCAGATCACCTGAGGTCAGGAGTTCAAGACCAGCATGGCCAACATGGTGAAACCCCGCCTCTACTAAAAATACAAAAATTAGCTGGGCATGGTGGCACATGCCTGTAATCCCAGCTACTTGGGAGGCTGAGACAGGAGAATCGTTTGAACCTGGGAGGCGGAAGGTGCAGTGAGCCAAGATCTCACCACTGCACTCCAGCCTGGGTGACAGAGCAAGACTCCATCTCAAAAATAAGCAAACAAATAAACAAAGCAAAACCAAAAAGACAAAACCTCAGTTGCTAAACACTGAATCAGAAGCAGGAAGCCTGATTTGTAGCCATGGTTCTGTCTTGGGTAAGTTGTACCACTTTACTGGGCCATGGTTCATCTGAGGCCCAGGGATTCTGTGAGATGTTTATGCTTCACCTTCTATATGATAAGCACTGGGCAGAAACCACAGCTCTAGGGAAGTCAGTATGTCTAGACAGATATGAGCTGGTGGAATTTTCCAGTCTCCTGCAGATTTTCCTAATGATTTCAGAAGCAAGACTTGAAGTTACTTAATAGGTAAAGAGAAACACTTAACAGACAAATTCATCTGTCATTACAGGTTTGTCTGAGGCTCTGTGTAAGTATTTCTGTTGTAAGGCTCTGGCTTTTGTATCCATGAGAAGCTCCACATAGGATGATTCTCTGATAGTTTCCAACAGGGCATTTTCCTCTGCATGCCAGGACTGCAACTGAATGCCCAGGTCCTGAGGGTTGGGAGGAAGTTTCAGTTCTTTTGAAAATGGATGTTTGCTCTCCTTTTAAACTTCTAGAGCATTTTCTCTGACTTGGAGAAGTGGCCAGAACCTGACCTGTAGCTCACAGTTTGAGTTTCAGAAAAACACAGGAGGAGACGCTCATAAAGGATCTTTGACTTTGTGCAGCTTGCTGGACAGAAGAGTTGGGTGGGCAGTCAGACCACCGGAGCTTGAGGCTTACTGATATTTTCTGCTAAGTGGTTCTTAAGGGGTGGGTTTCCACAATATTTTGGATGGATCTTTACTACTCCTCATTTTTATAATCCGAATTTGAAATGTTATCCAAAGAATTGTGTAAGACTAGATATAACCTTCAACTTAGGTAAACCTCAGGGCCCTAATGACTGTTTGTCTTTCAAACTGGGTATCCTAGGGTATGTATTTAAATAGGGTAAAATATTTTAAAAGGTTTTACTAACAATCAGGGCAGCTTGCTAAGAAGGGGTGAGGTATTTTACAGTGTGTATTATATAATAATGATTTTGTTCAAAAAGACATACATGTTTACAGTTATTAAGAGCTTCCAATGTTACATCTAGCATTATGTTGAGGGTTTGACTTGGAGCACTTCATTGACCGCCTGTGATACCAGGGAGGTCTTGATCACATTCCATTCATAGAGAGGGAAACAGGATGGAGAACCTAGATATCTTACCCATAATCACACAGCCCAGGGGGCGGGCAGAGCTGGGGTTAAACTAAAGCCATCTGACTTGGGGCTTGCTGTCTTCTTTCCAATTGATTTACATTCATATATAGGTAATATTTATACCTAGAATCCCTATGCATAGAGTAGTTGTGTGTACATGCTTCGTATATCATCATTCACTCCATCAAATATTTATTGACTACCTACTACTACTCTGTGCCAGGTACTGTTCCAGGTGCCAGAAGAGAAGGAAGAAATATGACAGACCAGGTCTTTACCATCCATGGGGGGAGACAGGACACAGATCAATAAGATCATTCTAGAAAATGAGTGCTATGAAGAAAATGAAATAGGGTGCTGTCATGTAAGATGGACCAATAGGAGGCAGTTATGTGGTAGTTGTAAAATGTTATGTGGTAGTTGTAAAATCTATCTTTGGGAGGGTAGTATTTGACTTCAGATCTGAATGGAGAGAAAATCCTTCCTGCCAAGATCTGGAGGGAGGGCTTTCTAGCTTGAACAGAAGCCCCTGGATGACAGCAAGCAGGGTGTGCTCAAGGCACAGAAGAGAAGGTAAGTGGAACCAGAGCGTAATGGGCAGGAGGAGGAGTGGGTGGAAATGAGGTCGCAGGGATGGGCAGAGCCAGATCTCAGAGGGCCTGTGGCTTGTGGTTGATGAGAAGGAGGAAGATAAGGATGCTGTGTAAGTGTTGGCCTCCCTTGGACAGGTGATGGCCTAAGGTTTATAAAAATATGCCTTAAAGTGGGGGTTACATCCCAATGAACCCATCATGAGCTGAAAATATTGTAAGCGGAAAATGCATTTAATGCACCTACTGAACATTATCGCTGAGTCTAGTCTGCCTTAAACATGCTCAGAACATTTAAATTGTCCTACAGTTGGGCAACATAACCTGGTAACACAGGACACTGCAGAATGTCAGTTGTTTGCCCTGGTGATTGTGGAATGGATGGGGAGCTGTGGCTTGGCTGCCCCCCATCACCAGAGTATCGTACCCCTTTCCACTAAATGTGTAGTACTTTTGCGTCATTATAAAGTTGAAACATCCTAAATTGAACCACTGTAAGTAGGGGGCTGTCTGTACATATTTATCCTATTTAATCCAACAACCCTGGGAAGAAGGAACTGTCATCCACACTTCATAAAGATCAACTGTTAAATATGAGCCCTAAGTGCTTACTATGAGCCTTCAGTGTTTCAAGGATGACTTCAGAATCCTGCCAATCCAGCTGAATTCAAAGGCAAAGTGATGAAAACACCCACTGGATGTTTGTGATTGATTTTCACTGTTAAATTAGTACTCTTATTTCTCTTCAGTCTAGCTGTATTGGAGGTCCTCTTAAAATAGTCACTCTTGTTTAACATTGAAACATGCTACACAGCTTTCACTTGTCTATTCTGTCTAGTCAGTTAACATTTATAATCAAAATATTTTCTTTTTTCATCATTAACAGCAATATTCTCTTCACTAAGAATCCTTGTACTTCTCATGCAGTCTATGAAGAGAGAATCTTATTTTTCATTCATTCTTTGAGCCTGTATTTACCGACCAAGTTACTGGTTGAGAATTTCTCATGTGTCCCCGCTGGGACTTCCAGAGGTGGAGCTGGTGCTGTGAGCCGGAGTCTTTGTGGTTTACAGTGGCTCGGGGGTCACAGTGATCTACCCACTCACAGACTACCTTCATCCAGGTATAAATCACTTTTAGCTTTTTCACTATTACAGCAGAAAGAATTTTGTAGCAAGAGTTTTAAGAAAAAACGAGTTTGACGTTTTGCTTGGTCTCTTTCCTTCTATATGACTTCTAGGCAGGTCATAGAACCTCTGTAAGCCTTAGTCTAGATGGAGCAGGATCTTTCAGGATCACTGTGAGAATTAAATTAAACATAGGATGTAAATAGGCTTTTGACCCAGTGTTTATCTCTAGTTACTATCCCTTTTCTCGGCCCTCCTCTTTGAGTAAAACTACTCAAAAGTGTTTTCAATTCTGTGTCCGGTTCATCTTCTATTCTCTATTGAACCTATTCCAAATAGGTCTTACCTTTCCACTGAAATTGTCTCTATCAAGGAGAGCCACATCTTCCTTTTACCAAAACCAGTAGTGGATTCTCAGTCTTCTTACTTGGCCACTCCCCGCCGTTAGCCCTGAGGGCTCATGCCATCTCCTCAGACACTCTCCCTGGCTATTCCCATTCAACACAGCTGCCCCTCTCTCTTCCTCCATTATTTTCTTCACAGTACTTGCATTAGTTTCCCGTGGCTGCTGTAACAAATCACCATGAGCTTGGTGGCTTAAGACAACATAAATTTATTCTCTCACAGTTATGGATGCCAGAAGTTCAAAATCAGTTTCTCTAAGTATGGGCAGGACCATGCTCCCACTTGAGGCTCTAAGGAAGATTTCCTTCCTTGCTCTTCCAGTTTTTGGTGGCTGCCAGCAATCCATGGCTTGTGGCTGTGTTACTCTGTCTCTGTGGTGGTAATACTGCCATCTCTTCTGTGAGTGCCAAATATCCCGCGGCCTCCCCCTGATAAGGAGAGCATGTATCCTTATACATGCAATTGTCTTCAATGCCCACCAGGATAAGCTCCTACTCAAGATCCTTTAGTTAATCCCATCTGCAGTCTCTTTTTGCCATATAAGGAAATACTCACAGGTTGCAGAGATTAGGAGGTGGATTGATCAGGGGGATATTTTCCAGCCTACCATCACATTTAACATTCCAGATTTCTCAAAATCTAGTTAGCAGAGTCTCTTACGTCTCTCCTTCTAGACTGTAAACTTTATGTAGGCAAAGCCTTTTGTTTTGTTTTGTGTACCTCAACAAAATGTGAAGAAATATCTTACTTTGCTAGAACTCTGGAATGGGGAAGAGAATTGAAAGTCTTTTTAGTTTTAGATGGAATTTGATACACACAGACTATTTCTGCCACACATGAATGCAAGTTTTCAATTTGCTTGATTTCCCAGGAGCCACAGAAGCATAATGGTTTCTAAGCCTTTTTAAATTTGTAAGACATGTCATACAACTGCATATGCTGCTGCTCACTACCTGACACTCCAGCAAACTATATTAATCTATTGATTTCTAAGGTAGCAATGGGACTGAACCAATTGGCATTACATGGGTTCTATGTAATAGATGTTTAACTGGCACATGCCCAGAAGGAAACAACACATTAAACGTTTGGGCAGAAGATTTAATGTATTAAACATCCAGTGTGGAAGGTCAAGTCTGGATTTTCTCTCCACTTATTTTGCATCTGAGAATGGTAGCTCAGGAGACTGTCTGTATAGCACAGCTTTTCATTGCGCATTGCAAAGGCTTTCACATATGTCTCCTCATTGGGAAGTCAGGTGGTGGTCTAAAACCATATAAATCACCAAGGAAAGTGCGAATGAGCTAACAAGCTGGAGTAAAAGTCCCACCTTTCCTCCTCCCCTCTCCAATTGATTTACACTTTGACCAAATCTGTGAAATAGTATCTCCATGAGCCTTCTCACTTTCTATGGCATACAGGCTTCTAGATAATATTTGCAAAACTTGGCCCCTGACATGTTTATTTATGAAAAATAAACATTAACTATAATGTCACTTTATAGGTAGGAGTGTTTAACATACAAAAAATATGGCTTCTGAGCTTATATTCTAAAATTAGGCTTATATCCAAAGGTTGAGATGGGCAAAGCAATTATAAGAGTTTTGACAAAACTTTAAAGAGAGAAACTCCGTGTTAAGGACAAGTGCATAGAAAAACTACATTGGGATTCAGGGAACCTACATGGGTTTTGTTAATGACAACTGTACTTCCAAAACCCAGTCTGTTTATTTAGTCACAAATTCATATTATGGGAATGCTGTGAGCTAGGCATAATACTAGATTTTGTATAAAAATATAGAATTTCCTAGGCTGGGCGTGGTGGCTCACGCCTGTAATCCCAGGACTTTGAGAGGCTGAGGCAGGTGGATCACCTGAGGTCAGGAGTTCAAGACCAACCTGGCAAACATGGTGCAACCCCGTCTCTACTAAAAATAAAAAATTAGCTGGGTGTGGTGGTGTGCACCTGTAATCCCAGCTGCTCGGGAGGCTGAGAAAGGAGAATTGCTTGAACCTGGGAGGCAGAGGTTGCAGCGAGCCGAGATCATGCTACTGCACTCCAACTTGGGCAACAGAGCAAGACACTCTCTCTCTCTCTCTCTCTCTCTCTCTCTCTCTCTCTCTCTCTCTCTCTCTCTCTATATATATATATATATATGTAGAATATATATATTTATATATATATGTAGAATATATATATTTATATATATATGTAGAATATATATATTTATATATATATGTAGA